>NC_000005.10:174549202-174852233 GCF_000001405.40 Homo sapiens
TGTTTTCTCCTTGGTGTCATGAAGGGTTGATTAGCTAGTTTCTAACACTGTAATATTCTTTGATTCCCACCCTGTGATCACAGTGGCTGTTTTTTTTTTTTTTTTTTCTGAACTCTCTCCAAGTTTTTCTCATTCCTCAGAAAGAATACCTACTGGTGCCTGGAAAAGGGCCTGGCCACATTTAAAGGGCATATGACTCCATGGGTCCCCAGGGCTCTGTTCCTGTCCACGATCACAGCAGTGGAGCCAGCGATCTGACTCACAGGGCTGCGCTGCCCAGACATCAAGGGATTTCAAATTAGAGGATAAGACGCGGGTGCAGTTTAATAGGATGAAAGAATAATGTGGCCTTGTTAGTAATTCAGTAAAACTAAGCTTTCCTAATGCTTAGGGTGCACTGGCTAATTGGACATCCTAAGTATCTGAGAGCTAAGAGTAGTGGCCAGGAACACAAACATTCTGTCAGGCTGTTCTAGAGGCATTTCTCTTTCTAGCACTAACTAGTTGTAGGATGTCGGTCTTCATTGAACCTGTTTTCTTAAAAGTAAAAAAGAATAATAGTACCTAACTAATAGTGTCAGTACAAGAATTAAATTAAAGAACAGAGTAATGAACAGCTCCCAGACTTTCTCTGTTCAGTGCCCTGAGCATTTCAGCATTTGATGGTGCCCCTAGGCAAAAAGAAATATCTAAAAGTTCTATTCACTAAGCAATTAGCTCCAAAGGAGTTAATAAGTATCCATATCCTAACAATTTAGTAGCAATTTGAAAAAAAAATAGCACACATAAATAGAAAGAACAATAATATGTTTGTTTCATTCTTCAATAGCCATGATTACTTAAGAACAAAGTAAGTGACATGTGTGCTTGCTGGGTACCCCACAACTTCTCAAGCCTTGGGAAGCAGAGACACCACCATCCTCATTTCCAATTCCACATTGATTTTCCTGCTCTACTTGGGTTTTATTACAGCAACTGCAGAAAACCAAAGCTATGATGTCATCAAAAACAATGCAGCACGATCTAACACTGAAACTGGGAGCTACCTCAGGCTAGTAGTGCACAGAGTGCTGTAGAAATCAAGGATCAAGCCGGGTGCGGTGGCTCACGGCTGTAATCCCAGACATTTGGGAGGCCCAGACAGATCACCTATCAGGAATTGGAGACCAGCCCGGCCAACATGGTGAAACCCCGTCTCTACTAAAAATACAGAAATTAGTCTGGCATGGTGGCAGGCACCTGTAATCCCAGCTACTTGGGAGACTGAGGCAGGAGAATCGCTTGAACCCAGGAGGCAGAGGTTGCAGTGAGCCGAGATCACGCCACTGCACTCCAGCCCAGGTGACAGCATGAGACTCCATCTCAAAAAAAAACAAAAATAAAAAAAAAATCGAAGGCTCACTGTGCTTTTCCTTGAAATTTAAAATAGCCTGGAACACCCTCTGAGTTCGCTGCAGCAACCTGGGAGGCTTGGCTCACAGTTAAGGACCTTTGGGAGTAGCACTGGGAAATGTTTGCTCTTCCTCAATTCTACTGTTCTCCTTTGTCCTCTCTCTTTTCCTCCCTCCTTTCACCTCGATTCCACTCCTTACCGCCTTTCCTCCAGCTTGCTGTCCTTCGCTTCTAATAACTACCAACTCCTAGAGGCTGCATCGGATTCGTCCTGTGTCTCCAGTGCCCAGCACATGCTGAAGCAGAAGGTAGGTTTTCTAACTGTCAGAAGGAAATGAAGTGAATGAAAATACTGTTTGTCTCCTCCCTTAGTGACCATTATTCTCAATGTATCACTCTTTTCCCTGGACCAAGTCAATACCTTCCAGAGAACACTGAACTGAATCAGGCAAATGTCTAAGTCACTACCTGACCATTTGACTTGCAAAATTTGACACCAGCATTCCCAATTGTGAGCTCATTTTCTTATTAATTTCTTCTTCCTTGACTACAGGAATAATTCCATGTGACAATTATATTAGAACTAGCTGTGCTTCAATTAATAGAACTTTCTAATACAGCAGTGTTTCTCCCAGTGGGGTCCTCAGACCAACCTGCTTTCTATTTTCCTGGTGTTTGTCCACAGGCACCAGCTCGGAGCAGCTGACTTTCTTCTTTACGTTTCTTTACATTACCATTTCTCCAGGTCATTCTTGTGCCCACTACCTTTGAAATCAACTGACATTTAATTTGGAGAACTAATATTGAGCATCTGTTGTACAACAAATCAATACCATTCAACCTCAGACTCAACACAGGCCCGAAGGACTCAATATTTTCAGAAGACAATTCTTTTAGGATGATGCTTTCTGAATGTGGAACCTTGTTGCTTAAATCCTCTGGGGGTCGGTGGCCTTCCACAAAAGGTCTTAATCCAGGGAACTTTCTAGAGAGACCTATTGCCATCATCCAAATATCCAGGATCTCCCAAGTCTGGGTGCAGGCTTTTACTAAGC
This sequence comes from Homo sapiens, assembly GCF_000001405.40. Taxonomy (NCBI): domain Eukaryota; kingdom Metazoa; phylum Chordata; class Mammalia; order Primates; family Hominidae; genus Homo; species Homo sapiens. Next base: position 174,551,650 of record NC_000005.10, read on the forward strand.
TGGGCTCTATTTCTGAGTCTGCAACCACTTCCTCTCTCGGAACCTCAGTAATGTCCTCTGCGAAATGGGCATAAGCGCTTGCGTATGTCTATAAGCTGTCCTTCGTGACCCCTAGAACATAGGTAAGTACTTCGTGCCTTTTTTTGAGACAATGGGGAACTTTTGGAACTTTCACAGAAAAGTAACTTGATTATTTCTTTTGCCTTTGACTGAGAGAAGGAAATTTTTTTTTTTCTTTTTGAGACAGAGTCTCCCTCTGTCACCTGGGCTGTGAGAGAAGGAAATTTTTTATAAACCCTCAAAAGAGTTGTGGAGACTTAATCCTCAGCCCAATCCTGGCATCCTTATTCCCTTTACTTATGCCAAGAGAACTGGATATTCTTTCTAAATAGCCACACCCGGGTCTCCTGAGACCACCATACCAACCCGACTCCATCTGGGTTCGCTCTCATAGTACACTGGGCCTGTTATGCAAATAGACTAATAAAAAATATGTTACCAGAGTTACACAAAACATGAAAATGATGCTTTTTTAAATATTTCAAGTTTTTGAGAAAATCACATAGATAAGGAATCTCAAAATAGTAGGTAAACTAAGCTATTGTTTGTCTAACCTACCTCCTAAAGAGCTCTCAAAGCTTTCCCTGGTCTGACGTCTCAAAACTTCCCCTTCCTTCAAGTCTCATCATTTTTCTTCAGGACGATTACTGTATCCCCTCACCCAATCTCTTCTCTTCTAGCCTCTCTGCATTCTGCCAGAATGCTGCTTCTTAAAAAGAAATTTGATCGCATTACTTTCCTTAAAACCCCCTCAATCTCCCAAGGGCCTGCAAGGAGCTGTCCCAGCAGGGCAGCAAGATGTCCAGGGTCCTCCCAGCCGGCCCAGGTTGCCCACCTGGCTGCCTTACTCCTGTCTTCTTGCACTGAACACTCATGTTCCCCGGGGACTCCCTCCACACACCAGCTCGCCATGCCCGGACACAGGCTGTGCCCCCTACCGGGGATCCTCTTCCCTCGCATCCTTCTAGGGTCAGGGGTCCACCTGATCCACCTGAAAACCTGCTAGGAAACCCTCCATGCCCTGCTCAACCATCACTGGTTGTTGACAAGGGTCACACACGCTTACTGTTTCTTGGAAAGGCAATGTGGAAATATCTATCAAAATTGCAGGGCTGGGTGTGGTCACTTATGCCTGTAATCTTAGTGCTCTGGAAGGCCAGGGTAGGAAGATTGCTTGAGGCCAGTAGTTCCAGGCTAGCCTGGGCACTACAGTGAGACCCCAACTCTACAAAAAAAAAAAAAAAATGTTCATGCATACATATTTCAATCCAGCCAAATCTACTTCTGGGAATTTTCTATATGTTTTTATGCACTCCTCACATAAGCGCTCTAAGAAATTATTCATTGAAGCATGATTGGGTACAGCAGGAAAAAACAACAACAACAACAGGAAATGGCCATTCTGTCTCTATCAATGGAATCTGCTCATGTACAGTTAATTATATTAACAACAATGACGGAGATGAGTGTAGACCGATAAAAAACCATCCCCAAGTTATAAATTAAGTGAAAGCACGTAATGTGCTGGGGGAGAAGTTTATAGAAGGGATGTCTGTGCTGAGATTTGCAGGTAGAACCTAGAAGTAGTGCAGGGGCCTCTGGGAGGAAACGTGCAGGATTGGGAGGAAGACTTACTTTTCTTCACCTATTTCAGAACTATTTCCATTTTTGCCATTTGCATGTTTTACTTATGTTAAAGCAATAATGTATAAGCATGTTTTGATAAACCCTGTTGAAGCTTCACTCCTTCTATAAGTCTCTCCTTAAGGCCTCAGTTGGTGAGTGTTTTACCCTACGAGAACATTGTCTGGGCTCTTTGCCTTCCACTCAGGGGAGGACCCCAGGAGCAGGTTCTAAGAATGCTTCCCACCCAGCTGCGGCCCAGAGTGGGTCTCGAGACATGTCATTTGAATGAACTGAGCCCTTGAGCTCTTACCGCGTGCAGAATAAAAGCTCTGGAAGCACATTCCCTGCCCTCGCGTCACTTGCAGACTTGTTGTGGAGAAAAGACTCGGGCACATGGCCCGTTAGGATGCATTGCCAGAAGAAACACCACGACAGGCAAGGTCCTGGGTTTTGGGAGCAGAGGCAGCGTTGCAGGCCAAGCAAAATACTTGAGATCACCCCAGCAGTGACTTGGACAAGATTCCTCGGCAAATTAGTTAGCAGTTGCCTTTAGAGGGCCATGGGATGACGTGGGGCTTCTGGAGGCCTTCTCAGCTCTGTAGCTCAATGTGAAAATAACCGCAGTAATTGATGTTCCTGCACTTGTCATATATCAGGCAGCACTAGGGATTTACACACAGATCTCGTTTAATCTGCACTACAACTCTAGTCAAGTAAATACTGTTATTATCCTTACTTTAGAGATGAGGAAACTGCTTAGACCTTATGAAATAGGCTGAGGGTCAGACATACCAAGTGACAGCACTGAGTAAGGAATACAAGGCTGTTTTGCCCTTAAGTGTCTCCTCCCAACCACTGCTAACACAGAGGGACACGTAAAGATAAAAGTTGGGGCTGGGCATGGTGGCTTACGTCTGTAATCCCAGCACTTTGGGAGGCCTAGGTGGGCGGATCACCTGAGGTCAGGAGTTTGAGAATAGCCTGGCCAAGATGGCGAAACCCCGTCTTACTAAAAATATAAAACTTAGCTGGGCACGGTGGCACATGCCTGTAATCCCAGCTACTTGAGAGGCTGCGGCAGGAGAATCGCTTGAACCCTGGAGATGGAGGTTGCAGTGAGCTGAGTTTGTGCCACTGCACTCCAGCCTGGGCAACAAGAGCAAAACTCCATCTCCAAAAAAAAAAAAAAAAAAAAAAAAACTTGGATATAGGCAAGGAAAAAAAAATAGGAAGCCATCTTTTCCTATGTTCCCACCAGACAGATGAGAGAGTGACATTGTGATGGTGGCTGATCCTATGCTCCTTCCACTACTCCATGGCCAGGACAGAAGTAAAGGGGAATGCAAAACCCATTCACGATTTGCCCTTGCACTTAGGATAATATCAAAACTCAGAACTGAAAGCAACCTGTTCCCTGCTGCTGTGTTAATACTAGGCCGGGCATTCTTTTCAGTCCATTCTTTTTTTTTTTTTTCTGAGACAGAGTCTCACTCTATCACACAGGCTGGAGTGCAGTGACATGATCTCAGCTCACTGCAACCTCCACCTTCCGGGTTCAAGCAATTCTCTGCCTCAGCCTCCTGAGTAACTGGAATTACAGGCGTCCGACACCACACCCGGCTAATTTCTATATTTTTAGTAGAGAGTAGAGATGGGGTTTCACCATCTTGGCCAAGCTGGTCTTGAACTCCTGACCTCATGATCCACCTGCCTTGGCCTCCCAAGGTGCTGAGATTACAGGCATGAGTCATGGTGCCCAGCCTTCAGCCCATTCTTAAGCACTACTGAGGGTAAGTAAAGATCACCCAGTTATGTACTGTAAGAAAGACCTGCTCCTTGGAGATAAGTATTTGAACCAACTGAAAGAGCTTATTTATGTAAGAAGACAAATGACAAACCTCACTTTAAGACTCTCCTTGGCCGGGAGTGGTGGCTCACACCTGTAATCCCAGCACTTTGGGAGGCTGAGGTGGGTGGATCACTTGAGGTTAGGAGTTCAAGACCAGCCTGGCCAACGTGGTGAAAACCGTCTCTACTAAAAATACAAAAATTAGCTGGGCGTAGTGGCACATGCCTGTCATCCCAACTACTTGGGTGCCTGAGGCAGGAGAATCACTTGAACCTGGGAGGTGGAGGTTGCAGTGAGCTGAGATTATGCCACTGCACTCCAGCCTGGGTGACAGAGCGAGACTCTCTCCTCACTGAGTCCACAGATCTGAGGCCACTATGGTATCAGCTCTGCCTAATCCCAGCTAATTCTCAGCCTTGTAAAACCAGGCTTCAGTCCTCCAGTCCAAGCCTTAAAATTCTATAAACATTCCTCCCCTGACCTTTCCCTTTGAAGACATTACTAAAACTCTGTTAATGGTGTGTTCTCCCTTATTGCAGTAGGTCTGGTAAACCTAGCTTTGCTGGACAAATGTGCCTTTCGTTTTGTTTCGCTTGGATTTTGTTTTGTTCGTTTTCTTGGTGGTCTTCTGGGGAAATTGATAGTTGGCACTTCCTCACCATGGCCTGTAATGAGTCATGCGTCTTGGTCGCCACTTATCTTGCTGATTTCTCTTCTCCTTGCTGTCTGAGTTCCAGCCCCAGAGGTCCTTGGTCAATTCTTCCATTGCACCATGCTTCCCCCCACCCCCGACCGTGCCTTTGCACATGCCATCCCTCCTGCCTGAAATGCTCCCGACCTTCTTTACCTGGTTAGCTCTTACTCTTCCTTCAAATTTCCTTCTTTACCTGGTTAGCTCTTACTCTTCTTTCAAATGTCTTATCACTTCTAGGAAGCCGTCCTTCTTAGTATTCATGATTAAGCCAAATCTCCCCATGATTTGCTGTTTACAGGCATTTATTTTGCCTTTATAGCACTTACCCGACTTGTAATTTTACCTTTGGTTTCTAGTGATTTGACCGTTGTGTCGATTGCTCTGGAATGTAAACTCCCTGAGGGCAGGCGTTGTGCTTGTTTTGATCACCTAGTCCTTGCACTTCACCTGAAACATAGTAGGTGTTCAGCAGAGAGTTCTTGGATAGATAAAAGCATGGATGGATGGATGGATGGGTGGATGGATGGATGGATAGATGAATGGATGGATGGGAGCAAGATTTCACTTCAGGCCAGGCATGGTGGCCCATGCCTATAATCCCAGCACTTTGAGAGGCCAAGGCCTGTAGATCAGCTGAGGTCAGGAGTTCGAGACCAGCCTGGCCAACATGGTGAAACCACGTCTCTACTAAAAATACAAAAATTAGCTGGGGGTGGTGGCACGTGCCTGTAATTCCAGCTACTCAGGAGGCTGAGACAGGAGAATCACTTGAACCTGGAAGGCGGAGGTTGCAGGGAGCCAAGATCACACCACTACACCCCAGCCTGGGCAAAAGAGTGAGTGAGACTCTATCTCAAAAAAAAAAAAAAAAGATTTCACTTCTACTAATGCCTCACAGTTGTGTGTTGGTGTCAGTGTGTGTGTTTTACTTGTTCATAGCTTAGAAAGCAGAATGTGAGGGATGGGGACACCCTCAGCTGCAGGGAGAAGGCAGGAGTCTAGAGTCCTCCTATGAACTTGGCGCTGGAGCCCTTTCCACACTGAGACACTAAATGTCTCACCCAAGTCCTCTGTCCAGCCTCCCAGTGAGAGTTGAAAGGGCTCCAGCCCCACATGTTTCCTTTCAACGTCAGGCAAATTGGGAAAACCACCAGCTCAATCAAGGAAGATTTAAAAAACCTTTAATATTCTATTCAATTCAGCAAATATTTACAAGCTTCTCTAAAGCACATCATTGAAACCGGATTTCCACCAAAGGAATCCACACATTGGATTATCTTGGCACAGGATTACCTAGATTAAATTTTTTTATTTATTAATTTTTTTTTTTTTGAAACAGGGACTAACTCTGTCACCCAGGCTGGAATGCAGTGGCAAAATCATAGCTCGCCACGGCCTTAGCTTAAGTGATCCTCCTGCCTCAATCTCCTGAGTAGCTTGGACTACAGGCATGTGCCACTATGTCTGGCTAATTAAAAAAACAAACAAACAAAAAATTGTAGAGACAGGGTCTCACTATGTTGCCCAGGCTGGTCTTGAACTTCTGGGCTCAAGCAATTTTCTCCCTTCGGCTTTCCAAAGCACTGGGATTATAGGTGTGAGCCACCATGAACAGTCTCTAATTTTTTTTTTTTTTTTTTTGAAACTGAGTTTCGCTCTTGTTACCCAGGCTGGAGTGCAATGGCAGGATCTCAGCTCACCACAACCTCTGCCTCCCAGGTTCAAGCAATTCTCCTGCCTCAGCCTCCCCAGTAGATGGGATTACAGGCATGCACCACCATGCCTGGCTAATTTTGTATTTTTAGTAGAGACGGGTTTCTGGCTGGTCTTGAATTCCTGACCTCAGGTGATCCTCCCTCCTCGGCCTCCCAAAGTGCTGGGATTACAGGTGTGAGCCACTGCGCCTGGCCCAGTCTCTAGATTTTTAAGATAACCTATCTCTTGAAATCTCAGATAGGGGCTGGAGAGCTTCCTCCCAGAGCACTGCCCACACACCCAGTTTTAAGGAATGCATAGACAAGTAGGCATCCCTGTTCTTGGAACTGTTAAGGCATATAAGTCACATCAGGAGACCCAGCTGTCCTTTCTTATTGGCTGATGACAGATCTTATGCTCCTACATTTCAAGCTGGGAACATATCCACCATCAATTTTTTAAAAGATAGTATTAAAAAACAGGGAAGTCATTCATTTTGTTATTTACAACTTTTTCACAGTGTAAATGACAGCTAACGGCTACACAGATTTAAAAAGCACAATTTAATGCATTATCTGTATACCTGTGAAACCCTCAATATCAAGATAACAAACATATCCCCCTGCAAAAGTTTCCTCAAGCTTGTCTGTAATCCATCTCTTCCCTTCCCCCCAACCACACACAATCACTGATCGGCTTTATACTACCATAGATTAGTTTGCATTTTTTAATGTGGTAATTTCCATTCTAACTTAGAACATCTCTCCCTCCCTTCCTTCCTTCTTTCCTTCCTCTCTTCTTTCCTTCTCTCCTTCCTTCATTCCTTCCTTCTTTCCTTCCTCTCTTCTTTCCTTCCCTCCTTCCTTCCTTCCCTTTCTTCCCTCCTTCCTTCTTTCCCTCCTTCCCTCCCTCCTTCCTTCCCTCCTTCCTTCCCTCCTTCCTTCCCTCCTTCATTCTTTCCTACATTCCTTTCTTCATTCCTTCCTTCTTTCTTTCCCTCCTTCCTTCCCTCCTTCCTTCCTTCCCTTCCTTCCTTCCCTCCTTCCCTCCCTCCTTCCCTCCTTCCTTCCCTCCTTCCTTCCTTCCCTCCTTCCTTCCTTCCCTCCTTCCCTTCCTTCCTTCTTTCCTTCCCTCCTTCCCTTCCTTCCTTCCTTCTTTCCTTCCCTCCTTCCCTTCCTTCCTTCCTTCTTTCCTTCCCTCCTTCATTCCTTCCTTCCTTCTTTCCTTCCCTCCTTCCTTCCCTCCTTCCTTCCTTCCCTCCTTCATTCCTTCCTTCCTTCTTTCCTTCCCTCCTTCCTTCCCTCCTTCCTTCCCTCATTCCTTCCTTCCCTCCTTCCCTCCTTCCTTCCCTCCTTCCCCCCTTCCTTCCTTGCCTCCTTCCCTCCCTCCTTCCTTCCTTCCCTCCCTCCCTCCCTCCCTCCTTCCTTCCTTCCTTCCTTCCTTCCCTCCCTCCTTCCTTCCTTCCACTCCATCATGGGCAACAGAGCGAGACTCTGTGTCAAAATAAAATAAAAATTTAATAGTAACAATCTTTACATTTCGTATCAAAAACTCGCTAAGAATTTAGGGAAGGAAGCTTCTCCTGTAAGTACTCTGGTTAACTGGCAACAGCAATTTGCAAGCAATTTATGGCTCTGTATTTGCATGATGTTCACATGGGAAATAAGGTATTGACTGTTGACATACTTCTTGGCGAAGGCTGTTTGAACAACTCATTCTTTTTTAAGAAGTTCTTAGGAGGCTTTGGACCCCAAGGATGTGTCATGACCTGCCAAATGCCAACCAGATTTGTAACTAGGCTCCTACCAAGCTTAGCTTTCAAAAATATGCATACTACGCATAAACATACTATTTCTCCAGTGTTACCCTCTAGCAAAACGTCCCTTTGTGCTTCAGAGGAATAAGGAATCCTTCAGCAAAAGATCAGAACCCCAGTTGGGCAGAACCTTTTCTAACTTTGAACCTGTTAGGATACCAGCAGTGGCAAGAAATGTCATAACAGCTGTCAGGATTTACCAAGGGCCAGGCATTATGCTAACCTCTTTCACTTGGATTGTCTTGCTAAATCCTAACAATCCTGGAAGTTAGAAATTCACACTATTCCCATTTTGCAAAAGTGGAAATGGAGGCTCTGTGAGGTTAGGTGACTTGCCTGAGGTCACTTGCTCTGAGTGGAGGAGGTAGGATTTGGCGCTGGATCTATTTGTTGAGATGATAACCTCTAAAGCATCTGCCTTTGGCGGTCAGCAGGTATGCGGCAGATACTGTCAGTGCCCCACCCAGTACCCTTGCTGGGTGTCTGCTTCCTTTTCCTAGGGATTGCCTTGGGCTGGGGGTTGCCCTGGGCTGACCAGAGCTGCCTCAGAGTTTCACCACCCACCACCCACCCCACTGGCCTTGCACTTTCCCATGGCCAGGACTGACAGCCAGTTCCCTTCCTTTGGGTGGGATAAGCCCTGGAGTCCAATTCCCGCTCCAGAGTTCCTCCCCGGATCAGGACTCTCTGGAAACCACATTTTAGTTATCTTCTTCCCCTGCCCTATCCTGCTTCCACTGCTGCTTCCCACATTTTCTCGCAGAATACTTCCTCAGTAATTTATTTGCACAAGAATCCTTATCCCAGGCTCTGCTTCTAAGGAACAAACCTAAGACAAAGTTATTCAGGGAAAGGCAGGTTTACCATGATGGAACAAAAGGAAGGATAGTCTTCCTGAAGGACCTCTCCCCTCTGGGGCAGTTCAGGGCCCCAGATGCACTGTGGGTGGCATAGGGTTGGTTCACAGAGTGCAAGACAGTAGAACCATGACAGGTGTTGGGAGCAGGCACAAGGTCTCAGATCTCAGCTTTTAGAGTAAACAGAGGCTGGCACTCGGCACTCATAGCACCTGCCTCAAGAGATGTGATAAGTGTGATGGAAAAGCCTTCTGGCATGGCACAGTCCTCGTACAACTCACTGACTGAATGATAGATGTAGTTGGAGATTTCAATAGAGGAAATAATGTTTCCTGCCCCTCACCCCCACCCCCAACCTCAAGAACTGAGCAGAGTATATAAAATCATTACCCTAAGTGCGCCAGAGAACGTGGTAGATACTGATTGACTGCTTTGCTCCTAGCCTCTAAATTTGAGCTAATAGGCTTAAATCAGGGAAAGGCTGACATAATCTTTTGAATCCAAATAGCCTAGAACCTTTTGCTCTGCTGAAAAATGCAGAGGAGGTGGTGTGTTTCTGGGGTTTAACTGGAAGGTCCCAGGAGTTGGGTTTGAGATTTTTTGAGATCCTCCTTACAGAGCCTATATGGTCTTCAGGATAGGATAAAGCAGAGCGTGTTCATACTTGCTCACCCAACCAACCCATCTCTACCGTCTCCACTAATTTCAAACCACTATCAGATAGATCCCTTCCTCTCTATCCTCACCCCAGCATTCCAGTGCATTCAAGCTTGATTCAATGCCATGTCTACATCACAGCTAAAGCTTCATTCCTTACTCCTCCACGTACTCATTTAACAAACACTTACTGAATTACTGAATGTCTAGTTTTTGCCAACCACTACTCTAGACTCTGGGAAAACAGTGAGCAAGAGGTAGCCCACAGTCTAGTGAGGGAGCAATGTCCATGTCTGTGCTCTGTGCTTTCCTATTTTTGCACATTCTGTTCCCTCCACCTCTCAATACTTGTTGCCTTGAAGGCTGACCCACTATATTCACCCTGTAAGTCCCTGCTCGTATATCACTGCGTCCTTCTCAAAACTTCTCTGACCTTCCCCCTGCTGGGTCAGGTACCCCTTCCCTTAATTTCTAGAGTCCCTTGTTCCTTCCATCTCAGAGCTCCTATTGCAGAACATTGCATTGGTATGTTTACAGAGGGTGAGTTCCTTGAGGACAGAGATTATGCCATTCATTCATTTAACCCTTCCTTCCTTCTTTGATGAGCCAGATACTGTGTTAAATGCAAGGGGCTGAGCAGCAGTTAATTACAGACAAGCTCCCTGTCCCACCTTCATGACACTCTCACTCCAATGGGGGTAGACAGGTGCAAAGTAACTCATTTTAGGATTTCTACACTTTGGCACATGCAGAATAGTTCCTACACTCATCAAATGTAGAATGAAGCCTCCTGGTGCTGCTTGTGTGCTTGTTTGGTACGGACCTGGTACCTCTTTTGTGAAGCGGCAGCTGAGGAGACTCCGGTGCTCACCATGGCCGACGAAAAGCCCAAGGAAGGAGTCAAGACTGAGAACAACGATCATATTAATTTGAAGGTGGCGGGGCAGGACGGTTCTGTGGCACAGTTTAAGATTAAGAGGCATACACCACTTAGTAAACTAATGAAAGCCTATTGTGAATGACAGGGATTGTCAATGAGGCAGATCAGATTCTGATTCGACGGGCAACCTATCAATGAAACAGACACACCTGCACAGTTGGAAATGGAGGATGGAGATACAATTGATGCGTTCCAACAGCAGATGGGAGGTGTCTACTGAAAAGGGAACCTGCTTCTTTACTCCAGAACTCTGTTCTTTAAAGACCAAGATTACATTCGCAATTAGAAAACTGCAACTTGGTTCCACCACATCCTGACTACTACCATATAGTTTTCTCTATTCTTTCACTTCCGCCTTCCCCATTCCTTTATTGTATGTAAAGTAACTGGTATATGTGCACAAGCATATTGCATTTTTTTTAACTAAACAGCCAATGGTATGTTTTGATTGACATCAAGTGGAGACGGGATGGGGAAAAATACTGATTCTGTGAAAATATCCCCTTCCTCCATTAGTGGCATGCTCATTCAGCTCTTATCTTTATATTCCAGTAAGTTATTTTGCTCTCACTGTTTTAACAACAACAAAAATATAAAAATCCTTGCATACCTTGTTCAACTAGAGAATTTTAATGTTTTTCATTTATCATTGTAAAACCAAGGACAATTGTGTAACTTTTTTGTATGTAGCTGTTGCATGTAGCGCAATCTGTCTTTAGGTAGGGATAAATTACTCTAAAACAAAAAACAATCCTAGATAGTTTTCCCTTCAAGTCAAGTGTCTTGTTGTTTAAATAAAATTCTTGTTTAAAATGAAAAGAAAAATGTAGAATGCAAAGGCCAAGAATGTCCTTTATTTCATGTTAGGGATCAGGGACTATGATTATGTCACTACAGAATAAAATAAACGGAAATGGATATCTGACAGCGGTGTGAGCAAATCCAATGTGCCCTAAAAGAGAGAGTGCCGCCTCGACAGTTTGGGTTGCACAGGCCAGGGATCCAAAACTCAGTCACCAACAGGACCCAAAAGGCAATACGCACCTGTGATTCATCTAAGACCATTGTCTTACACTGCCCATTGTTGAGGCTGTGGTCAGAAGGAGAGTGGACCCCAGGCAAGACCAGGTGGCCCCTTCCCAGCACTTTCATTTGTTTCTCTGTAGGAAAGTAGATGAAGGGTTGCTCTTTCTCCCAATTCCTCAACAGAAGCTAAAACTTTGACATTGTGTGTATGATCTCCAGGTTTTCAAACAACTGATTAGTGAAAATCTGGAGATCATACTTACAATGGACTCAATGATCGTACTTACTTTTGGATTCAAAAGATTATCTCAGCAGTTTCAATAGAAATAGTCTGGCAGGGCACGGTGACTCATGCCTGTAATCTCAGCACTTTGGGAGGCGAGGCGGGCAGATCATGAGGTCAGGAGTTGGAGACCAGCCTGGCCAACACAGTGAAACCCCGTCTCTGCTGAAAATACAAAAGTTAGCTGGGCATGGTGGCACACGCCTGTTGTCCCAGCTACTCAGGAGGCTGAGGCAGGCAAGTTGCTTGAACCTGGGAGGTGGAGGTTGCAGTGAGCTGAGATTGCACCACTACACTCCAGTCTGGCGACAGAGTGAGACTCCGTCTCAGAAAAAAAAAAAAAAAAAAAAAAGAAAGAAAGAAAAGAAAAAAGAAATAGTCTGAAGTTCTTTTATCTCTATCCTGCTCCTTAGTACTGACTTAATTCAACTCATGCTTATTGAACAACACAGAAGAATAACACAACAATGAACAACATAAAAATGAATAAAACATTTTGTCTTCACCCCATCCTAAGGAATTCATACTCAAACATAACAGCATAAGAGAAGTGTTAATCGCCCACAACTTCTAGAAGTGATCAAGCCCCAAATCAAAATCCCCAACTGGAGACGCTTCTCTATATAGTTAATGCTTCTTGCCTAGATAAACCCCAAAAGGAGAAAGAAAAACAAATAACAGCAAAAAGCAAACAAACAAGAGGAACTGGATGAGGCTGAGAAACTGAGATCTCTTAAAATGAATGTCCTTAGCTAGAAATCTCCACCCCTACTTTGTAAAAGCCCAGGTTGTGGGACTGGAGTGGAGGTGGGATCTATGTGACCAAAGAAAACCTCCTGGCTTGAGGGAAGAGCCAGGCCTGGCATCAATGATCTCCCCCAGATGGCCACTCAAAGCCATTAAAGCAAGGGGAAGTCCCCGTGCCTCCGCTGCGGCCGTTTCAATGAAGAGAAGCCTGCCAGGAAGCAACCGGATAGCTTCCTGGTCGAGGGCCTGCTGATCTCGCCTCTGCATTTCTGGACAGTATTAATTTACACAGGCCCACAAACCAGCCGGGCACTCTCCAACCTATTGGGTTACATGCAAAGCACAAATAAACTTCCTGGGATAACTAACAGCGGAAATTGGAAAGGAAGGAACAATCTATCAATTATCAATAGGCAGCTCACAGGAACTTGGCAAATTAAGTAGTTAAAATGGGTAATAGAGATGAAAAAGAAAACGATGGGATTTTAAAAAATATCCCTCCATAATGCAGGAGATTAAAGGACCCGGCTGCTTTCCTTGCTCCCACAATAATGTCCCAGATCAAGTAAGATGGAGGAGCGGGGAGAGGGGAATACTGAAGAGGCTGACTTTGCCTAGCTGCAGGCATCGCCACGGCCTGGGGAAATGGCCTTCCAGCCAAGAAGCAGGAAAGCCTGGCGTGGTACTTCACACACTCGGGGAGTTGGGGGTGGGTCTGTATGGTACATTTCACATAGCATTTAGGTACGCTGGATTGAAACATAGAGAAATGATTCCCTTCTCAGTTCTATTTCTGTCTAGTGCTACCCCTCTGATACCTCTCTGAAGCCTAAAGACCTCCCTCTTTGACAACAAGGGACCGGGCATATGGCTTTCTGCAGGCAGCCAGGCTTTTATTTTGCCTGTCTTACATTTATTTTTTCAGTTGCCTCCACGTCTCACAGTTGTCCTGGCTACCACATCGCCATTGCAGTAGCCGTCTGAAGTCCTTTTGAAATAGATTTACTTGAGTTGTATACAGTGAGATGATTTTAAAAGTTATATTCAGCAACGGGTGCAGCACACCAACGTGGCACATGTATACATATGTAACAAACCTGCACGTTGTGCACATGTACCCTGAAACTTAAAGTATAATAATAATAAAATTTTTAAAAAAAGTTATATTCAGGAAATAGCAGCACGTAGTTTAGAGGGAGGTGATCGTGAGCGTCTCAGCCCTGTATAAATGCATGGAACTCTTGGAAACGGCTTTGCAATTCCATGGGGTATCTCACTATATTAAGAGCTGACATGACTGACCTCTAAGGACGAGGCAGAGGGGCCACACATGAATTAAATGCATTCTTTACTTGAGTTCTTTCCATTCCTTTGTGAGGTAATACTTTGGAGGCCCCTTTTACAAATGAGGCAACCGAGGCACAGGAAAGCTAAGTCACTTTCCCGAGGACACCCAGGTATGAAAATGTGGAGCCTGGTTTGCTCCCTAGAGCCGGGCGATTCAGAACATAAGAGGCAGGGTACCCTGGCTGCCCTCTGAGTTAGTGGGATATGTTCACCAATCTCAAGAGTTCTTCTGAGGATTAAATGAGATCACACAGGGAAAGTCCTTGGCTCAGTGGTCTGGCATGTAATCTGTACCCAAGAAATTCTCTCTTTTTTTCCCAATGAGATGCATAGAGCTCTGGGAGACTTCAAGCTTGTGTATCTCAATTTCATTGTATACAGTAACCTGGAGATGGTAAGCGTCTTCTAAGATCATGCAGCAAGTCGCAGCAGAATTGGCTCTTTGGTTGAAATCTCTAGGATGTCTGAGTTCAACTAAAAGTTCTTTACAATTCCCCCCAGGACTGGGCACTGACTAGCCTTCTCAGCATCCAGCCATGTTTTCAAGGCCTAGAGATGATTCTCAGTGCTCCAGAAGACACAAGTGAGACCCCAGCTCTCTGACTTATTTCACCATTCGACAGCTATTCATAGAGCATCTCCTATCTGGGTGATGAGGACTCACAGCAGTCTCTAAGACAGACTCATGCCCCACTCATAGAGTTTCCGGTCTAGACAGGAAGGCAAGCATTAATCAAATGACTGACCAAACAAATATAAATTTGCGATGATTTCATGTGCTATGAAGGAACAGTTCACAGGGCTAGGGGAACATGCACCCCCTTTCTAGTCTATTAAACAGCCTGCTTACTGGTGCCCTACCTCCTGTCTCCATTTCCAAACAACTTCTGTATGGCTGCTGGATTCATCTATCTAAATCCCAATTCTAATGTCACTCTTGGCTCTCAAACCTTCAGTGGCTCCCTACTTTCCAGAGAGTGAAATGTACATATCTCAGCCTGGCAGGCAAACCTTCCACCCAGCTTTCCAAACTTCCTCTTAGCTCCATTCCCAGGACAAGAGCCAGGGTTTCCCACTGCACTACCTAATACCCCGTCCATCTAAGACATGAGGCTCATAATGTCCTCATAATAGAAACCCCGAACTACCACTCTCCAAGGCCTGTGCCAAACGCCTCCTCTTCCAAGAAGCCTTTTCTTTAACCCCCATCACTTCCATCGTCCACCTGCATGCAGCCTTTGGTTCATCGTTGCCTGAGAACCCTCATGCTTCTCTTGCATCCAGTCATGTAGGGGCTTTCCTTATGTTCCCAACTTGAGTATGGATTCCTTAGAGTAGGTTGGGGGCATGAATGTTTTATTCGTTCTTGTATCATTCATTGTTGTGTTATTCTTCTGTATCGTTCAATAAGCATGAATTGAATTTAGTTAGTGCTACAGGGCAGGATAGAAATATGAATAAAACTCTAACAAAGGATAATTATTATTAAAACTTAATCACACTCTGGGAGGCCAAGGCAGGTGGATCACGAGGTCAGGAGATCGAGACCATTCTGGCTAACACGGTGAAACCCCAACTCTACTAAAAAATACCAAAAATTAGCCGGGCATGGTGATGAGTGCCTGTAGTCCCAGCTACTCGGGAGGCTGAGGCAGGAGAATGGCATGAACCCAGGAGGCGGAGCTTGCAGTGAGCCGAGATCACACCACTGCACTGCAGTGTGGGCAACAGAGTGAGACTCCATCTCAAAAAAAAAATTAAAAATAAATAAATAAATAAATAAACTTAATCAGTGCTAATATCAGGCCACCTGGTAAAGACTGAAGACAGAGAGTGGACGAAACATGGCCCTTGTGCTTGAAGACACAAAGGCTGGAGGGGGAGGCCAATGCCCAAACACCTAACTATTGCCAAGATAATGGCGACCGTGGAGATACTAACAACAGCAGCTTGCACCCATTAGGAGGCTTGTACCCCACATGCCAGGACTGTGTTAGGCTCCTTATATCCATTATCTCATTTAACCCTCAGAGCAGTCCCATGAATTAGGTTTTTATTTTGTAGGTAGGGAAACCAGAGCTAATAAACTTTCAGTTGATTTGTCTGGGGTCTTGGTTAGGGGTGGCATTCAGTGGTATATTCCTGAATCCACCAACAAGCAGCCTGGAGTAGGGAGTCCAAGGCTGGAGTCCACTGACCTCCTGATGCCATCCAGGCATCAAGACAAGACTGCTTGTCTTTCAGTTCACACATTCCCCGTGTGTGATCTTTATCCTCTCACTAATCACCTTGTAGTTGGGAGATGCCCAATCCACACCTGGCATAGCATCTATGATCTACATGGAGAGTAGGGAAAGAGCAGAGAGTAAAAGTTACAGGCCAGTTTGTCTGCATTTTAAAGAGTCTCTGAGAAGTCCTATCTAGTAAACTCCATCTACATGCCATTGGCCAGAGCTACGTCATTTGAGCACTCTTAACTGCGAGAGAGATGGGAAATGCAGTTATCCTGCGGCATTCCTTGCCAGGCCAAACAGGAAGAATTCCTTCAGTAAGAAACAAGGGCAGAATGGATATTGGGTGAGCAGTGAGCAGGGTATGCCATCCACCCTAGTTTCAAGCCTGGACTTGAACCAGTGATGTGTTACTCAGTCAGCTGGCAGGGGTGGAGGGAAGCCCTGATTGGTGGCATTTGCCAATTTTTGCAGTGTAAATACTCTCATCATAAGTAAATTCAAGCTACCAACAGGACTGCAAACGGCTTATAGAATTCCTGAAGATGTAACCATCAGCTCTCACAGCTGGTGCAAGCCGACTCATGACGTCATTGACATGAATCTGCCTAACTCCAGGTAAACCCTCTTTACTATGACGTGTTACCAAAGGCCATGCAACACAGAGAAGGAGGCATTAAGGAGCTGCCCAGGGACCATGCAATTCTTGAACTTTGGGAATCTATGAGTTCAGAAGATTTATCAAGTACGTAATCACTCAGAGACAATTGAGAGCTGCCCTTTCCAGGTAGACGTGCAGCAGCAAGCAGGCCTGAAGCCCCTGGGAGCAAAGGCGGGTGCAACAGATGATACCTGTTCTGCCTCTTCCCTGGGACACCTAAGGATCTGTTGGATGATGAGCCAGAGCTTCAAGGCAACAGATCCTGAGGATGGCAACTAGTACTTGAAATTGACAGAAAAGGGAAAAAAAAGAAATACATATATATATACACATATAGATATACATATATACACACATATATATGTATGTATGTGTGTGTGTGTGTATATTATATACCACCATCTTTCTTACCTTCATGATAGTGGTTCTCAACCAGGGTTGATCCTCCCCCCAGAAGATATTTGGCAAGGTTTGGAGACACTTTCGATGGTCACAACTTGGGATGGGGATGCTCCTGGTATCTAGTGGGTAGAGGCCAGGGATGCTGCTCGGCACCCTGCAAGGCACAGGGCAGCCCCCCATGATGAAGAATTATCTACCCCCAAATGTCAGTGCAAAAGCTGAGAAACCCTGCTCTGTAAAACTAGCCAACAAGTGTTGCCTCCGTGAATTCTGTGAGACACAGAAAAGACTTACTTTTTATGTTTTGGGGGGTACTGAGGAAGCGGTGGGCAGTGAGTGGAGAAGGAAAGATGCTGTTTATTATTCAACTCTCGCCTCCACAGCAGGGAAAACACTGTTTATATGAAACATCCAAGGTCGCTGCCACAGATATCAGTTCCATATTTCATGAGCCTTTGCCAAATCAAATTAGCTTATTTTCCTTGATATTAAGTTTGACAAGCAAAGAGACTGTGAAAACCAGAATTTCTAACTGGGCGTGCCCCTGTAATTTGGAATTTTTTTTTTTTTTTAGCATTGAGATTCCAACAGTAGCCTCATTCTTCATGTAAGGATTATATTACTGGCTGTATTCCTCTTGTCTGGAAATTTACCTCGTGTATCCTCAATTTCTTCTGCTATTCATATTCTTCAGGAATGTGACTGAGGCAGCCAGCCGATGCTGTTGGGACTCATAGTAGATGCCAAGGGCAGGTGGCCAAGGTGCCCCAGGAGGAGAGCAGCCCCTGTTCCACGTGAACCCACTATTAAGACGACTTGGTGTGGGGCAGTGTGTGTCAGCATGGTGTCAGTCAAAAGAAAAAGAAAGAAAGAAAACACCCCCAGGCCAGTTATCCTTAATGTTTTTTGGTTCCAGATAGCTTTGAAAATCGGATGAAAGCTGTGATCTTGCTTCTGCAAATGTATGCACGCTTTGGCACATTTTGCAGGGAATCCTGGAGCGTTCACTGGTTTCCTGAGGCTCAACAGTGAAGCCTTTGGCTGGGATTAGGGACCACAGCTACAGGTCAAAGCATGTGGCAAGACGACGCCCACTGAATATGGGTCTTCCATGCTGTGACTTTACGCCTGTGACCTGAGGACTCACCTGCTAGAATCTGAGTTTTCTCTGCTGTAAAGTCGATATTAACATCTTCTTCAGCAGGTGGTCCTACCAGTTAGAATGAGATGAAAGTCAGTAGGGAGAATAGACCAGATGGAAAAACAGAAGAAGGCAAAGAAACCACTGATTCACGTAATTAGCATTTATGGAGCACCTACTGCATGCGGACACCACATAGAATGCTGGGAATTCAGAGATAAGTAGACCAAAGTTCCTGCCCTCAAGGAGCTTGCAGAACATTTCAAATTCACAGGAGAGAGTTAGGGAGGCTTCAGCTGATGCTGTGGCACTGTGGTGGACTCATGGGAAGGGATTCAGGAGCTATTAAGGTGAGACCCCTGGGTGAATAAGACTGGGTCTGGCCTGCTGAGGGAGGAGGACTGAACCGGAGCGGACTTCTCCTGCTGCACAAAATGTCTGATCTCAGGATCATGCAATTTTAACACAGACCCAGAACAAAGAAGCTTCTAGGTCTGGTAACAGTGCTCAGAGTCCCTTTCAGAGGGTTGAATCTCACGTGCAATTTCCCATAAGTTACTTAATGTTTTTGCACCATGGTGTTTGCATTGCAATGCATGTTAGACTAGTAATCTTGGCTTTCATATTGGAGCCATGTGGCATGAGACGCAGCCTGTAGGCTCCACAAGGAACGGGGTGCATTTCTTGTTAATTGCTCTATTCCCAGCATCTAGAATGGGGCCTGACACACGGGAGGTGCTAACTCGGCATTTACTGGAAAAATGAAAGGAATCATCTAGTGGGAAAAACAGATTTCATCAGGGCTGCAAAAGAAGAGAACGGGGGCCAAGAGCAATGTATCCGAGGAGGCTGCCTTGGTTGGGAGGGCCCTTGGGAAGGTCTCCCTAAGGTAGAGGCCCTGGAGGTGAGATCTGAGTAGGAGCTAATGAGGTGAAGAGGGAAGACAGAGGACACAGTCCATGCAAAGTCCTGATGGCAGGCGGAGACCTGCAAGTTCAAGGAGCTGAGGTCTGTGTGGTGGGAGTGCTGAGGATGTGAGGGAGGGGTCCGGGGGGCTGGAGGGACGACTGGCCACATCACACAGGACTTTGTAGGTCATGGCCAAGACTTCTTTGTCTCAAGAGCAGTGGGAAGTCATTGAATATCTTTAAACACCTTGGGCAATTTTCTTTCCTCTGTTTTCCATGTGAACGCCAGCAGGAGGGAGCATACTTTGTACATTTGTCATTTTCTTCCCCTACATTCATCTCTCTCTTTTCTTCCTAGAAATAGTGCCCTGATTTCCCTTGGTAATCTATTCCTCAGGTTTCTCAGCCAGGAGGCCTGAGGGGGATTGGCCCTACCCCAGTTCCAGTGGGGGACTTTCATTGCCCTAAGCCAAAGACTCCATCTCCTCCCTTTTACCCCTGGAATTGGTCTGATGATGGTCACAAAGCACAAACAGTGCAAAGGAGTTGAGAGGAGAGGTTAGCTGGGGCTCGTAGAATGTGAAGCTCTGTCTTCTCTGGGAACTGTCAGGAGAAACTTTCCCTTCTTCCCTGGATAGTTGCAGACAACTCCCTTCTTGCCTCAGGATTTGCAGCAAGGGAAGAGCCTGCAACTGCTAGGGGCCACCACTGGGACTTAAAGATGAAGCTGACACCTTGAAAGGCAGAGACAAAATACACAACAAACTAATCGTTGATAATACTTTGTGAGCACCTGGATCAAGCCTCACCTGATGCCAAAATACTGCTGGACCTTTCTGGTTCCTGAGCCAATTATTCCTTTCTGTCCTTTTAAACCATTTTGAGTTGGTCTTTGGACATGGAGGTACTTAATCAATGCAGGCGGCTGAACCAGTGATCTAATGTTGCTGATTCTGCAGAAGCATTTTTACAAAGACTTGTAGAAAGACAGGGGCATCTGGCAGGTAGAAGCTATGTGGAAACTATAATCCAAAAGCATGAAATCTCATATTTTACCCAAGTATTATGATGGGCCATCAGTCCAAAACTTCACACCACAACATAACCAAATTCACAGTGAGTGGTCTGAAATGCATGTGGACACAGTTTCAAAGATTTGGGATTCAGTTTCCATTTGGAGCAGAGCCTAGAATTTTTGGATGTTTCCCCAAGGATTCAAGCTGGTGGATCTGAAAAGCCAGCAGGGGGATCTCCTGAGAAGCGTTTTCACGGCTCTCCAGGATACTTCCTCTCCTAGGATAAGCAGACACTTTTCTGCTGGGCCTTAGGCCCTTCCATGGTGGAAAGTTGGCTGGGAATCAGAAAGGATGAGTCATGAGGAAAAGTT
The DNA here is from genome assembly GCF_000001405.40 of Homo sapiens. Classification (NCBI taxonomy): domain Eukaryota; kingdom Metazoa; phylum Chordata; class Mammalia; order Primates; family Hominidae; genus Homo; species Homo sapiens. The sequence continues at coordinate 174,571,977 of NC_000005.10, forward strand.
TGCAGCCTTCAAAGAGCAGCGTTTGGTTTGGGCTGGGCTGAAATCATCAGTCCACAGGCTGGTGCGTGTGTTCACATTTGTGGAAGTCCATCTGTCCCTCCCCGGCGCTGTATGTGCTTGCCATCTTTCTTTTGAACTCAAGGCAGATGATAAAGAGCAAGTCATAAGCCTGCTGTGTTGAAGCCCAAGTCTCAGCTGGCAGGATCGACACTGCAGAATCAACTTGGCCTCTGTCCTGTCAGGACAGCTCAAGCCTCAGCACCCTTTCTCCTGTGTAACCTGCTCAGAGAAGTTTCCAGAGAGGAGAGATAGAGAGGGACCATGGTAAAGAGGTATAGAGAAGAAGAATGGACATAACACTTGTGCATGCTCTTTTGGAATTTATCATTTATAGTCAATGTATTTTTAGCTCATCTATAAGCTGGACAATTTCCTAATCTCTCCAAACTTCTTTCCTATCTTTGGCACAATAAGGATCATACCACCTATTCCAACAAGTTGCTCTGACAATTTTAAAAAATAGTATATGGAAATCACCTTAGCATAGTCCATTAATGAGCTCCAAAAATATTGATTGCCATAGGCCAATTCCAACTGAGGATGCTACAAAGAAGCGTCATGAAAGGTTACATTGCCACAAAGAGGGAAAATAAAAATCTAACGAAAGAAAAGCGAACTGCTTCCCAGTGCCTGCTTGCATGAAAACACAGTGATACAGTTTTGCCTTTTCAATGGAGGGGTCACAGAGTTCAGTCCACGCCTCGGCATGTGAACTTGTGGTTTCTGCCCAATGAATCAGTCGGTGATGGGAAAATTAACTGATCTGAGCAGAGTGATGTCAATGTCACTGGGAGGAAGGTGCTGGTACAATGTACAGTCACTACAAACATCCAACATTAGAAGACTAAATCATGCCATCTAAGGGGCTTGCTGACGTGTCGTTCACATTTAAAACCCTGACGTTAATCTAAAACATTTTGGGCTGATGCTGGGGGAAGGGGAAGAGCAAAAGGAGAGAGACTTACGTTCCTGTCGATAACACGTAGGCCGGGACTGAATGTCATTGCCCATGCCGGATCTTGGGGCACTGGTTTTGAGGTAAGCCCCTTCACCAACTACCCAGCAGCTGTGTGAGTTACACAAAGCCAACACGGGGTCCTTCCCCTCACTTTCTCATTAGTACTGGGCCCATCCACCCACCTCAGAGCCAATAGCCCAGAACAGCTGTTTGGACATGGATTGTTCTCTCTTTTGCTTCTGATGTGGAACTTTCTTTCCAGCAGGGATCTCTGGTGACTTCTGCTTATTTCCTATTTGAGTCAGAAAAGCAAGTGCAATTTGAAGATAGGAAAAGTCAGCCAGGCTCCTCAGTACCCCTCTAATAGCTTAGACTGACTTTTGCGGTTTGGAAAATGTTCCCATTTTTCCAAACCAGCTCCTCCATCACTATCACAGCCAGACTGTCTGGGAAAACTGCCTGTCTTTTTACAGTGACTATTACGTTAAGAGATAGATTAAAAATAATAGGAAGAGGTCAGAAACTTTCTTGCTGTGAGAGAAGAAAATAGAGTGCGCGGTGAGTGATCACTATCTTGGCTGGCCCCAGACAGCCAGGCTGCGGTGGGCCAGCGGAGCTGCTCCCACTCCAGAGGGCGGAACTGGGGCACGTCAAAGACCCACGGAGGCTGCTTGTGGGCTTCTCAGCAGAAGCAGCCTGCAATGCTAGAAAGACTCTTGTTTTCCATTCTGAGGATAATCCTTCTGGCAAGGGATGCATAAATGAGGTCTGAATGGGAAGAAGGGATTACAGCAGAAAAGGAAAATCTCGCCACAAGGACTATTTACAAGCTATAAATCCAGTTGTTAATTTCAAGCCATCAAAATCATTCTTCTATCTCCAGCCTGAAACAACAACGGATGGTCAACGCAAGGGTAATCCACCAGAGGAACACTGAGCGGAGCTGTACCGCCCCAGCCACATCAGCTACTGCCTTTCTTGGTCCATAAAATATGACCTTAATTACAAGTCAACTTATTCTCATTAAGGAGAAGGGAGAGGGGAAGCTAAGAAGGCTGGTTGAGAAATGAAGGCTGGTCTCAGGGAGCAGAAATGTGCATGCAATTTGCAACAGGAAGAAAGGAAGGCCGACTTTTATAAAAGATGTGCCAAGAACACTTCAGGCTCCAGAAAAGACATGAGCCTGAAGCAGGCAGAGCTTTGTGGATCACACAGAGGTTGAGATCCAGCACCACCATTCATAACAAGGGCTTCCTTTCTCATCTATGAAAAGGTTACTTCAAAACATAAGTTTCTCATAACTGTCCTGTTACATTATATTTGGGAGGAGGTATGGCTTCACTACTCACCCCTAAGAAGGAATGATTGATATTAATAACTTCACAAAGCTATCATCACATCTATTGCCTGTTTTCCTTGTATGACTTACATTAATGTGCATATATTATTTGCTTGGTACAAAGTTAATTACAATAAGGTAAACATTGTCATTATCCCCTTTATAGATGAGGAAATTGAAGTGTAATAAATCGCACAAAGATACACAGCTAGTGTGCATTAGAATCAAGATTCGAATCCAGATTTATGTAGCTCCAGTGGCTCTGCTTATATTTACTTCACTAGAGGAGCTTTTGCTTTTCATAACTATTTTCCCTAAACCTCATGAAGTGTCATCTTCCCCCACTTAACACATGAAGAAACTGAGGCTAAGAGAAGTAAAGAGAGCTGCCCTAAGTGACTCAGGCCCTTGAGTGCTGAGGCTGGAATTCTGTAATGTTTCCTGAAAAGGGCTGGGCATGGTGTCCCAGAAGTCAAAGATGAATGCAGCTTGATGATCCCAAATAACCAGGAGAGGAAGTGTCACAGGGTGAGGACAATGCAGAAACTACCCACTTCTTCCTGTGCCCTTGATCCTCGGAGGTGTTTGGCTCTCATTCTTTTCAGAGCCTGTTTTTTCAGCTTCTCATTCAATTCTGTGAGTCTCCCCAATCCTTCCAATAAATCTTGTTTTATTGTTTAAGTCAGCTGGGATTGGGTTCCTATTGCTTGCAACCCAGAATCCTAACTACTATAGTAAATATACTAAGTATTAGAGAGCAAAGCTAGGGCACCCAATTCTGACGCATGTCCAGGGGAGACACAGGGCAAAGAGAGAGGGACAAGCCAGATGCATTAGATTTGTGAAGGTATAAAAATAAAATGCTCGTAAAGAGAGAGGCCTCAGGACAATGGAGGAAGTAGGCTGGACTGCCAGAGGCTTGGATTTTACTGACATCTGATCTTAGGGCATCACACATGGGTTGGCCATTTGAAAGAATTCCAAAAGCCTATGCCATTGAATCACATCAGTTTTTTACAAGTTGTGATAAGCATGTTTCTGGTAGTACCAAGACAAAGCTCAATTCAAAAAATACTTATGTTTTTATTTGTATATTTATCTTATGTTTACATGATGATATTGCTCTCCATTTACAATGGCAACATAAAGTTTATTTTCTCAAATTAATTAAGTAAAAAAACTGAGTGAATTTAAAGAAAAATCTTAAATAATATGGCAAAAGTCATAAATGCATAAAAATAAGTGAGGTTTAAGAAGCTACGTAGCACTGTTTATTATTTCATAATACAGATTTTGGGACCTGCCATTTGATGATGAAGCCAAGTAAAAAGCTGAAGTTAAATCTGGATAAACCAAGATAAAGTGTTGCCACCAACTCATTACCTACATATGTAAATTTTGAAGAATTTTAACTGGATTGTCCAGAGTTCAACTTTCTTTTTTCATTTTATTTTTTAGAAAGAAGCAGAATCTGCATCCTGATTGATCTCTTACATTCAGAAACCATATTGTTACTGTTGGGGCAAAAATAAAATATAAAACATGAGAAATGAAAAAGAAAATGACAAAACCAAGCCTATAAACTTGCCAGCCAACACAGCACGTTCCAGTGGAGAAATTCACCAAGTTCTCTGTGGGAAAACTCAGGGCTCTGTAAGTTTTAGAAGTGGGGAGCTCCTGGTGTTTAGTCTAATTTACCATGGAAGACTGGCATTCTGATAGGATAGAGGTAGACCAGAGGTCTGAAAACAGCAGGCTAAACTAAGTCCTGTTGTCATGCATCAGGAACATCTTCAGTTACATCCATCAAGGGTCTGAGACACAAGGGTCACTCAATATTTGTCCGAACCAATTGTGTTGACACATGACATTCAGCTTTGCTCTTACCTAGGCAAGCACTGCTGTCAGTGGAAATTATCCTCCCCTTGGTTCTCCCTTTTTCTGAGATAATAGATGAGAACATAAAGGATAAGCAATTTGTCGGGTGTTCGGGTCCACACTGCCGATTTGGTTTCAGTGCCATTGTCCCAGATCTCACTGTGTTCATTTAAGTCACTTAAGTCTCCTTTATAAATAGAATCAGCTAATTAGCTGGGCGTGGTTGCGGGCACCTGTAATCCCAGCTACTTGGGAGGCTGAGGCAGGAGAATTGCTTGAACCTGGGAAGCAGAGGTTGCAGTGAGCCGAGATCAAGCCACTGCCCTCCAGCCTGGGTGACAGAGTAAGATTCCGTCTCAAAAAAAAAAGAAAAGAAAAGAAAAAGAAATAGAATCAGCTGATGTATGAACCAACAAGAGGGTTGCTGGGAAACAGCATTTAAGACCTTGTTAACAATATGCTTGACAACAGCAACAACCAGGCATAACATAACTAATAGTAGCATGCTCTAATCAGCCCCCTATAGAGACAAGTCCAGGTTATGAGAAAAGAGTCCACTGGTCAGTCCAACCCATCTTAGACAAAAAGTTTCCTGTTCTTAAATTTTATATAGGAACTTCTTGACTCACCCCAAAACATTAATCCAAATGTCACAAGAGGTGTTAGCCAGTGCACAACGGCCTTGTTTGGTCAGTAAAGAACTCACATGTGATTCTCTTGTTTGACATCATTGCAGCGAGTGAGTGAAGGTTTTACAGTTCAGTTTGACCAGCAGGCACATTCTGGACAATTTCATTGGTTGTGATTGCCAATGTTACGGGCACTTTCTAATGCAAAGTCTTAATCAGGAACCCCAAGCCAAGGAAGAAACCCATGCATAAGGCGATGAAACCAGTATCCCTGTGACCTCTAGGCCGTTCGCTCTTAGACAGGCAGGTCCTTTGGGTGATGGCCAGTATGTAAACACTGAAACTCCAATCTGGCATGCAAATCCACCCATGCCTACCAGAATGGGAGACTCTTTCTCTGCTCCAATGTCCACATTGGATGATGATATCATCTTAGCAGAAATACACAAAGCCACAAGGAGTACCATCTGGCAATTGATAAATATTGTTAAATAGACCTCTCAAGTGTTTAAGCACCATTAAAACCAAATATACCTAAAGTTTAACAGAAAATAGTATAATTAATTTAACCAGCACAGGGACATTTTCCTTGACCTCACGGAAAGAGTTAAGTGAAAAAGCTTTATTAATTACTTCCTGTGGAACAATTTACCATTAGCAAAATTTTACATTATATGACTTAGAGAAAATTCTGACCACTATAGCTACACTTTTTGTTCTCAGAAGTTGGTTGCCGAACATTAACCTGGAAGGTGTCATTTTTACAGATAAATGTATTAATTGTAGCCCAGATATGGAAATTAACTTCCGTGAACGTGTCCTGTCATAACTGCAGCTAGTAGCATTTTCAGCACAGCGCCTTAAAAGAAAACTCCATGGAATTCTATAAGAAGGATGACAAACTCAAACTGAGTTTGGTAACTAAATTCTCATAGTAAATTTTGATTGACTTAAAATCTGGAGAATGCCAGACAAACGTAATTATTTTCATTGTCTTTTCTTTTTATATAGTGGGAAAAAAAATCCCTGTGTTTACTCAATTACTGTCCAGGAAAATCCAAAGGTATTTTGGGTTTAAAAGATATCCTTGACCAGGCGCGGTGGCTCACATCTGTAATCCTAGCACTTTGGGAGGCCAAGGCGGGTGGATCCCTTGAGCTCAGGAGTTTGAGACCAGCTTGGGCAATATGACAAAACCCTGTCTCTACAAAAAATACAAAAGTTAGCTGGGCATGGTGATACATACCTGTAGTCCCAGAGGAGGCTGAGGTGGGAGGATCTCTTGAGCCCGGGAGGTCAAAGCTGCAGTGAGCCACGATCATGCCGCTGGACTCCAGCCTGGGCATCAGAGTGAGATTCTGTCTCAAAAAAAAAAAAAATGAGGAAGAAGATATCCTTAGAGCTTTATGATTCTAAGTTTAGAGCCTCATTTTGGGGAAAGCAATAGGAAAGAATCTTCAGAATAGATTTTTGCAAGAACAATGGAGAGTTGTCTTGATTACCTATTAAACAGAGGGACAAATTAAGAGAAGTTACACAATAATAATTCAGAATGTCAATTCTGGCCGGGCGCAGCGGCTCACACCTGTAATCCCAGCACTTTGGGAGGTCGAGGCGGATGGATCACCTGAGGTCGGGAGTTTGAGACCAGCCTGGGCAGCATGGTGAAACCCTGTCTCTACTAAAACTACAAAAAAAATTAGCCGAGTGTGCTGGCAGGCACCTGGAATCCCAGCTACTCGGGAGGCTGAGGCACAAGAATCTCTTGAACCCAGGAAGTAGAAGCTGCAGTGAGCCAAGATCATGCCACTGCATTCCAGCCTGGGCGACACAGCAAGACTCTGTTTCAAAAAAAAAAAAAAAAAAGTCAATTCTTCCTGAAGAATCCTTATTGCTTCATTTAAAACAACCTAGAAGCATGGTAAGAAGGAACATAAAAGAAAAAAAAAGATAAACTCTTAAGTACTGGGAACTGGCTCTACATCAAATAAGAATAATGCCTTATTTCCTCATATGGAAAGAACATCTATAGTCCAAAGTCATAACTTGCTGATAACTATTAGACATCTCATTTCTGTCATATTTGAAGCTTTTGCTCATTGATGTTTCTGTACCATTGTGTTTATACATTGAAACATACATAAATAGGTGCGCTCCATAATTTCTTACATTATTAATCTTAACATAAGACAATATATATGTCATATTGATTTTACCATTTTTATTAAAGTGTTATAAAAGAGTAAATGCATTCATGTAGAGGCAAGAATATAAGTTAAACTAGTTACATGAGATGACAGCCTGAATAACAGTCTCTCAAAGATGTTCACGTCCTAGTCCAGGAAACTGTGACTGTGTTATCTTACCTGGCGTAAGGAATTTAGCAGATGTTATTAAGTTGAGGATCTTGAGATTATCTCATATTATTTGAGTGGATCTGATTTAATCACAAGGGTCCTTTTAAGAGGGCAGCAGGAAGTCAGAGAGGAGAAAAGATGCTTAGCTGCTGGTTTTGAAGATTAGAGGAAGGAACCAAAGAATGCAGGCAGCCTCTGAAAGCTGGAAGAGGCGCGGAAGCAGATTCTTCCCGAAGTGTCCAGAAGACATGCAGAGCAGCCAACACCTTGAGGTTAGACTTCTGATTTTAGACTTACGCTTCTGACCTCCAGATCTGAAAGATAATACAGTTGTTTCTTTAAGCCATTAAGTTTGTGGTAATTTATTACAGCAACAATAGAAAACCAATACACATGAAGACTCCACACATCTTTTCTTCCCTTAGAAATCTGAAATAAAAATTATTGATTGCTAACTTTTATGATTTCAAAGTCAATTAGAGATCTTAGAAATTAAATTCAAGTCACCTTTCAAAAAATAATAATAGTAAAAGATTACTTAATGATACTAAAAGTATCAGAAAAATACCACTTTAGAATTTACATCAACAGTTTCTAGTAATTCTGTAGATTCCCATAATTTGTTGCATGACTGAAGTTGCAATAACCAATGTCTTCTTAAAAGACATTAGATTAGATTAGAAGATGTTAGATTAGAAAACATTGGACTAATGTCTTAGAAGACTTGGTTCTAGAAGACATTGGTTATTGTAATCTAATTGAATACATATATTTACATGTTTATAATTCTAAACATTTATGAAAGCAGCACTAGCTTAAGACAAGTCTAAGAAATTTAGGAAATTCCAATTATTTAAGCTCTCTGGTGTAAACTAGAATATTACGCTAAAATTATTTTTATATCATGTTAAAATCAGAAAGAAGATATTATCAAAATAGGCTAATCCTCAAATATTTCTTGATGATAAATATATCCATGATTATAAATTTCTCCTGTTATATAACAATAATTAACCCTCTAAATTGTATAAAAGCACCAAATGAACTCCATTTCATCTTAGTATATAACCCAGTGACCAAAATCATTAACTTAACTCACAGCTAAACCTTTCTTTTTCAGAGGTGCAGGCTCGGCAAGAAAATATTCATTAAAAGAACTAAAATGTTTCATAACAATAGAGGTTAGGTTGTTTTTGGAAATTCTAAAGTTCTCTTATTTTAAATTTATATAAGTGCTTTTAAGTCTCTACAAAGAAATTAACTTAAGAGCTCCCATAGAATTTGAGAATTTATCATCTGATTCATCAGTTTGCTTCTATCTGGATCCGATATCCCTAGAGTGTGGTATAACAGAGTTTACAACCAACTGAAAAGGTTGCCCACTGTAGAATTGAAACAGTTTATATTGGGTTGAAGGGAATGTATTAACCCTTTTTGAACTTGCTTAATGAAAAACAGGTATAGAATGGATTCCTTCATCAGCCAAAAGACAGATGAGTAACTCCAAGGAAACAGTGTTTGCTTCTCTTCCCCAGATGAAACATAGACAAAACAAATACACAACAAATCGAGACTGAAAGTGCCACTGGAAAGACTCTAAGTTAAAACCAAGTCTTGCTGGGGATTGCTGACCAGAATGACAAAACAAATCAAAAGCGTGGTAACTCAGGCCACCTAGATTAAATAAAGTAAACTCGGTGTGCATGCAAGAAACACATCACACCAGCTGAGCTTGACGGCTACCGGGAGACCCTGTCTCAGTGCAGGCCCAGCAGAAGACCAAAGCTGAGCACAGAGGGACTCGTGTTGTCTGGCCGAGATGTCCACTAGCATCAGTGAGTGAGGCTGGTCAAGGCCATTTCGGTAGAACCTCTATTCTTTCTGCCGTACAAAAAAAAACAGAGAGTTGACAACAAAAATAAAACAAAACAAAAACAATAAACACAAGAAACAAAATGAGGCTATTAACTCTGCCAAGCAAGGCCACACATGCCAATGAAGAAATTCACTTAGTAGTTCTCCAAGGCGGAGGAAGTCAGGGGTTTCTGAGTGCTGAAAAAGGGGGAATTCATGGTGGTACTAAGCATGGAAAATGAGCCCTCTGGACAAGATAGAATGAGTCCTAAGTCTGTATGTTGTTTGTAGTTCAGTGCTGTAGGGGTCTCGGGTACAGTGATTCCTTAAAGTTCATGGTCCTTTAACAGCTTCAACTGTTTAGAGCCAGTTGTGATGAAATGCAATATTCAGTCTTGACAGCCCCCAGGCAAGTGCTTCTGTAAGTAAATAATTATCCTCTTACAGATGGCATTAAAAGCAAGGAGCTCTGAGCTACACTGCAGCTCTAGACTCACTCAGAGGGTGAGGTCGTCTTCCTGAACTGTCCTGATCTGGGTCCAACAGGGGTTCTCTTACTAGGAAACTGTGCCGTCCTTCAAAATCAGACAAAGAGATGACAAAGTAACTGGGAAACAATAGAGGGCGCACTTGCTGGGAGGCATTCTCAGGCCGCCAGAGGGGATCCCGGGAGAGGAAAGTAGTTGTGACTGACTTCCTGGCATCTGCACTTGTTTCTAGTTTGGTTCTTTGTTTCTTTGTTATTTGAGTATATAGCAGTTACCAGAAAAAAATAAAAATAAAAATCTTCTTCATGAACAAAGTTACTTTTATTTGGATTAATCACAGTCCCAATAGAGTCATGTTAGGGTTAGTTATTAATGAACCCAATAATAATCAAGCTTCTTAGAAACCTTCCATCCATTATGGCCATTAGGAATGAAAGCCTCAGCATCAACCCAGTTGCCCTAAACAACGCTTGATGCTAGTAAATCTATTCCTGGGTGGCTTATGTTCCAGCCAATCAAACATGTTGTGTTTCCAAGTCAAAATAAACTGTGATTCAGGAACCCACTGAGGGAGGACGTTTCCCCTTCTTCTGTTAATGTCACTAAGAATTGCAAAACACTTTGTGTATTCATTCATCTAGTTTGTACTGGAATATATGTTTTTAAATTAGATAAAGAAATGCCTGAAGAATTGTCTAAAGAATTTCGGTTTGTCAAAACTCAGAACGATACTCCAAAAGATTAATTTTATTGTGTGTAAATTTTACCTTAAAAAACCTCACCCACAAAAAGGAATTGGATTATTTCCCCTGACAAACAAATAACTGAAAACTTGATTTAAAAATAGCTTGCAGGCCAGGCGTGGTGGCTCAAGCCTGTAATCCCAGCACTTTGGGAGGCCAAGGTGGGCAGATCACGAGGTCAGGAGTTCGAGACCAGCCTAACCAACATGGTGAAACCCCGTCTCTACTAAAAAAAAAAAAAAAGCAAAATTTAGCCAGGTGTGGTGGCACGTGCCTGTAATCCCAGCTACTCAGGAGGCTGAGTCAGGAGAATTGCTTGAACCCGGGAGGTGGAGGTTGCAGTGAGCCGAGATCGAGCCATTGCCCTCCAGCCTAGGAAACAGAGCAAGACCCTGTTTAAAAAAAAAAAAAATTGCTTGCAATATCTGTGGATAAAATGACGCCCAAATTTGATTCAAAATATGACAAATTTGGGGAATAGGAAAGGGGTAAAAATGAAACAAGATTGGCCAATGAGTTGACAAATATTGAAGCTGGGTGCTGGGCATACGGGGATTCATTAAACTGCTCTCTCTCTCTCTCTCAATCATGGTTTTTATGTTTGAAATTTTTCATAATAAAAATCTTTTTTTTTTTTTTTTTGAGGCACAGTTTTGCTCTGTTGCCCAGGCTGGAGTGCAATGACATGATCTCAGCTCCTCCCGGGTTCAAGTGATTCTCCTGCAACCTCCACCTCCTGAGTAGCTGGGATTACAAGAGCCCGCAACCACGCCCGGCTAATTTTTTGTATTTTTAGTAGAGACAGGGTTTCACCCTGTTGGCCAGGCTGGTCTCGAACTCCTGACCTCAAGTGATCCACCTGCCTTGGCCTCCCAAAGTGATTACAAGCGTGAGCCACCGCGCCTGGCCTATAATAAAAATCTGAACTGATAACTTGCATTTAGGAAAGGCTGTTACACAAAATATGCTGGCTTTTACACAAAATATGCTGCCCTTATGTTCCAGTGCTCAGCAGAATGCTCAAAATCAGATAATGAATGTTTACTGTGTGGCAAATTCTCAGCTATGTGCCTTACACATAGCTTCAGTCCTAGTAACCCTGCAAAGTAGATACTATTATTCTCCTTTTATAAAGAAGGAAACCAAGGGTAGGGACATCAGATACTAGCTTCAAGTCCCAAGGCTTGGAGGTGGAGAAGCCAAGATCCAGGTTAATCTGATTCAAAGTCTAGTTTTGGTTTCAATTTGGTGTGGTTTTTGTTTTTTGGTGTGTGTGTGTTTGTGTGTGCACGCACATGCACACCTGTGTTTACAGTGCTTCAACATTAAGAACTATTGCCTCACGATATGGCTATGCAACTTTGAAAAAATTGACCAAGGGAGGACAATCAGATCTTTTTTCCATGCAGGATGTCCTATGTGTTCATTTTTCTGGGATGCTTAAAAAACCCCATGCTAGCTTCTATTAGTGCAGCTTGGTGAGCAAATGACGTTGCTGTCTTGAGTCCTCTTTCAGCACCTTGGGAAGCCTCTCCCGATCCCACAGCCCTTCGCAGGTGCTCCCTCCTGTTCCTGCAGCCTCTAAGGCTTAGTTCAGCGATGAGCACCGAGTTTGAGGTTCTGGAAGTTGCTGACTTTCTGTGTCTGCCCCTGCCACGCAGCTGACGGCAGCTTGTTCCAACCCATCAAAGATCACAGCTCAGAGCCTCTCTTCCATTTGGTATTCCCCTAAAGCTCCAAGAAAACCCTCTTACAAGAATAAAGCAATACTAATAAGGCAACTGAGGTATGAAATAGACATCACACCAAGCAGGAATCTGCCCTTTCTTGAGCACCTATGTGCTTTATCCGTGGGCAATTTAAACACATGATTATTTTCATGGGAATAACCCTAACAAAAGAGGGATTATTATTTTCATCTTAGAAAAACTGGAGCTCACAACGTTTGAGAGTGTCTAGGAGGAATGACTCCACTGTGTGTGCTTTTTCTAGTATGTGGTTTAATTATTTTCTAGCAGGGTGACTTTCTAGCTTCCCCTCGCTGAGCCTCAGTTTCTTCATGTGCAAAACAATGATAATCAGGCCAATGCGAAGAATTGTAGTGAGGATTAAATAAAAATGCCTAGTGCCTCCATATACACAAATACATACTCTCATTTGCCCCAGAATTTGTGACACCATAGTCATTTTCTAGGGGTCTCCTGCGCAGCTGTACTTTTTTTCTAATTTGTGATAATGTCAAGTGGCATCACTGTTCTCAACCATGTGGTGTCTTCTCTGCTCACTCCTTCCACAACTCCCTTCCTAACAACTATGGATTCACTCCATCATCATTTCAATCCTTGGAAGACCTATATGCAGGAGGCACTACATTCTGTCCTCACCTTGACCTCTCAGACACCTCCTCTGAGTCAGGCACAGAGTTCTAATTTCATCCTTGCAGGTTCCTGGAGTCATTACCTTGCTATGCTAAGTGTCCCCCACCCACAGGCCCCGGTACTTCCCATACTTCTATGTAGTCTGGATCATCGTGGAGGTAAAATAATTAATTATGTAATTGGTTGTTATGATCAACTTTGCTGGACAATGAAAGCAGGAACTGTGTCCTATTAACCACTGCATCTCAGCATCTTACACAGCACCAGGCACAAAGTAGAAAATTTATAGTATTTGTTGACTGTAAGAAGAAATAAAACATTTTTAAAGTGTGTTTGGCCAGGCACGGTGGCTCACACCCATAATCCCAACACTTTGGGAGGCCAAGGCAGGAGGATCACTTGAGGTCAGGAGTTCAAGACCAGCCTGGGCAACATAGTGAGACCCCATCCCTACAAAAAATAATTAAAATTAGCCAGGTGTGGTGGTGCTACTTGGGAGACTGAGGCAGAATTATTTGAGCCCAGGAGTTCAAGGTTATAAGTGAGCTATGATCGTACAACCATACTTCAGCCTGGGTGACACAGTGAGACAGTCTCTCTGAAAAAAAAAAAAAGTGTGGTTTCCTCTCTCTACAAAGCCAGACTCTTTTTTTTGTTTTGTTTTGTTTTGTTTTGTTTTTCCTTTTTTAACTTTTATTTTAGATTCAGGGGATACATACGCAAGTTTGTTACCTGGGTATACAGCATGATGCTGAGGTTTGGAGTACAAATGATCCTATCACACAGGTACTGAGCATAGTACCCAATAGTTAATTTTTCTACTCTAGCTCCCCTCCCTCCCTTTCCTCTCTACTAGTCCCCAGTTTCTATTGTTGCCATCTTTCCATCCATGAGTCTACTGTTCAGCTCCCACTTAGGAGTGAGAACGTGTAGTATTTGGATTTCTGTTCCTGCACTAATTGGCTTAGGATAATGGCCTCCAGCTGCATCCATGTTGCTACAAAGGACATGACTCCTTTTTTATGGCTGCATAGTATTCCATGGTGTATACACACCTCATTTCCTTTATCCAATCCACCGTTGATGGGCCCCTAGGTTGATTCTATGTCTTTGCTACTGTGAATACTACTGTGATGAACATGTGAGAGCATGTATCTTTTTGGTAAAAAGTTCTGTTTTCTTTTGGATATATATCTAGGAATGTGATTACTGGGTCAAATGGTAGTTCTGTATGAAGTTTTTTTTTTAAGAAACTTCGAACTGCTTTCCACAGGGGCTGAATTAATTTACATTCCCACCAGCAATGTATAAGCCTTCCCTTTCCTCTGCAGCCTCACCAGTATCTGCTGTTTTTTGGCTTTTTTAATAGTACCCATTCTTACTGGTATAAAATGGTATCTCACTGTAGTGCTTTTGTTGTTGTTGTTGTTGTTTTTGAGACAGAGTCTCGCACTGTTGCCCAGGCTGGAGTGCCTGGTGCGATCTCAGCTCACTGCAACCTCCACCTCCCGGGTTCAAGAAATTCTCCTGTCTCAGCCTCCTGAGTAGCTGGGATTACAGGTGCCCGCCACCATGCCCAGCTAATTTTTTGTATTTTTAATAGAGACAGGATTTCACTATGTTGGCCAGACTGATCTCAAACTCCTGACCTTGATCATGTGCTGGGAGTACAAGCATGAGCTACCACACCCAGCCCTCATTGTGGTTTCGATTTTCATTTCTCTGATGATTAGTCACAAAGCATTTTTTCATGTTTGTCGGCCACTTGTATGTTTTTTGAAATGTGTCTGTTCATGTCTTTTGCCCATTTTTTTTTAACAAGGTTATTTGTTTTCTGGTTGTTCAATTCTTTAAATTCCATATAGATTCTGGATATTAAACCTTTGTCAGATGCAAATTTTGCAAATATTTTCTCCCATTCTGTAAATTGTTTACTCTGTTGATAGTTTCTTTTGCTATGCAGAAGCTCTCTAGTTTAATTAGGCCCAACTTATTTGTTTTTGTTGCAATTACAGCTAGACTCTATCCCCACCATTTTGATGTACTATTTTAATCACAGGTGAGTTTAATTATTCTGTTTTCACTGTGATATTTGCTCTTTGCAGGTCAATTATGTGACTAGTTAGTAGGCAAAGTGATGACAAGTTTATGGAAGAATCAGATTAGTAATGAGATAAACAATAAAATTTTGGGATCACTAATGAGAATTATATATGGCTTTATCATGCATTAGCCAAGAAATGATTACAGATTATTTTTTAAAAATCCAATTCAAGGTCGGGCTCGGTGGCTCATGCCTGTAATCCCAGCACCTTGGGAGGCCAAGGCGGGTGGATCATGAGGTCAGGAGTTCGAGACCAGCCTGGCCAACACAGTGAAACCCCGTCTCTACTAAAAATATAAAAATTAGCTGGGCATGGTGGCACGTGCTTGTAGTCCCAGCTACTCAGGAGGCTGAGGCAGGAGAATCACTTGAATTCTGGAGGCAGAGGTTGTGGTGAGCCGAGATCATGCCACTGCACTCTAGCCTGGGCAAGCGAGACTTCATCTCAAAAAAAAAAAAAAAAAAAAATCCAATTCAAATGATATCACCACTAGAAAAATACCTATGTAAATTAGGTATTTTTGAGGCATAGAAAATGAGGAACAGAATTTAAATCAATGAAGAATACTTAAAGCTATGGTTTCTAAAACTTGATATGAACAAAATACTCATAAATTAACCAAGTCTTTGTTGTATTAATAAAATGTGCTCAGAAAATAATTAGGCTGACTTATTCCAGTTTGCCCCAGACTTTCTCCATTTTAGCACTGAAAGTTCCATGTCTCAGGAAACCCTAAGTTCCAGGCAAACCAGAATGGTTGGTCACCCTAAAAATAATTGGCCCTGTTGAAAGTAATGTTGGCTCTATTACTTACTAGCTATATCACCTTGGGTTCTTTTTTGTTTTGTTTTTTTAGACAGAGTCTCGCTCTATCGCCAGGCTGGAGTGCAGTGGCACAATCTTGGCTCACTGCAACCTCCGCCTCCCAGGTTCAAGTAATTCTCCTGCCTCAGCCTTCTGAGTAGCTGGGACTACAGGTGCCTGCCACCACACCTGGCTAATTTTTGTATTTTTAGTAGAGACGAGGTTTCACCATGTTGGCCAGGATGGTCTTGATCTGTTGACCTCATGATCCACCCCCCTCGGCCTCCCAAAGTGCTGGGACACCTTGGGTTCTTAGTTCTCAGTTTTCTCATGTATAAACTGGAGCTAATAACAATATGTACTTTATAGATTATTGTCAGGATAAACTGAGATAATGTACAGAAAGCATCTCATGCATAGTATATGCTCAAAACATTTGATAAATATGGTATTACTATTATTACTAATGGCAGAAGTGGAATTTCAGAATGAGAACTTTCTCCTCTCAAATCTTCTTTTTATCCACCTTCTACACTATGCATGTTTAGCCACACTGAATTTAATAACCAGGAACTCCTAAGGCTAGTGGTTGGTTCTACGGTGCCTGTGGTTAGAAGCAACCAATACATGGCTGGATCATCTTTTGCATGTAGACAGAGAGGTCTGACCTCTAGGCCTTGAAAGAAGCAAAGTTATAAAGAAAGCTTCAGCCAGGCATGGTTGGTCATGCTGTAATCCCAACACTTTGGGAGGCCGAGGTGGGAGGATTACTTGAGGCCAGGAGTTTGAGACCAGCCTGAGCAACATAGCAAGGAACTGTCCCTACAAAAAAAAAAAAAAAAAAAAAAATATATATATATATATATATATATATATATATATATATATATGTTAGTTTTGTTTTGTTTTTGGAGACAGGGTCTCACTTTGTTGCCCAGGCTGGAGTGCAGTGGTGTGAACATGGCTCACTGCAGCCTCAGCCTCCTGGGCTCAAGACAACCTCCTGCTTCAGTCCCCCCAAGTAGCTGGGACTACATGTGTGCGCCACCATGCCTGGCTAATTTTTGCATATATTTTTTGGTAGAGATGGTGTTTCACCATGTTGTCCAGGCTGGTCTTGAACTCCTGATCTCAAGTGATCCACCCACATCAGCCTCTCAAAGTGCTGGGATTACAGGCATGAGCCACGGTTCCTGGCCAAAAAAAAAAAAAATTAAAAAAATAATAAAAAAATTGTTTTTTAATTAGCCAGGCATGGTGGCCTGTAATACTAGCTATTCAGGAGGCTGAGACAGGAGGATTGCTTGAGCCCAGCAATTCAAGGCTATAGTGAGCTATAATAGTGCCACTGCACTCCAGCCTGGGCAACAGAGTGAGACCCTATAAACAACATTTAAAGTAAAATAAAGTCCTTGATCACCTTCAGGTCTCCATAATGCAGAAGATGGTGAATGTAGTACAAACACCCAAAAACCATTAGGCAAGGTTAAGCTCACACCCAACTGAGCTCATGGACAGCATACAGCCTGGCGCATTCTAGGCTCTCAGTAACCGGCTGCCATCTCGAGCAGAGAGTAGCTGCTGTGTGCCTCAGGCCCATTCCAGCTAGGATGAGCAAGAGACACTGGTTCTAGAAAGGAACTCTTGTGAAAACAAATAAGCAGCCAAGCAAGGTGTCAAAGACTCTCCGATCCTGCTGTGTCATCGTTTGCGCTTGAATCATAAAGCTGTCTTTCCATCTGGTGCCATGGCTTAATTCATCCCTTACATTTTGGTCATAGCTCTGCCATCGCTTTGCTTGATTCCTGAGACAGAGGATGGGTTCTAGACCCAAAATGATTCTAGGATTAGGAGAAGAAGTTGTAGGTTTGGGAGGGGTTAGGGCAGATGGAAATGGTTGCCAGAGGGGTCTTTATACTGCCTCTGTGTGGTCCTTAACAATGTTTCACCTCCTGCTTCTACCTATTTCAGGGTCTCCCTCATGCCATCTGCTCTGCCTGGGCTGGCTTTGTTCTGTCTGTGGAGAGATTGAGATAATGTCTCTAAGAAATCTCCATCTTTCAGCTTCGGATCTCAGAGCACTCCAGGCGTGTCCGTCACTAATCCACAGGCAGGGCTCTGAAGCAGACGCCTTAACACCAATTCTGAGGCAGGGTGGATACCTGCTGCAGTGCAGAGTTAAATCTGAGAAGCTCAGAGAGGCGATCAGGGCGGCCTCTGAAAGCAATTATAGGGCTGAGCCTTTACAACAAAGGCTAGTTGACCCGACTTAACCAAGAAAGCCTGTATCACCCTACCTGGAAACCTGCCAGGCGTCCAAAAGTACTTCAAAGAATGCACCATCCCTGTGGCGGCTTTTCTGCGAGCAACCTCTCTTCTGCCTCTGATAGGACAGCTGACTTTCAGCCACGAGTGAGAAATACTCTGGAAAAGAAAATGCTTGTAGAACAAATGACTTTGTGAACACGAATTCTGGGATCGCATTAAGAAAATTAGGATGCATAAACCGGGCACGGTGGCTCACGCCTGTAATCCCAGCACTTTGGGAGGCTGAGGCAAGTGGATCACCTGAGGTCAGGAGTTCGAGACCAGCCTGGTCAACATGGTGAAACCAAGTCTTTACTAAAAATAAAAAAAATTAGCCAGGTGTGGTGGTGGGCGCCTGTAATCCCAGCTACTCCAGAGGCTGAGGCAAGAGAATTGCTTGAACCCAGGAGGCAGAGGTTGCAGTGAGCTGAGATCACACCACTGCACTCCAGCCTGGGTGACAGAGCGAGACTCCATCTCAAAACAAAAAAAAAAGAAAGAAAATTAGGATGCATAGGCTGGAAAGGGAAAGGTGGTGGGGGGGGGGGCGCATTTAAAAAGTGGCAAATGAGAAATTACGGCATTGCATCTTCTGTGGTTTGTTCAAGAGAATAGGAAGTCACCTGCTGCGTGAGTGGGCAGGTGGGGTCTGGTAGATGGTGCTGGTGTAGGTGACGAAAATACTCAGATATGAAATGGTGGCAGCAGTGTAAAAGGGCAGGAGCCTTTTGTAAACTGCCTTATAAATTAAAAAAAAAAATGTAGACTGGGTGCGGTGGCTCATGGCTGTAATCTCAACACTTTGGGAGGCCAAGGTGGGTGGATCACTTGAGGTCAGGAGTTGGAGATCAGCCTGGCCAACATAGTGAAACCCTGTCTCTACTAAAAACACAAAATCAGCCAGGTGTGCTGGTGCATGCCTGTAATTCCAGCTACTCTGGAGGCTGAGGCAGGAGAATCGCTTGAACCTGGGAGGCGGAGGTTGCAGTGAGCCGTGATTGTGCCACTGCACTCCAGCCTGGGCAACAAGAGAGAGAAAAAAACTCTGTCTCAGAGAGAGAGAGAGACAGAGAGAGAGAAAGGAAAGGAAGGGAAGGGGAGGGGAGGGGAGGGAAGAGAGAGAGAGAGAAAGAGAAAGAAAGAAAGAGAGACAGAAAGAGAGAAAGGAAGGAAGAAAGAAAGAAAGAAAAAGAGAAAGAAAGAGAAAGAAAGAAAGAGAGAAAGAAGTAAAGTCAATGATAAAGCAAGCAACACTTGAATATTACAAAAATTGTGTAGGAGTCTATGAATGGTGGTAATGTGGGAAACCTTGTCTTTAGAAATCACCCATTTCCCTTGAGGTCTCCTAGATCAAGTCCAAATAGTATTATATTCTCCACGTTAGGACTGCCTTGAACTTCAGTTCACTTGATTTTCCAATCGCCTTGGCCCATTCTCCACCTGCCTTCTCTCCTCTCCGCTGTGTTGGTGAAGCAAGCCCTGCTCCTGCCTTCCTCTCCTTTCTCCCTCCCTCCCCAGCATTGGGAGTCTTGGGGCTCTGACGGGGGTCCCGCGAAGTCCCAGTGCTGTAAATAGTGCCTGCCATACCTTGATGGAATGTTCCATACGAGCTACTGTTATTAGGTGTGTTCCCCTTATGGCTTTTCAAAATAAAGTAAAATAACACCGGCTTAGTTCTGAAAGGAACCCAGCCCTCCTTCTTTCTTTCCAATCCGACTTGTGTGTCTACATTTAATTAATTGGGCTTGTAGCTCATAGATCCTCTGATTTGCACAAACAATTAAGTGTAATTACTTGGGAACACCCATAAGGGCTCATAATCTATTATGCTTGGCAAATTTGGCCAAACAAAATTAGAGATGCCGTTTCCAAATCTGGTTCTGCTATGTCTACTGTGCTCATTCTTGGAATAAACATGCAAAGCAGAGTTGATTTACACGTTCGGCCTTTGATGACATTGTGATGTTGCATCATTTCTTCCAGGGCTAGATGCCTTGTTTTCAGAAAGACTAAAGCCTTCTCTGTCCAATTTTACTCAGTTCATTTCACCAGATACATGGGACACCTTCAAGGACCATACTTTGTTTCAAGCCCCCTTCCCCAACACACCATGTACTAAGCACTCTGCAAGGTGCTCCATGGGCAACTACCTTGTCCCATCTTGATCACTTCCAGATGTTCATTGCCCAGGAGACAATTTTCAGCTTTATATTTTTTTGAAATGAGTATGTGGACACTTCTGAAATCAATTTTTCTTGTTGCCATCGTTGCTAATGTGATTTCATTTTACGTGCTCTGCTTGGCTTCCTGATGAATTTATTCTTTGCACTTTCCTTGGAATTTCTGAGTCATAAAAATTAGAGACTCCATATCCCCAGAGGTGATGCCTTATCAGACCTGTGCTGAGGACACTGGCCTTGCCTACATGTGTGGTGAGTGGGTTGGGCTTTATGGAGAAGCTGAAAACGTGGGAGAAGGGGCTGGTAATCTAGATCTCTAGGCTAGGGCTCCTAATATTGGAGGGTGGGGGTAGTTTATGGCTCCTTTTGTAAAGTTAGATAGTGGGCCAAAGATAGAAGTTTGTGGAAAGCAGACAAAAGGAAGCAAGAGGCCAGGCATGGTGGCTCACACCTGTAATCTCAGCACATTGGGAGGCTGAGGCGGGTGGATCACCTAAGGTCAGGAGTTCAAGACCAGCCTGGCCAACATGATGAAACCCCATCTCTACTAAAAATACAAAAATTAGACGGGTATGGTGGCAGGTGCCTGTAATCCCAGCTACTTGGGAGGCTGAGGCAGGAGAATCACTTGAACCCGGGAGGCAGAGGTTACAGTGAGCCAAGATTGTGCCACTGCACTCCAGCCTGGGCAACAAGAGCGAAACTCTGTCACAAAAACAAACAAAAAGAAAAAAACGGTGGGTGGGTAGCAAGAGTTGGCAAGTGGTTGTCTTCAGGGAAAGAGAGGACTGCTATGTCTTCATCACCTCAGGGAAGAGAGTCTTGCAGCAGGGCACAAAAGCCTTCATTAAAAAAAAGACTTGGCCGGGCATGGTGGCTCACACCTGTAATTCCAGCACTTTGGGAGGCCGAGGTGGGCGGATCACAAGGTCAAGAGATTGACCTGTCCTGGCCAACATGGTGAAACCCCATCTCTACTAAAAATACAAAAACTAGCTGGGTGTGGTGGCGCACACCTGTAGTCCCAGCTACTTGGGAGGTTGAAGCAGAAGAACTGCTTGAACCTGGGAGGCAGAGGTTGCAGTGAGCCGAGATCACGCCACTGCACTCCAGCCTGGGCGACAGAGGGAGATTCCGTCTCAAGAAAAAAAAAAAAAAGAAAAGAATTAATGCAGATCAGATTAGGCAAATCAGTACAGATGGGGACAGCCACACCTAACCTGGAGAAAGTAAGGGGACACTGTCTCATCCTCCACTCAGGGACCACTCCACATTTAGTACAAAGCACTTGTGCCAGTCAACCTTACCGGGTAATGACGGAACTCCAAGCAAGTCACTTAGCCTCTGCCAGTCTCAGTCAAGCCATCCATAAACTGGGAACAGTCAGAGCCAGGCTGCGTGGTGGAGCCATTTCCAAAGCCCCTGCTATCTCCCCACCTCCCAGTTCTACCAACATTAATTGCTTTTGCCCCATTTTACTTTTAAATTTTAAATCAATTTAATAGTTATGTTTTACAATTACTATGAATTCTACAATTACACAAATAACACGCACATATATTCTCCATGTAAAAACAAACACACATTACAGACAAAGCTGAAGTTTCCTTTGGTCATTGTCATTAATTTGTTGTGGACTTTCAAACCTTTTTGCATGTGATAAATATAATTATGTTTATATTTAAAGTGTAATTGATATCAAATGGCACATATTTCACAAGTTTTTTTATTCATTCATCATGCCCTAGAGATCTTTCCCTGGTGGTAATTTCATATTTATATCATTCTGTTTAAAAATGTTACAGTATGATTGTGCCATAAATGTTTTATTCCCATGGATGGACATTTAGACTGTTTTCCGCTAATTTGGAAGACCTTGTGAGGGGTGGGAGGAATGGAGCAGGAGTCTGTCCCCTCTATGAGCTTATTTACAAGAATTTTGTCTCAACCAAGTTTATTTCCCTGGCAGGCCCTTCATCGGGAGACTGGCAAGAGAAGCACAGTTTGAGTTCAGTGAAAGGTCTGAGACAGGATGACCCTGTTTTTAGGAAGCATGCAGTAGAAGACCTAAGAATGCATGAAAACAATAAAACATCTTAGATCCTTAGAATAAACAAAGGAGACAAAGACAAAATGATCTCTTTGCTCCTCGGACAGATCCTAATTAAGTTAAGGTAGATGAAGAAATTAGGATCAGGAGATAAACGGGATAAGGCCCTGCCCTCAACATGCTTGCCATTTAATGAAGAGGAACCCAGGGAGATAAGATATGTAGACAGAGGAATGTGGGCCATGCACTCAGAGCTGCAGAGACACAGAGCTAAGAGGGAATAGGGAGTGCTTGCTTGCAGAGATGAAACTTGCAAAGAAAGGAAGCTTCTAACTGAGTTAGAAGCGAGGGAAAGAAGAGATGGATGAAGGCCTGGGGAGCTAGAAAGAGAAAGATTCCAGGAAAGAAGAAAGTGATCTAAGTTAGCACTTCTCCAACTTGAATATGCACGGGTCACACCAGGGATCTTAGAACGAAGCAAATCCTGACCCAGTTAATCTGGGATGGGGTCCAAGATATTCTGCGTTTCTGTAATGCCTCTGGTTCCTGGACCCCTCATGGTACAGAGGGAGGACGCCCTGGCTATATTTGGAGGCCTCAGGCTAGAACTAAAAATGATAGGAATTTGACATTAAAATTGTGATCAAATTCCAGAGGGACATGAACATCAGAATGACTTGATAACATTGCTTGTTTTGAGCTTTTCCTTCAAATTTTAGCCCCTGATGTGGTTTGTTTACGGTAACAACAACAGGAATACTCACTGAGCCACTACTACATACAGGCACTTTGCTCAGTGCTGGAAATACAGCAGTGATCCATGGACCAAAATCCCTGTTCTAGTGCAGATGACATTCTTTCTAATGAGGTGAGAAAGATAATAAGCAACACAAATAATAAATAAGTAAGTGACTTAGTGTTAGTGATAAATACTATGGAAACAATAGAGCAATTAAAAAGGAATAGAATGGCCAGGATGAATTTTATTTTTAAGTAAGGTGGTCAAGGTAGGCCTTAGTGACTTGCATAAAGATGTGAGGGCGATAAAGGGGTTAACCATGCGGGTAATGAGGTAACAGCATTACAGGCAGAGGGAACAGCCAGTGCAAACGCCCTGAAATGTTACAGATGAGGGAAATAAGACACCGAGAGGTTAGGTAACTTACCCAAGATTTCCCACCCAAAATGTAAACCCAGATCAAACTCAAGTTCATGATCTTAATTAACCACTATTCTTAGTCTAGCATCATATGGTCTGTGGTGTCACAGATGAGTCCCTGAGAGTAAAAATTTACTGAGTACTTCCAACATTGTACAATGGACAGTTACTCTCCCTGCCTAAACAGGTACAAGAGAGTTGGGTGAAAGGGCTCTGCTCCATCCCAGCTCCTTCCAGGGCCCTGCTTACTCCTAATTCTCCACTCTTTTCTTTCTTTTTCTTTTCTTTTTTTTTTTTTTTTGAGATGGAGTCTCCCTCTGTTGCCCATGCTGGAGGGCAGTGGTGCGATCTTGGCTCACTGCAACCTCTGCCTCACAGGTTCAAGCGATTCTCCTGCCTCAGCCTCCCAAGTAGCTGGGACGACAGGTGCGTGCCACCATGCCCGGCTAATTTTTTGTATTTTTAGTAAAGACAGGGTTTCACCATATTAGCCAGGATGGTCTCAATCTCCTGACCTCGTGATCCGCTCACCTCCGCCTCCCAAAGTGCTGGGATTACAGGCGTGAGCCACTGTGCCCAGCCCTAATTCTCCCTTCTTTATACCTGGAAAAACCTCTCATTTTGTTCCTACCTGTGCTTCCTCATCATCTAGCAGTGTGACCATGGGCATTTACTTAACCACTCTGAACTTCACGTTTCTTCCTCTATAAATGGTGTTACCTCATGGAGCTGCTGGGAAGATGAGATGAGAAAATGTACATTATAATAATAGCTACTTTTTTTTTTTTTTTGAGCCAGAGTCTTGCTGTGTCACCCAGGCTGGACTGCAGTGGCACAATCTTGGCTTACTGTAATCTCTGCCTCCTAGTTCAAGCGATTCTCCTGCCTCAGCCTCCCAAGTAGCTGGAATTCCATGTGCCTGCCACCACGCCCCACTAATTTTTTTTTTTTTTTTTTTTTTTTTTTTTTTGGTATTTTAGTAGAAACGGGGTTTCACCATTTTGGTCAAGCTGGCCTTGAACTCCTGACCTCGTGATCCGCCTGCCTCAGCCTCCCAAAGTGCTGGGATTACAGGCATGAGCCACCACGCCTGGCCAATAATAGCTACTATTTATTGGTCGTCTATCATATTCTAGGCACTGTGCTAAGCACTTTACGTATATTCTCTTAGTCCTTATGACAACCACGTGGCTAGGTACATTAGTAGTGTCCCATTTTAAAGAAGATGAAACTGAGACTCAGAGAAAAGTGACTTGTCCAGATCTACAATTAAGAAGTAATACAGTTCAGAGAGGAAGCTGGGAAGGTCTGACCCCATGGCCCAAGTTCTTAACCACTTAGGCTGCCTTATGGCTCCACACTCTGCTGTTATGATCAAACAACTAAGAAATGCATGGAATTTGAACTTTCTTAGCTGTTCATGCAGAATAATCTTTAGGGGTTTTAGAAGTGGATTTCTAGGGCTTCTCTTGGTCAATTTGTACCTAAGGGTTTAAGTGCTCAGAATGGTGGCAGAGAAGGAAGAGCTTACCTTCTAGCAGGAGACAGACAGTTAGTATTTAACACCTAGTAAGTATTTTAACAAGGAAACAAATAAGGTAAGCCTGGAGCAGCTTACTGTGCCAGAAAGTAAGGTAAGACCTGAAAGACTGATGAAGACAGGTCAAAAGAACATAAGACATCAGCTTACAGGGCCCCCACCAACCTGATCTAGATACATTTTAAGATCAAAGTGAATTATCACAGTAATGGATGATAACACACTGAATGAGATCTCGAGTCCATTCTAATTCAAACAAACAAATAAATACATTCATATAAAAGGAGGAGGGAAAGCTTTTCTTTAAAGTGGAATGCCAACTAATAAATTTAGAAGGAAATAGGCCGGGTGTGGTGGCTCACACCTGTAATCCCAGCACTTCAGGAGGCCAACATGGGCGGATCACCTGAGGTCAGGAGTTTGAGACCAACTTGGCCAACATGGTGAAATCCCATCTCTACTAAAAAAAAAAAACACACAAAAATTAGCTGGGCTTAGCGGGCACCTGTAATCCCAGCTACTCAGGAGGCTGAGGCAGGAGAATCGCTTGAACCTGGGAGGTGGAGGTTGCAGTGAGCTAATATCGTGCCACTGCACTCCAGCCTGGATGACAGAGCAAGATTCGGTTTCAAAAATGAATAAATATAAATAAATAAATTTAGAAGGAAACAAATAGAAAAAAACATTTTGCAAGTCCACAGCAATAACTGACTCAGGTACAAATCCATGAATGTTAAACCATTGAATGAAAACTTGATGAGGAGCAGAATAATATTCACATATTCACAAAGGATCTTCCTACATATTTGTTATAGTTTGCCAAGGGGTAAAATAGTGCCTTCACAATGGAGTGCTCTGGGAGTATCATCTTTGACAAGTGATCAAAGTGAACATTTTCAATAATAGGACAAACCGACATCGTGTGCCTCCTGGTACAACAAGCTGAAAAGAACACCGCATCACTAAGTACTTTTGCTCAGAAATGCATCCCCTAAGTTCAGTCATGAGGAAACAGAAAAACAAAACAAAACCGAAGATGTTTCCTTGCCATTCAAAACTGCAAAACTCATGAAAGAAAGAAAGGCTGAGACCTGTTTCAGATTCAAGGACAGTAAGGAGACAAGGCAAACACAACAAGTGATTCTGGATTGCATCCCAGATTGGAAGAAGAAACTGCCATGAAAGATATTCTTGGACAATTTGTGAAAGTTGAATATGGACTACATACCAAACGACGGTATGTATCAATATTAGATAGAAGGACTGTGTGAGTGTTAAATTTCTTGAATGTGATAATGGCATGGTGGCTATTTAGGAGAATGTCCTTATTCTTAGGAACGCTGATGTGTTTAGGGGTAAAGTGCTATGATGTCTGCAACTGACTCTCAAATTGCTCAGCCAGCACTTCAAAAAGATTATATATGCCCACATAGAAGATAAAGCATACTTTATCTTCTTTATACTTTTTTAATGGACAGAAATTGTATATATTTATAGTATGCAACATGATTTTTTTATGTATATACATACATTTTGGAATGACTAAAAATCAAACTAATCAACACATGCAATACTCACATACTTTTGTAAGAACATTTAAAATCTACTTTCTTAGCAATTTTAAAGTATACAATACATTGTTATTAACTATAATCACCGTGTTGTACAATAGATCTCCTAAACTTTTTCCTTCTTCTCACTGAAAATAAAGCATATTTGACAAAAGGTTAACAACTAATGAGCCATGCATGGTGGCTCACGCCAGTAATCCGAGCACTCTGGGAGGCCGAGACAGGTGGATCACCTGAGGTCAGGAGTTCGAGACCAGTCTGGCCAACAAGGTAAAACCCTGTCTTTACTAAAAAAATACAAAAAATTAGCCAGGCATGGTGCCACATGCCTGTAATCCCAGCTACTCTGGAGGCTGAGGCAGGAAAATCTCTTGAACCGGGGAGGTGGAGGTTGCAATGAGCCAAGATCACGCCATTACCCTCCAGCCTAGGCGACAGAGTGAGACTCCATCTCAAAAAAAAAAAAAAAAAATTATTCCAGATGAAGGATAGACACAGGTTTATACTAGCAGTCTGGCCATTTTTTATAGAATTACATTTGTCATAATAACTAGTTAAAAACATAAATTAAATACCTATAGATAACAATACCATAGTATATACCTAAAAATCTGTAAAAAGGGTAGATCTCATGTTAAATGTTCTTACCAGAATTTTAAAACTATATAGACAAGATAATTGTGAAT
Organism: Homo sapiens; assembly: GCF_000001405.40. Taxonomy (NCBI): domain Eukaryota; kingdom Metazoa; phylum Chordata; class Mammalia; order Primates; family Hominidae; genus Homo; species Homo sapiens. The sequence continues at coordinate 174,599,063 of NC_000005.10, forward strand.
ACTGACAACTGTTACGAAGAAGACAAGATGTAATCATACATTTTTTTTTTTTTTTTTTTTTTAGGCGGGGGAGATGGAGTCTCGCTCTGTTGCCCAGGCTAGAGTGCAGTGGCACAATCTCAGCTCACTGCAACTTCGGCCTCCTGGGTTCAAGCGATTCTCTTGCCTCAGCCTTTTGAGTAGCTGGGACTACAGGTGTGTGCCACCACGCCCAGCTAATTTTTGTATTTTTAGTAGAGATAGGGTTTCACCGTGTTAGCCAGGATGGTCTCAATCTCCTGACCTCGTGATCTGCCTGCCTCAGCCTCCCAAAGTTCTGGGATTACAGGCATGAGCCACCGCTCCAGGCCAGGAAGTGTACATTTTTAAATAACTAACAGAGTATAATTGGATTATTTGAAACACAAAGGATAAATGCTTGGGGTGATGGATACCCCATTTTTTCTGATGTGATTATCACCCATTGGATGCTTGTATGAAAATGTCTCATGTGCTCCAAAATATATACACCTACTATGTACCCACGAGAATTAAAAATAAAAACTTAAAAACCAAAAATAAAAAATATGATGGAGTAACAGGATAGAGCTGATCTCTCCAAATATGATAGCAACTAGCTACATTTCTTTAGCTACTTATTTTTAATTTTCAATTCGTTAAAATTAAATAAAAACATACAGTTCTGTAGTCACACTTGCCACCTTCTGAGGCTCAGTAGTCTCCTGGATAGTAGCCACTGCATTGAATGTTACAGATAAAGAATATTTCAATCGCTGCAGAAAGTTCTGTTTGTTGCACGGTGCTGGTGAGAGTTGCAGGAGTGGGAAGGAAAGAGGAGACAGGGAAGCCTCTCTGAGATGAAGACGTCTGGCTGAGACTTGCAGGGTGGGAAGGAGGCAGTTCTGTGGAGCAGGAAGATGTGTTTCAGGCAGAGGGGACAAAAGGTGCAGACACACTGAAACAGGAGCACACCTGGAGTTTGAGAGAAAAAGAAAGAACAGGATGGCTGGAGGAGGGTGAACAAGAGGGAGGGTGTTAAAGGAGGAAGTTGATCAGGTGGTCAAAGTAACACTTTGTACTCCTGCCAGATCACTAAAAGGACTGCAACTTCAGTCGGGTGCTCCTTAACACCCTCTCCTGGAAGGCAGCCACTGTGCCGCAAGGAAGCCCTCTAAGGCAGCCCATGGCAAGATCTCTACGGAGATCCCTACAACTGTGCCGGAGCTCCCAGGTGGAAAGCAGGTGGCTTGAAAGAGGCTCCTTCAGCCTCCAGCGGAGAACCCCAGCTGACCCTGCGTGGAGCAGAGACTCACCATTCCCATCAAGCCCTGCCCAAATTACAAAATCATGAGCAAAACAAATGATGGTGGTTGTTTTAAGATAAACGATACAGAGAGACCCAGCTACAAAGTGGTGGAGGGGAAGCGAGTCCTGTAGCTTTCAGCTGCGTTGCATCAAATAATCCAGCTTTGCCACATCACAGCTGGGAAACGTCAGGCAAATCTCCCCGCAGGTGAGAGCACCTAGCACAACTGCAGACACTTAGAATAAGCAAATACTACTGCTTGAGTGTTAAAACTCCTCAAACCCCACTTGGAAGTATAAACACATCTTCCTTTATCAACGTTAAGAGTTAAACTTGTCCCACCGGATCTAATTTGGAGGTTTCTTCTTTAGTAGGTCTCACACTTTACAGAAGCCAGCTGATGAGTCTGTTAAACTGAAAACCCAGAATCTTTCTCAGTTCTCCCATTTCCCACTTCTGGGGTCAAACCCTGGAGTTTGTATTTTAAAATATTTTTCAACTTTACTGACATACAATTGAAGTACACTAAATGGCATATATTGAAAGTGCACAATGTGATCAGTTTTGACACATGTATACCTCCATGAATCCATCTTCACAATCAAGATTATAAATATTTCCTTGACTAGCCGGGTGCAGTGGCTCATGCCTGTAATCCCAGCATTTTGGGAGGCTGAGGCGGGCAGATCACCTGAGGTCAGGAGTTCGAGACCAGCCTGTCCAGCATGGTAAACCCCGTCTCTACTAAAAATACAAAAATTAGCCGGGCATGGTGGCAGGTGCCTGTAATCCCAGCTACTCTGGAGGCTGAGGCAGGAGAAGCGCTTGAACCCGGGAGGCAGAGGCTGCAGTGAGCCAAGATCATGCCATTGCACCCCAGCCTGGGAGACAAGAGCAAGACTTCATCTTAAAAAAAAAATTTCCTTGACCACCAAAGATGGCTTTTGTACCCTTTGTAATCCAGCCTTCCTTCCATCACTTTACCCGACAACCACTGATATGCTTTGTCACTCTATTCGTGCATACTTTAAAAAAAACAAAAACACTGCACTCCAGCCTGGTGACAGAGCGAGACTCTGTCTCAGAAAAAAAACAAAAAGAAAAAAACAAAAAACAAAAACTTTATATATTGAATCATATCTCATGAACTCTTTTTGTTGTCTGGCTTGTGTCACTCAACACCATGATTTTGAGATTCGTCCACATAGTTCATGTATCAACATTTCATTCCTCTTTATTGCTGATTAATACTCCAGCGTATGAACGCCACAGTGTCCAATCATCTGCTGATGGACATTTGGGTTGTTTCCAATTTTGGCTAGGACAAATAAAGCTGCTGTGAACAGCCATGGGTAGTTGGGTACACTTGGGAGTTGAATGACTGAGCTGCATGGCAGATGATGTTTAACTTTTTTTATAAACTGCAAAACCATTTTTGCCAAGTGGTTTTACCTTCTTATGTCCCTTACAGCAGTGCATGAGAGTTCTGGCTATCCCACATCTTTGCCAACACTTGGTACAGTTTTAAAAATTTTAGCCAGTGGTGTGCTGGACCCAGCTTGCACCAGCTTGTGGGAGCCAACTCTGCATCTTTTCCCAATTCTGGGTTCAGCGACTTCTTGTTGGTACCTTGAAATCAACCATGGTGGAAATATTTACTCCATAGAAACTGGCAAATGCTACTAATCAGACTTCCTTCACCTCTACTCCACCCAGAACAGCTGTTAATCATTTACCAACACACCATTGATTGCAGCCATTCTAGTGGGTATGTAGTGGTATTTCATTGTCATTCAATTTACATTTCCCTGATGACTAATGGTGTTGAGCAGCTTTTCATGTGCTTATGGGTCATTCTCATCTCTTCTTTTGAGAAGTATCTGTTGAAATCTTTGCCTATTTTCTCACTGGGTTGCAGACCCTTTTCACTTTCTTAATGGTGTCTTTCAAAGCACAAAGGTGTCTTATTTTAATTGAAGTATAATTTATCATTTTTTCTTTATGATTTGTGATTGTTGTGTTCTATGTAAGAAATGGGATGCAAAAATATTTTCCTATGGTTTCTTTTTTCTTTCTTTTTTTTTTGAGACAGAGTTTCACTCTGTCACCCAGGCTAGAGTGCAGTGGCAGGATCTCGGCTCACTGCAAGCTCCGCCTCCTGGGTTCATGCCATTCTCCTCCCTCAGCCTCCTGAGTAGCTGGGACTATAGGTGCTCGCCACCACACCCAGCTAATTTTTTGTATTTTTAGTAGAGACGGGGTTTCACCGTGTGAGCCAGGATGGTCTCGATCTCCTGACCTCGTGATCCGCCCGCCTCGGCCTCCCAAAGTGCTGGGATTGCAGGTGTGAGCCACCGTGCCTGGCCTCTCCTATAGTTTCTTTTTAAAAGTTTTGTGGTTTTAAGTTTTGCATTTGAATCTGTAATTCATTTTGATTCAATTTTTATGCATGGTGTGGGTTTTGTGTCAATATTCACTTTTTTCTTGCATATTTATCTAGCACCATTTGTTGAAAAGTCGTCTTTTCTCACAGAATTGCCTTGGCTCCTGTATCAAAACAACTGACCAATACATGTGTGTCAATTTATGGACTCTCTAATCTGTTCCACTGAGCTATATGTTTACATTTTCACTAATACTGAACTGTCTTGATTACTGTAGCTTTATAGTAAGTCTTAAAAGCAAATAGGGTAGATTATCCAACTTTTTTTAAAATTGCTTTTGTTATTCTACACCCTTTGTTTTTGTTATTCTATACCCACTTTCTCGTGGAAATCGAGTTTGTCAATTTCCACTAGAATACTTTCTAAAATTTCTATTGGGATTGCATTGAATCTGTAGCTTAATTTGGAGAAAAGCACCATCTTAACGATATTGAGTCTTCCAAACCAAACAGGACATATTTTTTCATTTATTTAGGTCCTTCTTAATTTCCCCAGCATTGCTTTGTAATTATCAGTGTAGAAGTCTTGCATGTCTTTTTTTTTTTTTTTTTTTTTTTTTTTTTTTTTTGATGAAGTCTTGCTCTGTTGCCCAGGCTGGAATGCAGTGGCGCAATCTCGGCTCACTGCAATCTCCGACTCCCTGGTTCAAGTGATTTTCCTGCCTCAGCATCCCAAGTAGCTGGGATTATAGGCACGTGCCACCACACCCAGCTAATTTTTGAATTTTTGGTAGAGACGGGGTTTCACCATGTTGACCAGGATGGTCTCCATCTCCTGACCTCGTGATCCGCCTGCCTCAGCCTCCCAAAGTGCTGGGCTTACAGGCGTGAGCCACCACAACTCTTGCATGTCTTATGTTAGATTTTTTTCCTAGGTATTTTATATTAGATTTTTTCCTAGGTATTTAATGTTTTGGTACTACCATACACAGAATTGTTTGCTTAATGTTATCAGTTGTTTGATGTTCCAACATAAGGGTTATAATTAATTTTGTATATTAACCTTGTCTTCTGCAGCATTGCTAAATTCATTTACTAGTTCCAGTAGTTACTTTTTAGACTCCCTTGAATTTTCTGCATAAATTATTATAGCACCTGAAAGCAGGGGTAGAGTTATTTCTTCCTCCCCAAATGTTATGCCTTTTGTTTCTTTTTCTTGCTTTGTTGCATTGGCTAGATTCCCTAGAATAATGTTGAATACAAGTTGTGAGAGCAGGCATCCTTGCCTTTTTCTGGATTTCAGGGGAAACAATTCAACCTTTCATCATTAAGAATGATGGGGCTGGGCACGGTGGCTCACACCTGTAATCCCAGCACTTTGGGAGGCCGAGGCGGGCGGATCACAAGGTCAGGAGATCGAGACCATCCTGGCTAAACGGTGAAACCCCATCTCCACTAAAAGTACAAAAAATTAGGCGGGCATGGTGGTGGGCGCCTGTGGTCCCAGCTACTCGGGAGGCTGAGGCAGGAGAATGGTGTGAACCCGGGAGGCGGAGCTTACAGTGAGCCGAGATTCTGCCACTGCACTCCAGTGTGGGTGACAGAGCGAGACTGTCTCAAAAAAAAAAAAAAGAATGATGTTCGCTATAGATTTTTGTTTAAAAATAGATGATCTTTAGCAGTTTGAGGATATTCCCTACTATTCCTAGGTTGCTATAAGTTTTTATTTTGAATGGGTGGAATTTCTTCTTTCAAATGCTTTTCCACAATCTATTGAAATCATCCTATGGTTTCTTCACCTTTATTCTGTTGCTTTTGGTATTACATTGATAGACTTATTTTATTTTATTTTATTTTTGAGGCAGAGTCTAGCTCTGTCACCCAAGCTGGAGTACAGTAGTATGATCCTGGATCACTGCAACCTCCGCCTCCCGGGTTCAAGCAATTCTCCTGCCTCAGCCTCCCAAGTAGCCGGGATTATAGGTGCCCACGACCATGCCCAGGACTTTTTGTATTTTTAGTAAAGATGGGGTTTCACTGTGTTGGCCAGGCTGGTCTTGAACTCCTGACCTCGTGTTCCACCCGCCTCGGCCTCCCAAAGTGCTGGGGTTACAAGCATGAGCCACCACGTCCGGCTGATAGCTTGATTTTCAAATATTAAACTAGGCTTTCATTTTGGGTAATAAATCCTACTTAGTCATGATTTATTATCATTTGTATATATTGTTGGATTCAATTTTCTATTTTTTTGCTAATTTTTGGTGTATGCTTATAAAAATATTAAGTTTATAATTTTTTAAAAAATATCTGCCAGATTTTGGTGCTTAAGGTATACCAGACTTATACAATTGGGAATGATTCTGCCTTCTCTAATTTTAAAAATATTTATGAAATATTGGTGTTATTTCTTCCTGAAATATTTGACAGAATTTACCAGTGAAACCATGTGGTCCTGGAGTATTTTGGAAGGAAAAATTTTTAAGTAACAAATTCAATTTTTTAAATAGGTTAGGGCTAGAGTTTATGTTTCTCATGTCAATTTTGATGAGTTCTATTTTTCAAGACATTTGCTCATTCCATCTAATTTATTAGATTTATTGGCATAAAGGTGTTCATAGTATTTTATTATATTTTTCAATGTTTTTAGGACCTGTGGTAATCGTCCATTTTAAATTTCTGATATGGATGATTGATTTTTTCATGACTTAGTCTAGTTAGGGACTTTTCAGTTTTGTTAATTATTTTTAGAGAAAAAGATTTGGACTTCCTAATTTTCTCTATTGTCTGTTTTGTTTCATAAGTTTTTGTCCTTATCATGATCATTTCTTTCCTTATATTTACTTTTGATTGACTTTGTTTTTTTTTTCCTATTTTCTTAAGGTAGAAACTTAGGTCATTGACTTTAGACATTTTTTTCTTTTCTAATGTCAGCATTTAAAGCTGTAACTTTCCCCTTAAACACTACTTTAGCTGCATCTGACATTATTTTGATGTATTGCATTTGTATTTATCTTTCAGTGCAAAATATGTTATAATCTAGGCCGGGCGCGGTGGCTCACACCTATAATTCCAACACTTAGGAGGCTGAGGTGGATCACCTGAGGTCAGGAGTTCGAGACCAGCCTGACCAACAACGCGAAACCACGTCTCTACTAAAAATACAAAAATTAGTTAGCCGAGTGGATGCACTCCTGTAATCCCAGCTACTCGGGAGGCTGAGCAGGAGAATCGCTTGAACACGGGAGGTGGAGGTTTCAGTGAGCCGAGATCGTGCCACTGCCCTCCAGCCTGGGTGACAGAGCAAGACTCCTTCTCAAAAATAAACAAACAAAAAAACCCAAAAAACAAAAATATGCTATAATCTTCCTTGTATAATTTTGGTTTTGGTCTATAAATTACTTCAAAATGTGTTATTTAATTTCCACACATTTGGGGTTTTCCTAGATATATTTTTATTATTAATTCCTAATTTAATTCCACTGCAGTCAGAAAACACATTTTGTGTGATTGCAGTCCTTGCAAATTTATTAGGACTTGTTTTATGGCCCAGGATATGGTCTATCTTGACATATGTACCATGGGTACTTAACTAGCTGGATGTGTTTAGACAAGTTACTTAATCTCTCTGGTCTCAATTTACTCACATATAAAAGCCGGACGACAGCAATAGCACTTACCTCCAAAGGCTGTTGTCAGGATTCAAGTAGGTAACAAGAAAAGCACTAAGCACAGCGGCTGGCACATAGTACACATGCCATACATTTAGCTTTTATTATTATCACTCAAAAGGTGAAAACCCTGCTAGCCGCTGGGTTTGTTTTATTCCGGGCTCCACCACAATGTCCTAAAGCTTCCCCATAAAACAGCTAAAACAAAACAGCTAAAGGTTCCCTCCTCCAGCCCCAGTTTCTTTTCACGGAATTCTGATCAAATCCAGAATCCCTTTCCGTTGTCCTTAGGGCTCTGTGTGGTCCTGCCTCTGCCTGTCTCACTGACCTCCTCTCTCTCCACTCTCCCTCTGGATCCACCACTCACCAGCCACAACCATGTTCCATCTCGTCCTTAAACACCACTAGCAGGAACTTTCCCAGTCTGGGCCTTTGTGCATGCTTCTCCCTCTGTCTGGAAGCTTCTCATTTCTTGCATTCTTCGATAGTTACAACTCAGTTTAAATGTGGCTTTCTCCAGGAAGTCTTCCTTGACTGCACAATCTAAACTCAGTCTACTTGATATTATCTTTCATACCAGCTGGCTTTTCCTTCAAAGCACTTAGCACAATTTGTACAAGTTCAACCTCCCCCACGAGATTGTATGCACCAAGAAGGAAGAACTTTAGCTGTTTTGTTGATCCTGTGTCCAGTGCTGTGGCTGGAAATGACAGCAGTCACGTTCATGCACGTCTATAACCCCTGTTGAATGAGTAAACCCTTGCTGTTATAAACCCCAGATAGGTGAGCCAGGGCAAATCACTTGACTTCTTTGAGCTTTATTTTCCTCATCTGGAAAATGCCTGCCATCATCCTTCCCTCAAAGTGTTATTGAGAAAAGTTTTCATGTGTTCATGAAAGCCAGAAATATACTCAAACAAGTATACCACTGCATAGAACCTACAAATGTCCATTGTCACTTGATTGTAAAAGCGGAAAACTAGAAGCAACTGAGAAGATCAGCCACAGACACCCGGTTAATAAACCACACTCATACAACAGAGCACCGTGGAGGTGCTTACAAAATGTATCTCCTCATGATGGAAAGACATATTACAGGGAAATAAAATTGAAGAAGATTGTCTCTAGTGAGAGCTGATTTTTGAAGAGCATTTGACAAAATACATGTTTTCGGCAGGCCACGGTGGCTCACGCCTATAATCCCAGAACTTTGGGAGGCTGAGGCGGGTGGATCACGAGGTCAGGAGTTTGAGACCAGCCCAGCCAAGATGGTGAAACTCTGTCTCTACTAAAAATACAAAAAAATTAGTGGGCATGGTGGCGGGCACCTGTAATCCCAGCTACTCGGGAGGCTGAGGCAGAGAACTGCTTGAACCCCGGAGGCGGAGCCTGCAGTGAGCTGAGATCGCGCCACTGCACTCCAGCCTGGGCAATAGAGCGAGACTCCATCTCAAAAAAAAAAAAAAAATAGAAAAAGATACATGTTTTCTCAAACCAGAAACTTCTGACATTGTTTATTTCTTGGGGGTGAGACTGGAAAAGGGGAGATATGTTTCATTTTAAGCCTGTTTGAAATTTTTTACCATGGGCACTTACTGCTTTTGTAAACAAGGAATTCTTTCATGTTTAAAACATGGTGGTGAGCAGTTGCTGAGCCGCGCAGGGCAGGACTCCTCCTCTCGCTCCAGCTGCTTGTTAGCATCGAGTCTCCGGGTAATTTTGACAGCGCCAAGCAAGCCCCAGAGCTGAGTGCCAACACGTCACTCTACAGAGTGCCCTGTGCTGGTCATTAGAGCCCTGCTCCTGTTCTGTGGCTATAATCCTAGCACTTTGGGAGGCCGAGGCAGGTGGATCACCTGAGATCAAGAGTTCGAGACCAGCCTGGCCAACATGGTAAAACCCTGTTTCTACTAAAAATACAAAAATTAGCTGGGCGTGGTGGTGGGCACCTGTAATCCCAACTACTCGGGAGGCTGAGGCAGGAGAATCACTTGAACCCAAGAGGCAGTGGTTGCAGTGAGCCGAGATCATACCATCGCACTCCAGCCTGGGCAACAGAGCAAAAACTCCGTCTCAAAAAAAAAAAAAAAAAAAGACAAAACAGAACAAACAGAAGCAGCCCTTTCTGGGTAGCAAGGGCCGCGGTGGTGGCAGTGGCTGGTGGCTGGTGGCTGGCAGCTTGATTTCCTACCTCAAGCTCCCTGATGCCTGCTGGAAGGGTTCTCCAGACAGCCCGACTGCAGCTGGAGCCACAGGTACCAGGCCTGAAGACCAAGCAATAAATCATTAGCAGATTGGCCCACGGATCACTTCCCTTTTGGGGCGCTGCCTGGCACTTCCCAAGAGGAAGAAATTTATCAGCACTTGGCTGGCTGCCCTGTGCTCGCACAGTCGCGGGCTCCCAGTAGGTCACACCGAGTGGCCCCTCCTCCTCAGACACAGGGCTGTGCCTGGGGAGGCCCAAGAAAGCCAAAGAATAGGCCACGGGCTCAGAAGACAGGGTGAGAAACACTTAGTCAGCATAATCCCTGCCAATCACACCAGGGCTTCCGGTAATACCAAGAGGGGAGCGGGTGAGAAGGTGGATTCTGAATCTGACCACGTAACTCTGCACTGCCACGAAGGCCCCAGCTCATGCCCCGCGCTCAGCAGAGAGTGGGCTTGGGCCTCATCTTCCTGTAACCGGGGGCTGGGGACCACTTTGATCTCACTGTTCCCCTTGCTGCTGTTCACACCAGTACGGCGCCTTCAAGAAGTTATCCCAGGGCAATTTTCCACCTTTGAAGTCCCCGGAAAACCCTGCCAAAAGCCGTTCTGGTGTGAGGATGCTGCAGGGGCAGGCAGCCTGGTGCCGCGGCCTCCCGGGTGCCAGAACTGGAACATCGAGACATCAAAGGCGAAGGTGGCAGCAGGGCGATGAGTAAGCTCCGCTGCAGGCTTGGCCTCGGCCCCAGAAGCCTTCTCCTCATCTCCCAGTGGTGGCTGAGCAGGACTAGGGAGACGACCCAGAGAGCCTGGAGACCTGGCTTGGGGGAAGCCCTGTGGATGCTTCTGGAGGCGGACACTTCCCTGCTGCTCTGTGCCTGGTAAAGGCACCGACCACTGCAGAGCAGAAGCAGAGTCCAATCCTGGCTCCAAAGCGCCCCTGACTGCAAAGCTTTGGTAACTCCCATCCCCTCTTGGGTCCCCAGTTTCTTCATCTGTCACATGAGAATGTGGGATCAGACCCCAAATGACCAACTGGCAGCCCACGGGCCACGTCAGGCCCACAGACATGTCTTGTTTGGCCCACAAGTGAGTTTTTGTTTGTTTGTTTGTTTGTTTGAGATAGAGTCTTGCTCTGTCGCCAGGCTGGAGTGCAGCAGCGTGATCTCGGCTCACTGCAACCTCCACCTCCCGGGTTCAAGTGATTCTCCTGCCTCAGCTTCCCGAGTAGCTGGGACTACAGGCGCATGCCACGATGCCCAGCTAATTTTTGTATTTTTAGTAGAGACAGAGTTTCACCATGTTGGCCAGGATGGTCTCGATCTCCTGACCTCGTGATCTGCCAGCCTCAGCCTCCCAAAGTGCTGGGATTACAGGCGTGAGTCACCGTGCCCAGCTGTTTTTTTAATTAGTTGTCAATTATTTCCAACTTGTAAAAATTAGGAGATTCAACACTACTTTCTACATTTTTTTATTCTTTTGCAAAAATCTGGGAAATCTGACAATGCTGGGCCTGCTGTCCAAGAGGGCAGATGTGGGCAGGAGCTGGGTAGCAGCTGCCACTTCTTCAGGAAACCTAAGTCCCAGTTGTCAACAGTTCCTCCCAGCCTGCTGATTTTGTGACCACTTGAGTTTGGGGCCTCTGAACTAGAGATTTCTTTTTTCTTTTTTTTGGAGATGGAGTTTCACTCTTGTTGCCCAGGCTGGAGCGCAATGGTGCGATCTCGGCTCACTGCAATCTCCGCCTCCCAGGTTCAAGTGATTCTCCTGCCTCAGCCTCCCAAGTAGCTGGGATTACAGGCACCCATCACCACACCCGGCTAATGTTTTAGTTTTTTGCAGAGATGGGGTTTCACCATGTTGGCCGGGCTGGTCTTGAACTCCTGGCCTAAGGTGATCCACCCACCTCGGCCTCCCAAAATACTGGGATTACAGGTGTGAGCCACTGAGCCTGGCTGATTTCATTTTGTTTTAAGAGATTTGGCCCATGAGCCCCTATCATGTGTCATGCACTCCCCTGGGGAGAAACAGTGAAGCAGACAGAGGTGACACGACCCTTCCCCTCTTGCAGTCACAGGTTGACTATATGCAGAGGTCTCTCAAAGTGTGCCTCATGGGTCCCTCAGAATCTGGTTAAGATGCAGAGAAATGCCTGGGCCCCAACCCAAATCTGCTAAATCAGATCTTCCGGGGGTGGAATCTGGAAATCTCCATTTTTAGCAAGCTCCCTGGAGGATGACCTTAGCCACATGAAAGCTCTTGCAGCCGTGGTGGAAAGGATCATCCACGGTGACTTGCAGCTGTGAGTCCATGAGTCTAGTACACTCTCTCAGGCCTTGAGCGGGGAAGGAATCAGGGCTTACTGAGCCACCCCCATCTTCCAGGCACTGTGCTAAGTCCTTTCCATACCTCATTTCATTTCATCCTCGCAATAAACCAGGTACTGTTATTACCACCGTGAAACAGGTGGGGAAACTGAAGCATGAGGAGCTTGAGTAATGTGTGTTAGATCACGCAACCAGTAGTGGCAGAGCTGGAATTCCGACCTGGGACTGCCTCCAAAGTTCTTGCGTAAGAATACAGCTGCTACACTTGCCCTTCTTCAGCTGAGACCAAGGAGGGAATTCTGATTGAAAGCAAACCAGGGAGGAAAGATGCACTAGCACTGACCTGTAACAGGTCAATCTGTGCCATGGCATGGCGAGACGAAGTGGAGAACCCATGTCTCATTGGAATCCCGGATCATCGTCTCCACGAAGGCTGTCTTCTGCAGCACTCCAGGGACTCACGGCTCTGGGCTTATTGCTCAGTGTCATGTGACAGTAAGTTTTGGCGAAGGCCGTTTGTAAGGTGATTTTAGTGGCTGGCTTTGAGTGGCTTCCCTCCAGATTCACAAAGGTTGGGCCACTGTTCCAGAGAACCTGAAATCAGAACCTGATTTCAGAACCTGAGAACCTCAGAACCTGAGCCACATCAGCTTTTGCCAACAAACTCCATGGTTTTGTTGTTGTTGTTGCTGCTGCTGCTTTGTTTGCTTGTTCTGTTGCTGTGTAATGAATCTTCTTGCCATTGGCTCTTTCTCTGCCTTTATTCTAGGTTTGTACCAGGCACATCTCCAGAATTGTTGTCCTTTAGAAAAACATCTTGGTTCCAATGAGAAAACAAATAAAGAAAGCTAGAGTCTTAAAAAGCGAATTCGGAAATCAATCTATCGACCAGATCATTATCGGGGGCGGGGGGGCCGAAGGGGTCGGGGAGGGCCATGGTGGTGAATAGAGAACAACTTTTCATAGCTCTCCTTTACAGGAAAATCCAGTATGGTTTATCTCTTCCCAAAATATTCATGATGGTCATGAAGTAACCCCTGAGCCTGGAATTGAGTTAAGTTTGGTATTCACAAAGCTGTGTAACTTTGAACAGGTTGCTTCCCTTCTCTGAGCCTCCGTTCCCCTATCTGGAAATCTTGTTAGATCATTTCTTTTTTTTTTTTTTTTTTTTTCAGACGGAGTCTTGCTCTGTAGCCCAGGCTAGAGTGCAGTGGCACATCTCGGCTCACTGCAAGCTCCACCTCCTGGGTTCACGCCATTCTCCTGCCTCAGCCTCCCAAGTAGCTGGGACTACAGGCACCCACCACCACGCCTGGCTAATTTTTTGTGTTTTTTAGTAGAGACGGGGTTTCACTGTGTTAGCCAGGATGGTCTCGAACTCCTGACCTCGTGATCCGCCCGCCTCGGCCTCCCAAAGTGCTGGGATTACAGGCGTGAGCCACCGTGCCCGGCCCTTGTTAGATAGTTTCTAAGATCATTATAGTTCTAACATTCTGTGAATTTAGTGCCTGGCATACACTAAGTGGAAGGAGAGAGAAAGAAAGGAAGGGAGAGGTGAAGGGAGGGAGAAATCAATCTGTGAAAGCTGTCTTTCATAGAGACAAGAATGAGTGTCTTTTCTGCCTCCAAGGACACTGCCTCTATCTCCTCAGCACATGCTGAGTTGAACTGTTGATAATGTAATAAGCTCTGCCTCATTCTCCCTTGAAATACCACTTTTTAGCCTGTGTTGTCACAGAAGAAAATGAGTCAATTAGAGAATTCAAGCAAGAGTGCTCTTTAAAAAGGACATGTAGATAGTTAATTGCAGTCAATTAGACCTGTTGTCTTGGTGGCTGGGTCTCCAGATAGGAGAAGAATGGGAAACGCCCAAAGGTTACTCATCTCTGGCAAGGAAACGCTGAGCTGTGCCATTTGACAGTGGCATCCAGGAAGTGTTGGAGCATCCAACCCTGTCTCCAGGGAGGCTGGCCTCTTCATCCCTGATCTCATCTGCAGGACTTTTTCCCCACTAAGAGGAGCAAAGTTCAAGCACTTTCTCCTTGCCACTGGAGAGATGAGACACAAATCATAGTTAAAAGAATGGCATGGCAGGGCTGTGGGACAGCAGGACACACTGTTCTCAGGGAAATGGTTATTGGGCATTTTGCAGAATGTTTTGAGGAAGCAACTGCTCCTAAGAATACTGTTATGTTTGAGCAATTTCAGACAAATCTTGGAAAGTTTCTTCACATGGTGATATCAGTTAGGCCCTATCAACCTCTTCAAATGAAGCCAAAATTACCTCTTCTAACCCAACTCCATAGCTGGTAGAAATCTAGTGCTACCCCAGATTCCTGCCAACCTCCATGTCATGGAGATTGGCAACCAAATTTATATGTTGAAGTCCCAGCCCCCAGTACCTTGGAATGTGCCCTTATTTGGAAATAGGTTGCTGTAGACTTAATTAGCTAAAGTACAGCCACATCCAAGTAGGGTGAACCCCTAATCCAATATAACTGCCATCCTTATTAGAAAAAGAAATTTGGAGATTGCCCCACCCCTCGAACCCACACAAACACGGAGAATGCCATGGGAAGATGAAGGCAGAGATTGGGATGGTGCTTCTACAGGCCAAGGAATGTGAAGGACTGCCAGCAGCCCCCAGAAGCTAGGCAGGAAGCATAGAACAGTTCCTTCCTCAGAACCCTCAGAAGGAACCAACCCTACCAACACCTTGATCTCAGACTTCCAGTCTCCAGAACTGTAAGACCATAAATCGTGTTGCTGAAGCCACTGTCTTACAGTTTGTGGTATTTCGTTACGGGAGCCCTAGCGAATGAATACACTCTGCCCCTACTGAGGAGATGGTGTTATGGGAGCTTTGGTCCTCCAGGACCCGCCTCCAGAGCTCTGCCTTTTTCTATACCTGCTCAACCCAGAAGTGAAACTGCGCTCCTCTTTGCCTGACCCACCACTGGGCACTCATATGAAGCTTATGTGAACTTACTAAAGGTTTGAGAAGGATGCAAGTCAAGGCCAGTCCTGAAGTGCACACTCTCCATAATCCCTGAAGACTCAGACTCTCCTCCTTTACCCTCTCTGTTCCCAAAGCTCCTGGAAGCTCAAATTCCTTCTGAGCTTTCTCCATTTTTTTTTTTTTTTTTTTTTTTTTTTTTTTTTTTACAGAGCAGTTTCCCACATCCTCTGAGAATTTGCCACCTGCTGCCACCCAGACCCTGAGGAAAGACCCCTTCCTCCAAAGCTCTTTTCAACATATTTCTCCAGGCAAAGCTATTTTCTTCCTCACTGGCACAAAACATTTTTAAAAATTAAATCATTGTCACTGATTAAAACAAAAAGATACTGACTGTATTAATTTTCTATTGCTGCATAACAACTTACTACCTATTTAGTAGTTTAAAACACACATGCATTTTCTCACTGTTTCTGTAGGTCAGGAATCCAGGCACCACTTAGTCGGGTTTTCTGTTTAAGATCTTCTCAAGGCTGCAGTCAAGGTGTTGACAGGGCTGTGTTCTCATCTGGAGGTTTGACAGGGAAGAGTTCACTTCCAAACTAGCTTGGGCTGTTGGCAGAATTCATTTCCTTGTGGTTGGAAGAGGCAAGCCCTCAGCATCTTGTTGGCTGTGGGCTAGAGGGTGCTCTCAGCTCCCAGAGGCAGCTTCTCCTTGCCATATAGGCTTTCCAACATGGCTGTTCACCTCCTTAAGCCAACAAAGAGAGTCTCTAGAGTGAGTCAGTTAACAAGACAGAAACTTTCACAATGTAAGGTAATCATAGGAGTTACATTTCATCACCTTTGTCATATTTTCTTGGTTAGAAACCAGAGGTCCCACCCACACTTAAAGGGAGAGAATTACACAAAGGTGTGAGAGTTAAGGATCATGGGAAGCCATTTTAAAATTTGTCTGCATATGACAATGCAGCAGGTACAATTGGCTCCCCGGCAGCCAGCCCACCCCCTAGCTCCAGGGGAAAGCCTGATTGGTCCAAAGGTAACCATGCTCTTTTCCATGATTGGTTTGGGAATGAGCATGTGACCCATCTCCAGCCTATGATGTGAGAAGTGTACTGAGTAACTTCTTAGTTTCCTTGCTCCTAAGACGGAACTAGGAAAAATGATGGTTTCTTTTCTTCCTCAGGATGTTTTAGTGTTTAGTTGGAACCCTGGATCTGCAGCAACCATCTTGCTACCAACTTGAGGGTGAAGCCAGCCGTAAGAATAGCAGGCCGGAAAGATGGAAGAAACCTGGCTTTCCAATGTCATCATTTGGTTGCTGAATCAATTGTACCTAAAGCTCACTCTATCTGTTTTACCTTGAGTTAGGGTTGCCGTTGCTTGCAGCTAAACGCATCTTCTTTTTTTTTTTTTTTTTTTTTTTTTTTGAGAAGGAGTCTTACTCTATCACCCAGGTTGGAGTGCAGTGGCGCGATCTCAACTCACTGCAACCTCCACCTCCCAGGTTCAAGTGATTCTTGTGCCTCAGCCTCCCACGTAGCTAGGATTACAGGCGTGAGCCACCACGCCCGGCTTATTTTTGTATTTTTGGTAGAGAAGGGGTTTCGCCATGTTGCCCAGGCTGGTCTTTAACTTCTGGACCTTAGGTGATCCACCCGCCTCAGCCTCCCAAAGTGCTGGAATTACTGGCAAGATCCACCACACCCAGTCTAAATGCATCTGAATATAACATGACTCTCCTAGAGAAAAACCTGGAACCCAGAGCACCTGAATAGAAACTCTTAATTATATCAATGAGGAATAGTTAACTTAGCCAAGTTTCCATTGAATATGAAGAACTGTAAAATAATGTCAGTTCTAGCCAAGAACTGAAAAGTAATGTCAGTACTCTATAATGTGTAATTCATAGTTGCTACATGTAATCAGGCTTGGCCAATTGTTTCCAGGAAGATGGCACCCTCATTTCTGAATGAGGATGACCATTTTCCACTAATCCAGAGGTAAAACAGTCATTGTAACTGCACTGAAATTTGCTGTATCAAGTGAGACATGAAGGTAAATGTCATTGGCCCAGAGTAATTAGTCTTTTCCAGTGCTTAAAGGAAGGGAGAGAAACTAATGCCTATTGAGTGCCTTCAAAGCTTCTGCAATGTGCTGGTACCCACATGTTTCCAATTATTCCTCACAACACTATGGAGAGGTTATTTTGCCTGTTTTGCTGATCAGGGAACTGAGACTCACAGAGTGACACCAACCCATCAGTATTTCAGGTTTCTGGGGAGGGTCCAGAGAGCAAGGGGGAAGCTGCTAATTGCTTGTTGGTTCAAGAGAAATGTTATCTCAGTAGACTAACGTATGGACTTTCTGATGTCAGAAAATGCAAACTATGTAGTGTAACCTGTTTGCCATTTTTTCTTTGTATCCGCAAACTGACAGCAAAATATATTGCACAAGTATTATAAATCTGTTCAGTTCAAGTGCCAGAGAACATTTACTCTGCTTCCTTCATGAGGTAATTCAAAACTTTGTTTTTAATATTTATTGAGTGTCTGGGTAGGTAAACTGCTATGCCGTCCTATGGGGAATTTCAGATGTGTTGTCTGTGTGTGTGTGTGTGTGTATGTGTGTGTGTGTGTGGTGTTTTCTGGTTTTGATTGTTGACGTTTTCTTGATTTTTTTTGACAGGAGCATCTTTAGATATTTATTTATTTTATAATTCATACATACATATAGTAAAAAGTTCAGATAGTTTTAAAATATAGTGATGTGTAAATCTCCCCTCACTTGTGAGCCCCAGGCATTCAGCTCCCCTCCCTAGACGCAATTATTGTAGTCAGTTCAAAGCTTGTTTGTGCACATACAAGTCTCTGTGTATATCCTCTACACACACCCAGAAGAGCATACTATACATGCTCTAGACTGTGTTATGTTTCTTTGAATGGCTACGATGTAATTTATTAATCCAGTTCCCTAATAATAGGCATTTAGGTACTTTTCATGTTTTTCTCAATGTGTAATTGTACCATTAAAATTCTTGGGTTTTTTTTTGGTTTTTTGGTTTTTTATTAAGAGTCTCGCTCTGTTGCCCAGGCTGGAGTGCAGTGGCGTGATGTCAGCTCACTGCAACCTCCGCCTCCCATGTTCAAACAATTCTCGTGCCTCAGGCTTCCGAGTAGCTGGGATTACAGTCGCCCACCACCATGCCTGGTTAATTTTTTTGTATTTTTTAGTAGAGACAGGGTTTCACCATGTTGGCCAGGCTGGTCTCAAACTCCTGACCTCGAGTGATCCGCCTCTCTTGGCTTCCCAAAGTGTTGGGATTACAGGCATTAGCCACAGCGAAAATCCTTGTATTCATGCCTTTGCCCATGTTTGCAAGTATAACTGGGAGATAAAATGCTAGAATTGCAGGGTCCAAAAAAAAGCACATTTTAATTTTAACAACTATAACCCAGTTGCCTTCCAAAGAGGCTGTACACATGTTTCCCTGTCTCAAACAGTGGTGAGCATGCCTGCTCCCCTACAAACTCACCAGCTCAGAGCATTATCAGGCTTCTCATCTCTGCCAACCTGGTAAGTACAAAGGGCATCTCTTGTAGTTTCGGTTGCATTTTTCTCATTATGAGATTGAGCAGCAGACAATGTCTTTAAAAGACTTATTTTGCTCTGGGTTTTAATCTTAAAATACTCTAAATCCTCTTAGAAGTAGGTAGGGTCAGATCTTCAATCTGGATGGATTTACGTAATGGGTCTATGAAAGGGATAGAAAGTCAAAGCAAGGGGGTGAGGCGGGGGAATGATGCGAAGTCAAAGCCCTCCCCCTCGGGGGCCCCTAGCCCATCCCTGATCCCTCACCCTTTGCAGGGCATGTCCAGAGCTGCCACTGCCCTGGGCCTCCACCCCACAGCCCAGGACCACACCTTAACCTGGAAAGTCGTGGACCTCCTCAGGGGAGCTCAGGGATCAGATGGGCCGATGGGTGTTACTGTGGCCAGGAGCACTGGGTCTTGAGTATGTGGGTGGAACTTTCCCTCATCCCCTGACCACGTCTAACCACATGGCCTCTCCACTTTGATAGTGGCGAGAAGAGTAGCCTCTTGCTTTTGCATGTTTTCCTAATCACAGCGTGCTTTCTTGTCTGCTATTTCATTTGACTTTTTTCAACCAGCCGCTGAGGTGGGGATTATTAGCACGCCCTTTGCAGATGAGGAAACTGAAGCCCAGGGAGCTTTGGCAACCTGCCCAAGGTCACACAGCCAGTGAAGGAAAGGGCTGAAATCAAACCAGGCCTGTCTGACTGCAAGGCAGGGTCTTACGGCTGCCTCCGGTGGGTAGGTCCGGGACCCAGCTGGTTTCCGTCCTGTGGCTCAGGTGCGAGGAGAGCCTCCCTGGGCCACCTGGGGAAGTCTGACTGACGTGCCAGATCCTCACAGAACAAAGGTAAGGCCTCAGCCTTCCCCCTGGCCCAGGTCTTTCCATGTCCAGTGCATTCCTGAATGCTCCCAGTACTCTGGAAAATGGGGATTCATGCTGCCATTTTAATTGGAACCCAATCTGTTCTGACTTCAAATCTAGTGCTCCTTCTCCATCCACCCACCCTCCCTGAACCATGCCCAGGAGATCGAGAGATTTTCCTAATAAACAAGTCATGTGCTACAATGCATGTGCTACACAACCACTGCCCGCTTTGTCTCTCCCCCTAGGAGAGAAGGGGACTCCTGAGAGGCCCCAGCAGCGTTATCTGGGCAGAGAAAGTGAGTTTGAAGACCTCACACTCCATCTGGACTTTATCAGCTCCTTTCCTGGGTAGGATTACAGTAAACGATTATCTACAGATCTGGAGCCAGCAAGGACTTTGAAGGCCCCAATTGCCAAGGGGGTGGTGAAATGGGGGAAGGGCTGGAGACGCAGGAGATGAAAAAGCAGTGCAGGCATCTTATCTTCCTCCTGAAATCAAACAGGCTGGGCCTGGGCAGGGTGGGAGAGGTACCCTGTCTGTGAGGCTGACAGTCTCTAGCCCTGGCTGGCCACAAAAGATACAGAGAGAACCAGATGAAGGCCCTTCACTGTCTTCTCCTGATCCTCTCTCCCTCCTCCTGGTTTCTTTTATTAATTCATTCATTCACTTGCATCTTTCAGCCTGTTAGTTACAATATCTGACACGCTCTGAGCTCTCCCGCCAAGCCAAGTGCTTAGCATCCATCCCCTCATGTGGTCTTCACCATGACCTTCTGGGAGAGGTGCCAGAATTAGGCCCATTTTACAGATGAGGAAAATGAAGCCCCAGAGGCTAAGTAATAGGATGAGCCTGGGATCACACAGCTAGTAAATGGTAGGGTCTGGATTCTCTTAAACCTGCATACATTTATTCTTCCATTTCCCCCTGCCTGCCTGCTTTCCTCTCATAATTCATTTATGTATTCAGTTTTTCATATTCCCATTGCTTGTTCATTTTGAAGTTCCTTCCCTTCTTGCTTATGCATTTCTTCTGTCCCTTCCTGTCTTCCTCCTGTCTCTTCCTTCCTTCCATGACCACATCCTGAGCCTACTGTGTGCCCTGTCACCCTGCCATCAGGACATGGGGCTCCTGACAGATGACTGCTGGGGAGGGATATGTGAGACCACCTCCTCCAGGGTCGACCTCCTCAAATGAGGCTTTTGGGCTGTGCCTCCCTATGCCTGATTTGTCCCAGTGTTTGCCAAAAATTTTAGGCTTTGATAATCTTGTGAAGATGTTTCAGCCAAGCAAGTCTTGAGACTCCATTGGTGTGGGAGTAAAAGTGGCCTGGGGAAGCCACTTCTTGCAGTTTCCCCTAAGCAAGGCTCTTTCTGTCCTTGCTGTTCTGACATCCACTCCCTCAGCAAACATCATTAAGGACCTATCATGGGCAGCCCCTGGGGCCCACTCCCATCCTCTAGCTGTCTCGATTTCATACCTCCCTAGCTCTAGAAAATTCACTCCTAGAAGGCAGGGAATTGGCGTCAAGGAACGGGTTCACAGCCTTGGACTCCTTTATTCATTCATCTTTTTTCCTAGCACCTAACACAGGGCCTGGCTTAGACTGAAGGCTAATAAATACAGGATCAAAAGGCAGTGAACCATCATTCTCTGTCACTCTCCAGGAGCTGGCCCACTCACCGTGCTAGACATTGTACTGGATATAGTAGTCCCGCATCGTTGTATCACTCTCATTTCTAGCTGGAGAAGTACCCCTCCTTTTCTAGGTGCGGTTATGGGGTCGCTATCACCTGAAGTGCCCGCCACTCACCCTGTAGTCTTGGGTGGGTATGTGATCTCAGCTAAAACAGTCGAGGTCTCTCTCCCTGGGCTTGGAATTGTAAACCAAGTGATGCAGAGAAAGAAAAAACACAAGCCCTTGGAGCCCATCACATCCCATCACCGATGAGGCTGTCCAGCGGTTCTGGCCCTCAGAAGCCCCAGAGAACTCCAGTTTCTGTCCTTTTCCGAGTGTGGCTTTCTGTCCACTTTATGGCTGCTCAACCTCCCTCCAGTATGCCCCTTCTCCCCTTAGTCAGTGAATGTCTGTTTCTGTGCTTGCAAATGATAAATCCTAAATGATGCCCCAGGACATGGTTTCCAAGGCCAGCTATTGGAGCCTCACCAGAAATGTTCATTCTGCCTCATCAGTGTCTTGGCTATTGCCTTTTTGGAACTGCTCTGACCTCTCCTCTTTCCATCCTGCAGCACCCCCTCTCTCAGCACCAGGGAGCTCCTCCAGGAGCACTTCCTCCCATGTCTGTGTTCGCCGTTAAGACTGGACACACCAGGATGATCTTTCAACTTTGGGTCCAAAGGCCCTCAGTGGATGTAAAATAGGTACATGAGGCCTTGAACTGAACATTTTTTTCACTTCACCATAACCTGGATTTTCCCAGTTTAGGAGCATCTGTTTGTCTTGATAACGTTTGGAACAAAGTGAAAAAAACTGGACTTTGAAGAGAACTTCAGGTGAATTACACATTTAAGTCAGATTTTCCATGTCTTTGTCCCATGTTCAGTAATTCAAGCTGTTAGGAGCCCTCAACTTTGTACATATATTTCCTTCCTATCTCTGCCTCTTCATACCTGGTACTTACCGTGGAATTTGAAATCTTTCTGTGGCTGTAAGCAAGAAAGGCGGGAAAAATACAAGAAGTTAAAGGGGATTGGATGGTTCAGATTTGGTTGATGAATGAGATGGTTTAGAGGCATGTCTTGTAAGAGATAATTTTCTATGTGCCAGGTACTATTTATGAATCCCACATTATCTTATTAATGCTCACAACAAGCCTTGGGGGTAAATAGATTATCATCGCCATTTCACAGATTAGGAAAGTGAGGTTTCAGCAGTCAATTGCTCAAAGGTCTCCTGCTAGTGAAACAGTCGTCTATCCAAACAGTCTGAATGACCTGTGCACATGGGAACGTGCCACGCAAGCCAAGGGCAGGAAGGATGAGAAGAGGTGGGCAGAAAGCCAGCTGGGATGAATGAAGGACCTACTACGTGCAGGCCCAGGGTCAGACATTTTATTTTCTTGATTGCACTTCAGCCTCCCAGCAGCCCTGTTTTACAGATGAAGAAACTGAGGCTCAAAGAGCTGGAGAAAGTTGTTGCCCAGGGTCCTGTGGAGAGAAAACTCAAGCTCCGGCTGTTCCACTACTCTGGGACACCACCCCCAGTGGGAACCCCACTTTTACAAGGATTCGAAGGTAGGTGAGGACTTATCTCCTGAAATAATTAGTATACTTACTTTTTTGTTACATATTCCCACTAAAGGTTTGCAGCCCCACCCAGCTTGAATATCAGGAGAATGGCAACAAAATCTGGTTCAAGGCTCACAGAATCCACGAAAGATGCCAGCCCCTCCACGGTTGGAGAGTGATTCACAAATGTGTCTTTAAGGACTTTCCCAGGCCGGGCACAGTGGCTCACACCTGTAATCCCAGCAAGCCGAGGCGGGAGGATCACCTGAGGTCAGGAGTTTGAGACCAGCCTGGCCAACATGATGAAACTCCGTCTCTACTAAGAATACAAAAATTAGGCAGGCGTGGTGGCATGCACCTGTAATTCCAACCACTTGGGAGGCTGAGGCAGGAGAACTGCTTGAACCGGGGAGGCAGAGGTTGCAGTGAGCCAAAATCACACCGCTGCACTCCAGCCTGGGCAACAGAGTGAGACTGTGTCTCAACAACAACAACAACAACAACAAACAGAAAAAAAAGAAAAAAAAAGGACTTCCCCATCTCAGAGCAGAAGACAAACCCAGGTGACTCTGAGTCTGCACAGAAAAGGCAAGGGTGACCAAGAGTGAGGAGGTTAAGCACCTGTTGCTTTCAGCTCAGGTCCTGACCACAGCCCTTAATAAGGACAAACCTCTCAGATTGCTGCAGCCTTCAATACGCATGTTCCTATAGTGCCTGGCCAATAAGAAGTACTTACACAGTAGCTGTTATTATTGTAAAGGCGGCGCAAAGAGTTAAGGAAGGCCGGTAGCTAAGCTGAATCTGAGTTGCATCTTGTAGGCCATGGTATGTGAAAGAAGGGCAGGCCAGGAGGGGGAACAGAGTGAGTAAAGCCCAGAGGCAGGGGCATGGAAAAGCAGGGAGGAGTTAAGCTTGGGGCAAATATCCTAAATGAAGGGGAATAAAAGGCAACAAAGTTTGCAAGTTGCACCGGGGCCACATCTTGGAGTTGTTTGAGAACATGTCCCATGAGGCTGCATTTAACACCAGCCACTCGCGCTTCCACCCCAACAGCAGGAGTATCACATCCACATGCCATGTGCGCAATTCCTTACTTTATATCCTCCTCTAAGATAAATCTACCCTCCCTCTTTTTTAAGCATAAGAGCATTTATTCTAAAAGGAAACTTTTGGCCAGGCATGGTGGCTCACGCCTGTAATCCCAGCACTTTGGGAGGCCTAGGCTGGTGGATCATGAGGTCAGGAGTTCGAGACCAGCCTGACCAACATGGCAAAACCCCGTCTCTACTAAAAATACAAAAATTAGCCGGGTGTGGTGGCACGTGCCTGTAGTCCCACCTACTCGGGAGGCTGAGGCAGAAGAATTGCTTGAACCCGGGAGGCAGAGGTTGCAGTGAGCTGAGATCACACCACTGCAGTCCAGCCTGGGCAACAAAGCAAGACTCTGTCTCAAAAAATAAATAAATAAATAAATAAAAGGAAACTTTTGCTCACTAATGGAAATGGAAGTGGCACCTGTCATAGGCAGAGACAAATTGTCAAAGTAAACAACTTTTAAGTCTCACTAGACACTCCTGCCCCAGCAGAATCTGGTCAAAAGCTAGGTCAGCAAATTTCAGAGGCAGTATTAAGGACAAAGTAGCAACAATCCAAACTTTCTTTTTAGGTACTCAGAAAGACTAACAGAACATTGAGAAGGGGTGTTAGTCACATCCCCAAACTGCAAGAGGCCAGAAGATAGCGAGGGGTCTTTCAAACAATCTAAAATCTGAGACCCCAATGTTGGAAAAGAGAAGGAAGGGAATGGGTTAAAGTGCCAGTTGCTCCCTCCTCAGATAGCAGGGCCCTGGACATCCCTAAGATGTCCCCTTCCTCTTTCATCCTTCCCTGATTCCAGCCTCCCCACCTTCCCCAGGCTGGCTTGCCTGATTTTGTGAGCTCTTCAGCCGGCTTAAAGTGTAATTCTGTATTTCTGATTCTATCTGTGTTCCAGGAGGCATTATCTCTATCTCTGTAATAGCTTCTCAAGCAAAAACATTTTACTGGGTAAAAGAGCAAGGAATAGGCATGACCTGATGCTGATTTAAAGCAAGATTCCAGGCAAGCCCCAGAGCCCTCTCTAAGTAGCCTCTCTCCTTTCTGCTGTCTAACGAAACAGCTCCTAATGGCCATGGTATCATATTGTATCTCATATTTACACAGCACTCGGCACACATTCACTTATTCAGCGGACATCCATTGAGGGCCTATTATGTGCCAAGTCTTCTGGGTGCTGGCAATCAACAGTGAACAAAGACCCGTGAGGTTCTTGCTCTACTTGGGAAAACAGGCAATAAACTCTGAAACAAGTAAATAAACACGATCATGATGAGGCTACTGAAAAAGCAATGTGGTAGCAGCGTGACGATGATGTGCCATGGGAGACAGGTGGCAACATCAAAAAAGGTAGACTGCCCCCGCCCTCCGAAGAGGTGGCATGTGAGCAAGAAGGAGCCAGCCAATGGAAAGCTCTGAAAGCAGAGTCTTTTAAAAACAAAACAAAATCAAAAAACAAAAACAGGGCTCAAAGAAGATGTCTGCACTTCTGCCAGACGGGGCAGAAAGAAGATAATGGTGCTCCAATCAGGGAGACTGTGGAGGCAGTACAGGTGACAGGAGGCAGGGAAACGAGAATTAGCCAGAAACACAGTAGGTTTGCCATGTCAGTCAGACACTCGAGTGTGTTCTTGCTCTTCTCAACAAACCATAAAGTAAGGACGATCAGTGTTTCCCATTTTACAGACAGGAAAACTGAAGCTCGGGAAGGCTACCCAGGTACATAGGGGCAGTGGTGGGATGTGAATCTATGGTTTAGGATGCTGACGCCAGCACTATCCCACCTGCCTCATGGTAGAGCAGTGTCCAGACACAGAGGTGGCAATGCAGCAGCTCAAGTGGCAGCTCCAGCACTGCATGTGTTTTGTCCGTTCTACATGGGTTTGGAAAAACTCACCTGAGCTAGCGATCAACTCTTAAATATAACCCTTCACTCAAAAATCTGGCTGTCTATCTGAAAATATTTGAAGACCTGGTCATAGTGGGACCATGATTTGAATGACAACAATGGGCTGGAGCAGTATCTCTGCCCACCTTGAGAGAGGGATGGGCACTCTGTTTTTCCACAGCCCCCACCTCTCCCGATTGCTTGCCCCGGCCCCTTCACTCCTCTCCATTGCATTCATGGCCTCCCTATGCATTCGGCTTTGAGGCCCCAGCTCTCTAGTGATGAAATATGTGGGAAGATCCACAAAGCCCAGCAAACGAGGAGTGACCAGAGGAATTGAGTTACAGTTCCTCCCTAGAACACTTTCCTGCCTTTCTGATGTAATCACTTTGCGCAAACAGTAGGAAATGTTCAGAAGAGCTGCTACAAGGCGGTGATTAAGAGGTCAGGCCTGGTTCTTAATTCTAGCTTCAGCAAGTCCTATCTGTGGGACTTGGGCAAGTTCTAAAAACCTCAGTTTCTTTATCTGTAAAGCGCAAATAATAATAATGCCTACTTTATAAGTAGGATTAGGGGAAACAGTAATTTAGGAAACGTGCTCGGAATGATGCTAGTTTCGTGGTGAGTATCCAATAGATGGAGCCGTAGTTGTCTTTCTCATCTTAGAAAGCAGCTGATTCTCCCATGTCATGACAGTGTTTGTGCAACTCCTCTGGAATTCTCTCCTTTCTTCCTTAGGAGAGCATTTTCTCAATGTTCCTCTTTATCTTTCTCCAAACACAAAGACAAATCTAAGAGGAAAAAAAAAATCTTCAAACTGGGTCGCAGATACTCAGCTTCTTGTCAATTCTCATTAGGGTTTAAAAGCTCAGTCTCCTGCATATGCCCAAAGATAAAGCAATCCCTTCCATTCCTAATTCAAAGAACCAAAAAAAAAAAAAAAACATGTGGTTGGACCTGGTTGAATATATAAACTTTTGGGGATGGCAATAAACTAGGCAAAGTCCTGGTTATTCAATTTATTAGCTCAGTTGTGCAACGTAGAAATAAACAGAAAATTACTTATAATTTTACAATAATATTCATTTAGAAACATCACTTTTCTCCATATACGTGTTGCATGAAACAGCTTTACTCCATTCTTTGCCACACATAAGGAGGCCGAGGAGGGAAGATGGCATGAGGCCAGGAATTCAAGGCTGCAGTGAGATATGATTGCACCACTACACTTCAGCCTGGGCGACAGGGTGACACCTCATCTCTAAAAAATAAAATAAAATAATAAAAAAATTTTGGAAATTTTTAAAGCGTCTGCTCCACAGAGCCACATTTTGCATTGTGCAGTTTCGTTTTTCAGACCTTTCTCCTCTCTTCCATCTGACTGCCCTGAGATCCAGCACTTTTTGCTTCCACATCTGAGGCTGTCGCTGGAAACAAGGTCTCCATCCCATTTGCATGACATGAGCACAGTCGGGATTTGTATTCATTCTGTGGGTGTGTGTATATTCGTGCTCTCCACAAAAGAACCACTCAGCATTGCTTTTTCAAGCCGAGCTTTAAAAGGCTTATTTGCCATGACATCCAGCACTTGTAATTTGAGGTCATACCCCGAGGAAGAATTGCTAAATCTGTGTAAAATGTTTCTGACTCCTTTTCTTACAGATTCTGTCAGATTATCTCTTTAAGAATTCTAAGCCCATGTTGTTTGAGGTGGTTTTAGGCTAATGTACATTCCCCAAACATTTCTTTGCTGTTCAAAATAAAGCAATTGAGAGGGTTCTTCGTAAAAACGAAGCACTTTGCAAGAGCTCAAGACAAAAGACAACTCCCTTTTTTCTAGGGGGTAATTTTGAGGATAGAAGAAAAACAGTGTTCTATGTAAGCCTGTACAATCACGAGAGCCATTTGCTGAGGGCCATGTGTGCGAGTGGTTCGTGTGCTCTCCACCTCCTCTTCTTCCTCCCAGGGGATGAAATGAGGCCCAACAAGTGCAAGACATGGACCATGTCAGCTCGTGACAGAACAGGGCTGGAACCCAAGTCTGCTAGGCTCAGCCCACTCCCTCCCTGTGCCGAGTTGACATATTCTACTTACATTAAGCCAAGTGCTGGGCTCTGATTATACAAAATCAGATAAGCCAGGACCCTGTGTTCAAGGAGCTCCCAGGCCTGCTGGGGTGAGAGTGGAGCAGCAAGGATGGAAGTGCACAGATGCAAGGGTGGCCAGGCCTATGGGGATACAGGCAAGGGAGGCTGAGTGTTGGGGAAGTAGGAAGGAGAGGCTGTGTAAGCAAAGTTCTGAAGGACAAAGCCATGTCTGCAGCAAAGATCTAAGTCTGGAAGAGCAGAGGGTATTTGGGAAGCTGTGGAAAGCACAGGGCAGGGTAGTAAGAGCTCATCAGTGACCCATCAGGCGGCCCCTGTGGATCATGCTCAGGAGTCTGGAGACCTACATGAGAGTCTCTGGTTGGACACGGAGAAGGGTTCGGACACTTCATTTCATGCTGTTTTTCCAGCTGCAACTCCCAGACCCAGCCTGTCACTCCCTTATGGCTCGATGTAACGCCGTGTCTTGTCCATCTCCCCAGCTTCTTCCAAATCAGGCACAAACTTTCTGAAGAGTTCCAGCAAGCAGAGGCGAAGGCTGGACTCACATTGGTTTGTCTGTAGAAGTGATTCCCCGCCCCTCACCCCAACACCAGCTTCAAGTCTTATACACCTGCACGCACTGAGAGAGAGCTAACCAAAAGGACACGTGAGTAAGCAGACAGACAGACACAAACCCACAGACACAATCACACACACAGAGACATGCACGTAACAAGCAGATGACCATAAGATGCCCAGAGGAACACTCAACAGACCCAGACACAAAAACACACCCACATTTATACAGAAGCACACAGGTGGGCTCTCACTCCCTCTCTGTCACGCACACACACTCACAATCACTTCCAAAATATACAATGGAAACTGGACCAAAGAATCCTCCCAGCTTCTCCACCTATCCCTTTCCATGACGCTCTTCCACCTCACCCTAGCCTTTCTTCTTCCCACAGAAAATTTCCCTTGCCATTCTCAAAACTGACTCTTCACACCTTTCTGGGAATGAAGGTATGGGTACCCTATACACCTCTGGGAGACAAGGGGTCATTCTGAACTGGGACACGCCAGGTGGAGCTGAAGTGGGACGGAAAGGGCGGTTTTCCCACAGAAATACAGCCTGACCCCCAGATCTGGAGAATCTGGACTTTGCCCTCCTGGAGTGGGGTGAGCAGCATTAGACGCTCTCCAAGGGCTCCCAAGCTTGAGTCATTTCTGGGGCCACACCTTCACACTGATCCCAGGGGACATGGCTGAAAGAGAGCCTGGCCACAAGCAAGTTGGTCGACCTGATAATTGGTCAAAATGATGATTGGTTGGAAATGAATATCCTTGTTTCCTATTTGTCAACTACCACTAATTTTATTTTATTTTATTTATTTATTTATTTATTTATTTATTTATTTATTGAGATGGAGTCTCGCTCTGTTGCCGAGGTTGGAGTGCAGTGGTGCAATCTCGGCTCACTGCAATCTCTGCCTCCTGGGTTCAAGCGATTCTCCTGCCTCAGCCTCCCAAGTAGCTGAGATTACAGGCGTGCACCACCATGCCCAGCTAATTTTTGTATTATTAGTAGAGATGGGGTTTCACTATGTTGACCAGGCTGGTCTCAAACTCCTGACCTTAGGTGATCCACCTTAGGTGATCCACCCACCTTGGCCTCTCAAAGTGTTGGGATTACAGGTGTGAGCCACCGTGCCTGGCCAACTATTACTCACTTCCATGCATCAGTGGGTGGTATGGCAAGTGGTTGGAATTCTTTAAGAATCTCAACCATGTTTCAGGGGTTGTTTCCTCTTTGGGAGGTTAAAGTTGTTTATTTCTTTTTTTTTTTTTTTTTTTTGAGACGGAGTCTCGCTCTATTGCCCAGGCTGGAGTGCAGTGGTGAGATCTCAGTTCACTGCAAGCTCTGCCTCCCGGGTTCACGCCATTCTCCTGCCTCAGCCTCCCGAGTAGCTGGGACTACAGGCACCCGCCACCACGCCTGGCTAATTTTTTGTATTTTTAGTAGAGACAGGGTTTCACCCTGGTCTCCATCTCCTGACCTTGTGATCTGCCCGCCTCGGCCTCCCGAAGTGCTGGGATTACAGGCGTGAGCCACCGCACCCGGCCAAAGTTGTTTATTTCTAACCAATTTTCAGGAGAGTATTCCTACTTAACTATTTGTAGCCGAGATTAAGGACATACTTCATTCACTTATTTTATTCATTCATTCAACAAATGCTTACCGAAAGTCTGGTGATAGGTGTCCTTCTAAGTCCCGGATGGACAAACAGGTGTGAACAAAGCGGACAAAGTCTATCTCCTTGGGAAGCTCACATTTTGGTGAGAGAAAGAGAGCATCAAATAGATACATAAATATTTAATATCATGTAGTAAATGCCAGGAAGAGAGGCAAAGAGATAGAGGGAAAAGGGGTATGACCTCAGAGAGGGCAGTCAAGGAAGGCCTAGATTAGGGGAGGGGAAATTGAGCAGATGCTTTCATGCACTGCTGGGATGTTCCTCACAGGGGACGAGACATGCAAAGACCCTGAGGTAGAGCAGCCTTGGTGTGTTGGAGAGCAGTTAGATCAGAGCAGGTGGTCCACAGGGAACAAGGGAGAACCAAGGCAGGACGTGAGCCTGAGGAAGCAGCCAGGGCCTGAGCACAGGGGCTTGCAGACCACAGTCTCAAAAATGTTAGAAAGCCTTTGGAGGATTGCAAACCAACACGATCCCATTCAAATTCCAAAAGGAGCAGTTCTGGCTGTTGTGTGAAGAATAGCCTGGAATGGGAAGTGGGCTGGGAGTGGAAGGACAGTGATCGCTTAGAAATATATCACAGGCGCCGGGCACGGTAGCTCACGCCTGTAATCCCAGCACTTTGGGAGGCCGAGGCGGGCGGATCACGAAGTCAGGAGATCGAGACCATCCTGGCTAACACGGTGAAACCCCGTCTCTACTAAAAATACAAAAAAATTAGCCGGGCGTGGTGGCGGGCGCCTGTAGTCCCAGCTACTCGGGAGGCTGAGGCAGGAGAATGGCATGAACCCGGGAGGTGGAGCTTGCAGTGAGCCGAGATAGCGCCACTGCAGTCCTGCCTGGGCAAAAGAGCGAGACTCCGTCTCAAAAAAGATAGAAAAGAAAAGAAAAGAAAAGAAAAGAAAGGAAAGGAAAGGAAAGGAAAGGAAAGGAAAGGAAAGGAAAGGAAAGGAAAAGAAAAGAAAAGAAAAGAAAAGAAAAGAAAAGAAAAGAAAAGAAAAGAAAAGAAAAGAAAAGAAATATATCACAGGTCTCCAAGTAAAAGTGATGAGAGAACCCCCTAATGTCCACCCAGGAGAATTCACCAAAACAACCTGCAGGCCAAAGAAGAGGCAAAATGAATGTCCAACCACAAAGACCTGTTAGAACACATCCAGTGTTGGTCGGGCGCGGTGGCTCATGCCCGCAATCCCAGCACTTAGGGAGGCCGAGGCGGGTGGATCACCTGAGGGCAGGAGTTTGAGACCAGCTTGGCCAACATGGCAAAACCTCATCTCTACTAAAAATACAAAATTAGTCTGGTGTGGTGGCATGCACCTGTAATCCCAGCTACTCGGGAGGCTGAGGCAGGGGAATCACTTGAACCCAGGAGGTGGAGGTTGCAGTGAGCCGAGATCGCAGCACTGCACTCCAGCCTGGGCAAAAAGAGTGAAACTCTGTCTTAAAAAAAAAAAAAAAAAAAAAAAAAGGACACGTCCAATGTCCACAAGAGAAGAATCATTGGTCACTGCTTACTGAGGACCTATTATGTGCCTGGGACTATGCAAGAAATTGTAAAGAAAACATCTCACTTAACTTTTGTAATCACCATTCAAGGTAGATATAATTATTCCCATTTCACAGACTGGGGAACAACTTTAATTTTTTTTATCCCTGTTTGAAAACATTTTAAAATATCAAAAAGGCAGAAAAAGTAGAATTGGATTGAAACAAATGAGATATTTTAATGTTAAAAAAATTAATCGAAAGACTAAATTTTTTTAGAGACAAGGTCTCACTATGTTGCCCAGGCTGGTCTTGAACTCCTGGGCTCAAGCGATTCTTCCACCTCAGCTTCCCAAAGTTCTGGGATTACGGGCGTGAGCCACCACGCCCGGCCTGAAAAAATTTTTGAGCTTTGTCTTTTACTCTATTTCCTAAAGCAAATGTAATGCACTCTCATCTCAGAAATAGTAAAATAGAAAGAAAGCAAAATAAGCAAAAGGAGCCCCCATAGTCCCACCCCGTTATCCACCCACTCGCAGTCCTTTGATGTGGATGTCGCCGTGTGTGCCTTTTTTTTTTTTTGGTGAGACAGAGATTTACTCTTGTTGCCAGAGTCTTGCTCTTTTGCCAGGGTGGAGTGCAGTGGCACGATCTCGGCTCACTGCATCCTCCACCTCCCAGGTTCAAGCGATTCTCCTGCCTCAGCCTCCCGTGTAGCTGGGATTACAGGCATGTGCCACCATGCCCGGCTAATTTTGTATTTTTAGTAGAGACAGGGTTTCGCCGTGTTGCCCAGGCTGATCTCAAACTCCTGACCTCAAGTGATCCGCCCGCCTCAGCCTCCCAAAGTGCTGGGATTACAGGAGTGAGCCACTGTGCCTGGCCAGGATGTTGCCGTGCCCTTTTATTGTAGACACAGTGTTTTTCAAAAATGAGTTCATGCTGGCCAGGTGCGGTGGCTCATGCCTGTAATCCCAGCACTTTGGCAGGCCAAGGTGGGTGGATCCCAAGGTCAGGAGTTCGAGACCAGCCTGGCCAACATAGTGAAACCCCATCTCTACTAAAAATACAAAAATTAGCCAGTCATGGTGGTGGGCGCCTGTAGTCTCAGCTACTTGGGAGGCTAAGGCAGGAGAATCGCTTGAACCTGGGAGGCAGAGATTGCAGTGAGCTGAAATCATGCCATTGTACTCCAGCCTGGGTGACAAGGCAAGACTCTGTCTCAAAAAAATAAAAAAAATAAATAAAATTTAAAAAACGAGCTTGTGCTATATATACTATTCTGTGAGATTCCATAATTCACTTAAATCACCTTAGTAGGAGAGATTGTCTCAAGCATTTTCTCTTTTCTTGGCCATTTAAGTTGTTTTCTTATTAATGAACAGTTATTGTGTCCTAAGTTTTCCCATTACAATGAAGAGCAAGAAAAAAATTATTGAAAATAAATTCAGGCCAGGCGCAGTGGCTCACACCTGTAATCCCAGCACTTTGGGAGGCCAAGGTGAGCATATCACGAGGTCAGGAGATCAAGACCATCCTGGCTAACAGGGTGAAACCTTGTCTGTACTAAAAATACAAAAAATTAGCCGGGCGTGTTGGCAGGCACCTGTAGTCCCAGCTACTTGGGAGGCTGAGGCAGGAGAATGGCGTGATCCTGGAAGGCAGAGCTTTCAGTGAGCTGATATTGTGCCACTGCACTCCAGCCTGGGCGACAGAGCGAGACTCTGTCTAAAAAAAAAAAAAGAAAAGAAATACAATTGAAAGACAATAGAAAATCTTTGGGAAAAATACAGAAATGCTTTGCATAGAGGAAGACAAATTTGCAGTGTTTCAAATGCTTACTACTGGGGATATTGCTTTTCAATGGTATTTTTGTTTTGGCTAAGTTGTTCTTAGCTTTCTTCCAAATTGCATGTTTGTTCGAATTCACTTTGGTCAAGTAGTTTTTTTGGCTAACTCATATAAGCATTAATTAAAAATGACCAGTATTTAGTTAGCTTTGAATATATGTGCACTAGCCCTAGTACAAACCTTAGTCTAATGAATCCTCCCCGTAATAGCTGAGCAAGGTCCTGGTGGCCTTTCCCATCTGATGGAAATGGACTCAGAGAGTCATGGGGAAGAGATCTTAACCCAAAGTCACCTGGCTGGGAAGTGGCAGAGGCTTGAGTTTGAGCCCAGACCATCCTGGATGCCTGCATCTGGGTCCTTGCCATTGTCCCTGACCTCTCCCTCTCCTGCGAACCTTAATTGCTAGTAAGGGAAAGCTAATAACAGGCTTATAATAAAATCTTTACTGATTCTAAAAACCTTTTATTCTTCGGCTACAAGAGATATCCAGAAATGTAACTTCGGTTTCTGAATTTAGCAACTAATTTGTCTATATTAAAAAGGTCTTTATAGGAGAAGCCGGCAGGACTGGGCGCGCGGGTGGGGATCAGAAGCCAGTTGTCGTGAGAGGTTTTCTCGCTCTAGGGAGAGTCTTCAAGCAATCACTATATCAACAGACACAGATGTTTCCCTTTCTTCATATAATGAAGATCAGGGATCCAAACTTATTTGAAGAGCCA
This sequence comes from Homo sapiens, assembly GCF_000001405.40. Taxonomy (NCBI): domain Eukaryota; kingdom Metazoa; phylum Chordata; class Mammalia; order Primates; family Hominidae; genus Homo; species Homo sapiens. Next base: position 174,633,002 of record NC_000005.10, read on the forward strand.
AAGAGGCCCATTCGTACCCATTGGAATGGCAGGTGTTGCAGCAATTGTTGCATATGGATTATACAAATTGAAGAGCAGGGGAAATGCTAAAATGTCCCTTCATCCGATCCACATGCGTGTGGCAGCCCAAGGCTGTGTTGCAGGAGCAATGACTGTTGTTATGGGCTATTCCATGTATCAGGAATTCTGGGCAAAACCTAAGCCTTAAAGAAGAGATGCTGTCTTGGTCTTGTTGGAGGAGCTTGCTTTAGTTAGACGTCTCATTACTCAAGTTATGTATTGTTGAAAATAAACTAATTTGTGTGGGTTTAGATGGTAACACAGCATTTTGAATATTGGCTTCCTTTCTTGAAAGCTTGATTTGCCTGGTGACCAAATGACTACTGATTAGTTTACTAACTAGGTCCTTCAAGGAAGTCAAGTTAACTTAAAAGAAGTATGTCACCTAAATGCACTTGATGCTGTTGAAATGTCCACCTTCTTAAATTGTCAAGATGAACTTCGTTCTAAAGAAGATAACAAGCCAACCCTGTAGTACTCCCAGTTTGCTGCAGAATCTCACATATTTTGGATGTTACGTAAGAGTCCTATTTGCCCCAGTTAATTTAACTTTTTTCTGCCTGTTTTGTGGACTGGCTGGCTCTTTTAGAACTCTGTCCACAAAGTGCATGGAATATAATTTGTAAACCTTCCCACAACTGACAATATATACGTGTATGTTTAAACCAGATCTAGAAAGCTTACAATAGAGCTGCATAATAGCAGTATTCATTAAAGAATCACAGTTGTAAACATGAGAATAACTTATGCATTCTAGTTTTTCTGCTGATGTTATATTAGAATAAATTTTTTTTTTTTTTTTTTTTTTGAGACAGAGTCTCGCTCTATCGCCCAGGCTGGACTGCAGTGGCGCCATCTCGGCTCACTGCAAGCTCCGCCTCCCGGGTTCACGCCATTCTCCTGCCTCAGCCTCCGGAGTAGCTGGGACTACAGGCGCCCGCCACCACGCCCGGCTAATTTTTTGTATTTTTAATAGACACGGGGTTTCACCGTGTTAGCCAGGATGGTCTCTATCTCTTGACCTTGTGATCCGCCCGCCTCGGCCTCCCAAAGTGCTGGGATTACAGGCGTGAGCCACCACGCCCGGCCTATACCCAAACTTTTATATACTACAGAACGCTATTTCACTTGTGAAATTCTCTTGTCTAACTGAATTTACCTTCCATGGTGATAATATGGTATACGTGTTGTTATTAAAGTAAATAACCTGCCGGGTGTGGTGGCTCATGCCTGTAATCCCAACACTTTGGGAGGCCAAGGTGGGTGGATAACCTGAGTTCAGGAGTTCAAGGCCAGCCTGGCCAACATGGTGAAACCCTGTCTCTAGTAAAAATACAAAAATTAGCCAGGTGTGGTAGCAGGCGCTTGTAGTCCCAGCTACTCAGGAGGCTGAGGCAGGAAAACTGCTTGAACCCGGGAGGTGGAAGTTGCAGTGAGCCATGATCGTGCCACTGCACTGCAGCCTGGGTGACAGAGTGAGACTCCATCTCAAAAAAAAAAAAAAAGTAAATGACCATATCAAAAAAAAAAAAAGGTCTTTATAGTAATGCTGTGGTGCTATATAGAGTACGTTTTCATTTACGTGCATTTAATCTTGGTTTATAATATGAACTGTCATGGGAAATGATAAAAAATTAAATATTAATAAAAGGAGCAAGGAACAAAAAAAGAACTCTCAAGGACTGCTTTGCACCAGAACCATTCATTGCCCCCCAGGAAAATTAGCTCAGATGTAAATTGGAAATCTGGGAAGACCAGCAGCCTGGCGGAATGCACCCCTAGATAGGGAGTACACCACAGAGGCCAGGCAGGGCCATGGAGTGCAACCTGTGCTGGGCCCGGAGTCAGGACACCTGAGCTCCAGCCCCGACGCAAGTCATTTCACATGGGTTTTATCGAGTTTCTTGCTCACTTGTTTCTTGGTTTATTGCACAAGCACGTGCTGGGTGCAGCCCCTGGATCCAGTTCTACGTTGGGCAGGAGGAATGCTGAGATGCCAGGGGCACCCCACATGGCCCTGCCCACAAGGAGCCTGAGGTCTAGAACAGGGACAAGCTGCAAACAACAACTGCAGTATGACATGCTTGCTGGACGCTGAGATTTATCCCTGAGGATACTGGAGTTTCATGAGAATTGTATAATTTATCATTTCTTTTGATGATAACAAAAACAATCTTTTAAATGTCATAAAGGAAAAAAGTCTTACTTTAGGAACTGTGAGGTCATCCATGAGAGGGTGACGGTCTCTGCAAGGTTAGGGGCAAGGGAGCCGGGCATCATGGAGAATTTCTCCACAGCAGTGACCAGCGCTTTTGAGCTGGGTCAGGCTGTGTGAATTGGAACTCAGTGACTGGAGTGATAGGGAGAGAGGAAAGGCAGGCCGAGCAGAGGGCACAGCGGGTGCAATGGCAGAGGGCAGCAGGCTGCGTACCATATAGCCATGGTGAGCGCAGTTCAAGGATCCCCGTCCAAAACAGGTGGAGGGGAGTGGGTATGGTCACCGTGCAGAACGCGGGTCACTGGGGGCCTTGTGTGCTGGGCTGAGGCCTTACTCCAGCCTACAGTGGGTAGGGCCGAGCTTTGCTCCGGCCCCTCTGTGCACCTCAATTTCATCATCTGAAAAATAGAGAAGGTCAAGGGCCAGGTAGGTCCTAGGGAGCGTTAGTGTGTCTGGCTCCTGCATTGCTTCTGGGAAGGCGAATCTACTCCTCTCTCTGACTTTCCCCAGTGCAGGTGGTCCAAAGCTGAGGGCAGTGGCTACTTAAAAGCCAGTTAGGACAACCAGAGGGTTGCTGGTTACACCACCTGGCACACAGCTGGCACTGACTTTCCCCAGTGCAGGTGGTCCAAAGCTGAGGGCAGTGGTTACTTAAAAGCCAGTTAGGACAACCAGAGGGTTGCTGGTTACACCACCTGGCACACAGCTGGCACTGATTAAATGTCCACTCCCTCCTCCTTTGAGGGCTTTTCAGTTGGGTTACCACGTCTGAGCTAGATATATTAGGAAGCAATTGCTCCAGAATATCTTCTAAAGATGGCCCGACCTTGGCCCATGATGGGTGGTGCCACATTAGGGCCACACAGTCAAGGCCAGGACAAGAAGCCACTCCTGGGCTCACATAGGAAGAGGAGGATCAGCTAGGCGGCCCTGCCACCCTCCCGTCTGTGTAGCTCAGCTGGGCTTTCTCAGTTTTGTTTGTCCTCTGCAGGATGCAGAGGAATCCTGACTGACTGGCTACACGTGGTTTTTTTTTTTGCTGGAACAGACTGTTCTGAGGTTTCACAACACCTCTACCTCAACCAGCCACTCTGGCCCTAAATCCTGCACCTTGCAAAGGTATCTGGCTACAGGCCCCCGCTCTGAGTCCTGAACGTGCCTGAAGAATGCTTGTTAGGGCATTCTGAATTAACTCAATCATCTTGTCAATGTGGGCCAGAATGCCCGGGGAACAGATGAAGCTACCAGCCTGACATCCCACTCTCCAGGAAAGCTGGATTTGGGCTGCACGTATGCCATAGCGCAAGTCTCTAAGAGTCAATGCCTAGGGGTCTCCATTTTGTTGCCAAACATTTAAAACTGCACCTTGGGTGACATAGACCTGTTTCTCCTACATTAATTTTCTTCTCGAGATGGCTGAAGACTCAGAAAATTCTTGCTTTGCACATGGAAGCCATTTCCCTACATCTCCACTGATGCATCCACTCATTTCGCCAATGCAGATTTATTGAGCACTTACTACATGCCAAGAAGTGAGAGTAGTCTGCAGCTGGAAGAAGAAATGGTGCCTGTGCTGGCATAGCAACCCCTAAAGCCCCTGAAACCTGTCACCTCTACAATTCAGGTGTTGTGGGGCAATTATACGTGGTAAGGGCCGGGCAAGGTGGCTCACGCCTGTAATCCCAACACTTTGGGATGCCAAGGTGGGTGGATTGCCTAAGGTCAGGAATTCAAGATCCCATCTCTACTAAAAATATGGCGAAACCCCGTCTCTACTAAAAATACAAAAAATCAGTCCAGCATGGTGGCGTATGCCTGCAATCCCAGCTATTCAGGAGGCTGAGGCAGGAGAATCGCTTGAACCTGGGAGGCGGAGGTTGCAGTGGGCCGAGAACTAAATGTATGAGAAGTGTTTAGAATGGTGCTGCACAGAGCACTGGCTGAACACACAATATCTAGTTACACAAATCAAACAGCCTGCAATTAAATTCCACCAGAAGGCCGGGTGCACCACTGCCCTGCAGCCTGGGTGACAGAGTGAGACTCTGTCTCAAAAAAAAAAAACACAAAAAAAACCACAAAGGTAAGACCTGAGGATCTGTACCCAAAGAGATCTGGGTTTGAATCCTGCTCCCAACATTCCCTGCTCTGTGAAAATATCCATTTCCCCTCTGAGCTTCAGTTCTTCTTCTCTTAACAGGAAAAATGATCCTGTAATCCCAGTTACTCGGGAGGCTGAGGCAAGAGAATCGCTTGAGCCCAGGAGGCGGAGTGAGCAGAACAACCCTCAGAGGGCTGTTGCGAGGTCCATTGAGACCAGATCTGTAAAGACGTCAGTGTAAGGAATTCCCATAGGAAGGGCCCTGCTCCCACGGCTGCTGCCACGCTGTGGTTGATGTTTCATTTTGTCCACTGCATGATCTTGACCACTTCACACTTCCATTTCCTGAACTCTAAAATGGTGATAATAAGATCTACGTAACAAGCTTTACATAGAATATTTAAGAAGAGAATGTTTGTAACATTAAACGATAAACATATGGCACAGCATACATCTTTATTTTATTTTATTTTATTTTTTTGAGACAGTCTCACTCTCTCACCCAGGCTGGAGTGCAGTGGCACAATCCCCACTCATTCTGCCTCCTGGGTTCAAGTGATTCTCATGCCTCAGCCTCCCGAGTAGCTGGGACTACAGGAGCGCACCAACACATCCGGCTAATTTTTGTATTTTTAGTAAAGACGGGGGTTTCGCCGTGTTGACCAGGCTGGTCTCGAACTCCTGACCTCAAGTGATCCGCTCATCTCGGCCTCCCAAAGTGTTGAGATTACAGGCATGAGCCACCACGCCCAGCCAGCATACATCTTATTATAAGAAAACAAAATGAGCCCATGCTCCCTTTGACTATGATAAGGTAGAACACTTTTGCTACTCTGTTTTCTATAAATATTCCAAAGCAAAACACCTGTGGCTACTGTAATGCCAAGTACCACGCTCTGTGCACTCACATCTTTTGTTATTTAATGGGCTTTGGGAAGTGGTCATGATCCCTGCTCTGCAGATGATAAAACAGTGGCTCAGAGAGGTTCCAGAGCTTTCCCAAGGTTACACGCTAACAAGCTGGGATTGGACCCAAATCCGTTTAACTCAAAAGGCCTTGCACTTGCCACTGTATGTTCCTGACAGCCCACAGGTGGTGTGCATGTGAGTCTTCGAGACGCCATTCACTCAGGGAATGTAGCAGCCACCATATATAGAGCAGCCCTGCCAGCTCTGATTGTCATTACCACTCATGGTTCAAGCAGTGAGGCACTTGCCCCTCCGAGTTACATCCCCATCAGGGGTCCCTCCCAAAATCTTTACAATTAGGCAGTTGCCCTTCACTTTCCTTCTGGGGTAGTGTGTTCAAATTTAGCAAATAAAAGTGCAGGATGCCTAGTTAAGTTTGAATTTCAAATTTAAAAAAATACATTTTCAGTATTAGGATGGATTATCTAGGGGTAAACAGCATTTGATTTTTTTAAATCTGATAACCCTCCTTTCAGCTGACCACCAAGTTTGGCTGGGGGCAGAGCATCGGTCAAGCTTGGATAGGAAGGGGGCAGAATGAACCAGGGAGACTCTGCAAATCTTTATTCAAGGCTGTCAGAAGTTTAACCTTCACTGTTAACCCCCTCCTTATCCCAGCTCTGAGGGTCAATTCAGGATTCACACCTGCCTCCCAGAGAAAATGCAAGTGGAACAGTTTGAGAGAAGTTAACCTTTTCTCTTCTCCCTTCCTTGTGAGAGGAGTAATAAATCCAGGAACTGCTAGGCACTTTCCAACACTTCTTTCCCAAGAGCACAGACCAGACAAGAATTGGAGTCTAGAAATTAAAGATGGAGCTTCATCAAGGAGACGATCAGAAAGGCCAGTTCAAAGGGAACAGCATGTGCAGAACCTCAGAACTTTGCAAGGAGGTGTCGTGTGCAGAAAAATGGAGAGATTCACCGGGCACAGTGGCTCACGCCTGTAATCCCAACACTTTAGGAGGCCGAGGTGGGTGGATCACCTGAGATCGGGAGTTTGAGACCAGCCTGACCAACATGGAGAAACCCCGTCTCTACTAAAAATACAAAATTAGCCGGGCGTGGTGGCTCATGTCTGTAATCTCAGCTATTCCGGAGGCTGAGGCAGGAGAATTGCTTTAACCTGGGAGGCGGAGGTTGCGGTGAGCCGAGATCACGCCATTGCACGCCAGCCTGGGCAACAAGAGTGAAACTCCGTCTCAAAAAAGAAAAAAAGAAAAATGGAGAGATTCATGTGTAACTGAGGCCTCAGATGTTCCAGGGAGTGACTGGGAAGAGAGAGGCAACCAGGCCCCAAAACGTAAGAGGCTGTGGATGTTGGTTACTGATTTTGGATACTATCCCAAAGACAATGAGAAGTCATTGAAAGATTTTGACCAGGGGAGTTACATGACTGATGATTTAATTTTGCTTTTATTTGATTACTGGGGAGGTTGGACTGTTTTTCCATGTTTGCTGTTTGTATTTCTTGTTTTACTTTTTTTTATTTGTAATAACTTTGAACATAGAAGGGTTTTAATTTCTTCCAATTTTTATAATGTTCCTCATTTCCCTTTTTAAAGATTTTATGATTTTTAAAGTAAAAACCAGTTTGAATTTCATACAAATATGTTGTTATGTTTTTAAGTGTAGATTCTTTCAGTATTTTTGTCTTAAGAAAGTAACTTTCTCTTCTGAGGAGAGATTCCAGATGGATAGTAGAGTTAAATTAAAAAAAAAAAATGTGGCTGGCTGCGGTGGCTCACGCCTGTAATCCCAGCACTTTGGGAGGCTGAGGTGGGCGGATTAGGAGGTCAGGAAATCGAGGACATCCTGGCTAACATGGTGAAACCCTGTCTCTACTAAAAATACAAAAAATTAGCCGGGCGTGGTGGCGGGCGCCTGTAGTCCCAGCTACTCGGCAGGCTGAGGCAGGAGAATGGCGTAAATCCAGGAGACGGAGCTTGCATTGACCCGAGATCACGCCACTGCACTACAGCCTGGGTGACAGAGCGAAACTCTGTCTCAAAAAAAAAAAAAAAAAAAAAAAAAAAAAAAAAAGCATAGGTATTTTTCTTCTAGTTTTTTTCAAAAAGCTTATATGTATATTGTTTGTTAGGTTTAACTGTATAATCCATCTGGAATTTATTTTGAAGTCTGGTATGAAGTGATGATCTGTCTTTTTTCCCTCAAATACTCAGTTTCCCCAACGCCTTTTATTGATTAAATTCATGTCTTACCCACTGTTGTACTTCCTTATCATAAAGTGGGTTTCAAATGCCCAGGAATTGGTTTCAGAAGGTCTATTCTATTCCAATAACCAATTTGTCCATTCCTGTTCAAATTCTATACCATTTTCATTACTGTAACTTACTAATGCATATATAACATCTGATAAGAATGCTCACTCATTCTTTTACAAAATCGTCTTTTACTATTCTTCCAAGTAAACTTAGAATCCATTTGTTGTGTTCTAAGAAAAATTCTATTGTGATTTGGACAGAATTAGTTTGAAAGAATTGCCATGATACGTCACTCAAATACATTATTTCTAAATGACCTTTTTTTTTTTTTTTTTGAGACGGAGTCTCACTCTGTCGCCCAGGCTGGAGTGCAGTGGCGCAGTCTCGGCTCACTGCAAGCTCCGCCTCCTGGGTTCATACCGTTCTCCTGCCTCAGCCTCCCGAGTAGCTGGGACTACAGGCGCCCGCCACCACATCCAGCTAATTTTTTGTATTTTTAGTAGAGATGGGGTTTCACTGTGTTAGCCAGGATGGTCTCGATCTCCTGACCTCGTGATCCACCCACCTCGGCCTCCCAAAGTGCTGGGATTACAGTCATGAGCCACCGCGCCAGGCCTCAGATACATTATTTCTAATACTCACAAAACTCCATGAAGTTGGTATAATTATCTCCATCTTACAAATGAGTAAACTGAGGCTCTGAGAACTCACCAGCCTGCCTAAAGCCACACATTTGAATATGTCTGAGATGCAAGCCCACTACTTTGTTCTTGCAGTTCAAATGCTTCACTCAGCAGAAAGCTCAGTAAATTAAAAAAAATAAAGACATTTTGGGATACTTACATTTAGCAAACAAGTATTAAGTACCTGTGATGGCCGGGTGCAGTGGTTCATGCCTGTAATCCCAGTACTTTGGGAGGCTGAGGCAGGAGGATCACTTGAGACCAGGAGTTCAAGACCAGCTTGGGTAACATGGCAAAACTCCATCTCTACTAAAAATACAAAAATTAGCTGGGTCTAGGGGTACACACCTGTTGTCTCAGCTACTCGGGAGGCTGAGGCACGAGAATCACTTGAACCCAGGAGGTGTAGGCTGCAGCGAGCGGAGATCACACCACTGCACTCCAGCCTGGGCGACAGAGCAAGACTCTGTCTCAAAAAATAATAATAATAATAATAATAATAATAGTATTAAGTACCTGTTATGTGCCAGATACTGGGGATAAAAACAAGTAAGACACAATTTCTGCCATGAAGGTACTTGCAGTATTGGAGAGAGAGCAGGAGAAAAGTATACAGATAATTATAGTACAGTGTAATAAGTTATGCCAAAACAATAGTTTCTTGTATTGTATGCTTATCATGTGCCAGGCACCGTTCTAAACCCATTACCTACATCTTCTCATTTTATCATATGAGGTTTACTTTCTGTTGCATCCATTTCACATATGAGAACACCAAGGCGAAGATGTTAAATAACTTGCCCAAGATAGTGAAGTTGCCAAGAGGCAGAGCTAGTATAATGGATCCTCCTTGTTCAACCTGGACAGATTTCCTTGGGGAGGTACAGACGGCCTGAGTCTGGAAGGATGCCCAGGAATGAAGCAGGCAGCAAAGAGGGAAAAATTGAGTTCACAGGCATGGAAACTATTGCCTGCAAAGCTATGGGCAAGAAGGCCCAGGGTGCACTGGGGAGAATGAGGGTTAAGTTATCATAACCATAACAAGTGATGTTTATTGAGCACCTACTAGATGCCACATACTCTCCTGAGTGCTTCACATGTGGCAACTGATTTAATTTTCACAACAACCCTGTGCAGTATGTGTCAGTCCATTTTATAGACAGGAAAAATGAGGCACAGCAAGATTAAGTAGCTTGACCCTGAGCACAGGGTCACACAGCTAGTAAGCAGCAGAGCTGGAAATGCAAGTGGAGAAGGAATGTAGTTCAGATCATGAAAAGTCTCAAAAAAAAAACCAATTTGAATTGGAACCTATAAACCTGGAGAGTCACTAAAGGGTTTTGAATAAGTGGCATGGTCAGATTTACAATGAACTGGGCAGAAAGATGATAGTCACCCTCATTTCAGCCAATAGCCAGGCAGCACATTGTATTTCTATGATCTCACTGAAACACCATGACCAATCAACCCAGGCAGGTATTATTACTTCCATTTTTATATTATCAAACTAGGGCTCTGAGGAAGCAAATGACTTTACCATCACTAGATGGTGGTGGAGATAGAACTCAGATTCTGGTGCATCTAACACCAAAGACCAGCTCTCTGCATCTCAGACAGTAGAGAAAATGACAAGGAAGTGGGGAGCAGGGGCTTGCCTCCCCCATCCCTAGTGGGTCACAGCACTCACCCACGTAGGGGGTGACAGTTCCCTGGCAGGTATGTAGGTCACCTCCTGACAGTAATTAAAATGGAGAGTTGCAAAGAGATAAAACTTTACAAAGCATTCTTGGCATTCTTGCCCATGACTAGACCAATATTAACTTTCGTTTGGGAGCATTGATGGGCAGTTCCTTCAGGAGTTGAGTAACTCCTTCCATTTTTCCTTCTGTACTGGAAAATCTCCACCTTCTGAGTCTAGACACCCGTTGCTTGGAATGACAGTAGGAGCCTACATGCTGAGAGGCTGGCCCTGGAACCGATGCCACCAAGTGAGCATGGCCCATCTGGAACACATTTGGGCACCAAGGGTCATAATCATTTGTGATCCTGAGAACATGCACCAGAGACAGTTCACTGGGAACTTTAAAGAAAAACCAAGAAGACAGAGTCAGCTAAGTAAACATGTAAAAAATACTTCTGTGTGAGGGAGATGAGGGGAGAAAAGCAACTGATATAAAAAGCAAAGAAGGCCGGGCCTGGTGGCTCACGCTTGTAATTCCCGCACTTTAGAAGGCTGAGGCAGGCAGATCACTTGAGTCCTGGAGTTCGCGACCAGGCTGACCAACATGGCAAAATCCCATCTCTACAAAAAAATACAAAAACTAGCTGGGCATGATGGCATGTGCCTTTAGTCCCAGTTACTCAGGGGGGTTGAGGCAAGATGATAGCTTGAACCCAGAAGGTCGAGGCTGCAGTGAGCTGAGATGGCACCGCTGCACTCCAGCCTGGGTGACAGAGCAAGACCCTGTCTCAAAAAAAAAAAGAAAGAAAGAAAGAAAGAAAGAAAGAAAAAGAAAAGAAGCAGACTGGAAATGAAAGCCGAACCTACGGAGAGGAGAAACCATTGTCCCCATTTTGCAGATAAGAAAACCGAGGCTCTGGAATATTAAGTAACTTGCCCAAGATCAAGCAGCAGCTGAGTTGGTTTCCAATCCATAGCTGTTCTTCAAAGCATGAGCTATTGAGCCCTAAACTATTCTGTAATTAGAAGAAAAGGAGACTCGAAAAGTTAAAAAAAATTACAGTAGGCCTGGCGCAGTGGCTCACGCCCGTAATCCCAGCACTTTGGGAGGCCGAGGAGGGCGGATCACAAGGTCAGGAGTTCAAGACCAGCCTGACCAAGATGGTGAAACCTCGTCTCTACTAAAAATACAAAAATTAGCCTGGCATGGTGGTGGGCGCCCATAATCCCAGCTACTCGGGAGGCTGAGGCAGAGAATTGCTTGAACCCAGGAGGCAGAGGTTGCAGTGAGCCGAGATCGTGCCACCGCACTCCAGCCTGGGTGACAGAGCAAGATTCAGTCTCGGAAAAAAAAACAAATTACAGTAAATGTGTTAGACAAAATCAACACCTACTTGGATATAAAAAGTACATTCCATTTGATCATAAAATAATCCAGAACCTAACATATGTGAGCAGAGAACAGCATGATGTGTGCAATTAAAAACCAATTTGACCTTTGAGAACATTCAAAGAAATGTAAATGAAAACAAGAATTTGCTATTTAACATCAAATAAATTCCGTGGAAAATAATGATAACACCTAATGCTAGGAAAGATGAGTAGAAACTAAAACACAGCAGCAGAGCTGTTAGGCAGGTTTAATTGGTTCTGCCTGGTTGAAAAATAATTTGGCAGCATATTTCAAATGTTAACCACATTTTCATATGCCTCAACTGTAATGCCAAGCTTGGAAATGAATCTAAGTAAATAATGCAAAATGAAGGCAAAGCCGTGCTGCAGCCTTCTCTATGATAATAACAAAGAAAACAAAACAAAAATCAGAAACCATCAAAATGCCCAACAGTACAGTAATTGTTGCGTTCATTAGTCATGGGGCATCTATTTAGAAGACTTTGACGGTCATTTAAAATTTTAATTCTCAACACTATGTAGCATGATGGAAAATGTTTTTGCTAGAACATTAAGAGAAAAGAGCAGTCTACCAAATGGCATGTAAGCTATGATTGAGATGATGAAAATGTGTATCTGCAAATGGACAGAGAAAAGAAAGGAACATGGACCAAAAAAAAAAAAAAAAAATGAAAACAGGTTGTTTGGGTGGTGGGATTGAGGCTAATTTTTTATGTTACAGTTGATGCAATATTTGTGCAAGGAAGGAAAAACATCACACTCATAAAAATGATAGCTCTGTGATTGTATCAGGCCAAATTCCTCCAGTGCTAAAAATACATTAAGAACTTCTGGAGAGCTCCATTAACTCTTTAAATTACCACTGTGGGACCATTGAATGTTAAAATAACAATAATAGTAGTATAAAAAAAGGCCAGTAAGTTAATGCTGCTTCCAAATTTACCAAGTTAACTCCCAAGACATAACTGAAGCATTAAGACAATGTGGCCCAACAAGCCCAAATATAGAAGAGTCAGAGAGTCACACAGTGTGGCTAGCCGTGTATGGACAACCACAAAACACCACTTACAGGTTGGCCTTAATGCATTCCTAATTCTCACCATATTTCCCACAGCTAAAGCTTGCCCCCTGAATGAGGTCTCTCCCTTCCTCACCTTCTAAGGCATTTCATGTTTACGGTTTAGGTTTTAAACTAAGGCTAAAGATCCTAGTTTATGCGCTATACTGCTCAGATTGTCTCCCACTGGTTGAACTTATCTTCTTAATGCAATGCTGCAAGCTACAAGGAAAGAGCTATGTCGCTACCTGGTGAAGCGTTCCCACAACTCTGGCATCCTATCAGGCACCAGGAACACTTACATGTGGTAGTTCGTGTGGCCACTGTAACAGATTACCTCCAAGTTGGTGGCTTAAGACAGAAATGTAATTTCTCACAGTTCGAGAGGCCACAAGTCTGAAATCAGTAGCAATAGGCTGGAATCAGGAAGTCAGCCGGGCCACGCTGCTTATCCAGGCTCTTCCAGCTCCCAGTGGCTGCCAGCATTCCTTGGCTTGTGGCTGCATCACTTCAGTCTCTGCCTTCCTGGTCACATTCTGTTCTTCTGTGTCAACTCTCCCTCTACCTCTCTCTTACAAGGACCCTTGTGATGGCATGTAGGGTCCACCCAGATAACCCAGAATGACCTCCCCATCTCAGGATATATAACTTAATCACATCTGCAAAGTTCCTTTTGCCATGTAAGGTGACATTTCCAGGTTCTGGAGATTAGGACTTGACTCTCCCTTGGAAGGGGGCATTATTCAGCCTGCCATACTGTATGTCATGGACATGGGGGATAGAATGAGGCACTTCTCTCCCGGAAGCTAGACCAGGACATAAACCTCTCCTATGCCGAAAAACCTCCAGGAATGTAAGCGGACTCATTCCTCCATCCCTTCTCTCAGCAACCATCTGCGCTATGTTTACTTGACCAGGCTCAGTTTGGGGCACCAGGGATATAGATCTAAATAAGGCCAAGCTTTGCCCTTGAGTTGCTCAGGGCCTAGTGTGTGTGAAGGGGTGCGGTGACAGCCAAGTAAAAAACTCCCATGTGATGTGCCCTGTGCCAGAGCAAAGGTTGGTGAACAAAGCACTGTGAACAGTCAGATGAAAGATGATTCAGAGACCATGAAATGTGACAGTGGTTAATTGATAAGCAGGGGCCAGGCAGGCTGAAGAAGAGCAGGAGGACATCTCAGTCTGGCCTAGAAGAGCAAGAAGGAATGAGATAACAGAGGCAAGTCTGTCTGGGTTGAGGCACTGGGGGACCAGGGCCGGGGGCAAGTAGGAGCATGAGGCCAAACCAGACCTGCATCAAGAGATGGGACTGAGAGCTGTGCAGAGCCATAGAATGTTCTGAGCAAATAGTGTGCTCACAGTTCCACCTCACAGAACCAATTCACCCTCTTACCCAACGGAATTGCCCCTGCAAACATGCACAGCCACACAGATAAGGTATTTGAGGATGTTCACTAGCGCACTGCTTCAACAGCTAAATTTCTATGCAACCTGAATATCCTTCAGCACGCACTGGTTCAATAAATGCCAAACTATAGGATATTAACCCATTTTTTTTTAAATGAAGAGGAGCCCTGTATACTGACATGAGGGGGATGTTGCTTGGGGAAAACAGTAAGCTATTGAACAAAAATGCATAGTATGATTCCATTTATATATATATATATTTTTTTTTGAGACAAAGTCTCACTCTGTTGCCCAGGCTGGAGTGCAGTGGCACAATCTCGGCCCGCTAATTTTTGTATTTTTAGTATAAGAGACAGGGTTTCAACATGTTGGCCAGGCTGGTCTTGAACTCCTGACCCCAGGTGGTCCACCTGCCTTGGCCTCCCAGTGTGCTGGGATTACAGGTGTGAGCCACCACGCCCGGCCTCTCCATTTGTTTTTCTTAAAAAACCCCAAACTGTATGAATCTAGGTAAATATAGACAGAGAGAAAAAGGTCTTAAGAATACATAAAAATGAATGATAGCGAATCTAGGAGAATGGATGCAGAAAAGGAATTGAAAGGAATAACTCTTGACCCTATTCACGGCTGGGATTTTGACGTTTTTATACATAAATATAAGAGAAACAGATGGCCTTAAAAAACAATTTCAATAAAAACAAAGGGCAGGCCGGGCGCGGCGGCTCATGCCTGTAATCCCTGCACTTTGGGAGGCCGAGGCGGGTGGATCACTTGACGTCAGGAGTTTGAGACCATCCTGGCCAACATGGTGAAACCCTGTCTCTACTAAAAATACAAAAATTAGCCAGGCGTTGTGGCTCACGCCTGTAATCCCAGCTACTCGGGAGGCTGAGGTAGGACAATCGCTTGAATCTGGGAGATGGAAGTTACAGTGAACCAAGATCGCGCCACTGCACTCCAGCCTGCACGACATGAGCGAGACTCCATCTCAAAAAAAAAAAGAGAGAGAAGGTGAGATTGAAGGGCTGATGGAAGGACCCAGGTTCTTCCAAGGATGAAGGGCACCACTACACTCCAGCCTGGGTGACAGAGGGAGACTCTGACTCAAAAAAAAAAAAAAAGGGCAACAAGGTAGCACAGTTTCCAGTTGTTCTTTTGAGAAGGTCCCACACAGCATACGTGAAACGTTGACTGACCCTTGTGGCTGAGGCGAGAGGCAGGGAGGCCGGTCACTGGTCAGGAGGCCCCCAACAGCCCAGGGCAAGGGAAAGGCCCAGGGGAGTGCCCAGGAACTATAGAAGAAAGTAGAAGAGGTTTCCAGACAGAAGCAAGTCCACATGCAGCCCATACTAAGTGGCAGAGAGGAGCCGCAGGCTGTAGTGTGGAGGCTGACTGCTGTGGGGCTGATAAATCTTGTGCAGTGGAGTGGATGGTGGGGCCTGTCACTGAGAGCCAGGTCAGGGAGAATGAGTGATGTTCCAAGGGAGGAGAGGAAAGAGAAATGCAGGCTGTGCTTTTGGAGATGTTTGAAATGTTGCCCTTCTTCCGAGTTGGCTATCTTTCTGAGAGAATGGTCTCTTTGTTCTGCAGAAAAAAGGGGCAGCCCATAGAAGAGCCTGTCTGTGTGGCCCAAAGGAAAGAGCTCCAAGGACTCAGGAACTCTTTGGGGTACCAGAGCAGACCCTCTTGTGTCCAGAGGCTGTTCCTTCCAGTGGGTTCGTGGTCTCGCTGACTTCAAGAATGGAGCCACAGACCTTCATGGTGAGTGTTACACCTCTTAAAAATGGAATGGACCCAAAGGGTGAGCAGCAGCAAGATTTACAGTGAAGATCAAAAGAAGAACCCTTCCACAACCATGGAAGGGTAACCGAGCAGGTTGCCTATGTGGCTGTGGTGGCCAGCTTTTATTCCTTTATTTGTCCCCACCCATGTCCTGCTGATTGGTCCATTTTACAGAGTGGTGATTGTTCCATTTTACAGAGTGCTGATTGGTCCATTTTACAAACCTCTGCCTAGCCACAGAGCCCTGATTGGTGCATTTTTGCAGTGCACTGATTGGTGCATTTTACAAACCTCTAGCTAGACACAGAGCGCTGATTGGTGCGTTTTTACAGAGCACTGATTGGTGCATTTTACAAACCTCTTGTAAGACAGAAAAGTTCTTCAAGTCCCCACCCGACCCAGAAGTCCAGCTGGCTTCACCTCTCACTCTGACCTAGGAGTCTCAACAGTCTCCCTTACAGAAGAAGTTTTACAAGTTAATGACAAGATGACAGCCACCCAGGCTGCCTCCTGTGACTCATTATGACCCAGATGCTTTTAAGACATATTATAAAGCTACATTAATCAAGACAGTTTGGTATTCCTGAAAGTATAAATACATAGATCCATGGAACAGATTACAGAGCAGGGCCTCTACCAAGCCCACCCCTCCCAGTTGTAAACACATCCATAACTTAGCTCCAGATAAAATTCACAGCTCCCTAGCTGGCCCATGCAAACCTTTGGCTTTGTGGACAAAATCTGGGAGCAAGACCTAAAAGCGAGGGTACCCCTCCTGGGCTCTTCACCTAGGCTTTTCTGCAGGCGGCTGTAAGTAAGAGACAGCTAAGAACATAAGGAGGCCAGTGGTTTCACTTTTCTTAATAACATTTGTAGGATTTCTCCCTTTGGTAATAAATGACGTACGTGTCTTTCCTTGTAGAAATGATGATAGCTGTGTGATCGGTTTTCAAACTCCAAATTTAGCCAGCCATTTCGTGGTGCCTCTGCTGAGTGTTTCTCAGACATAGCCCAGCCCTGGACAATAAATATCAGTTGAAATGAATAACCCTTATTGCCAAAGTTGTCGAGCGTATGCTCCTGTTATGAAACTAACAGGCCCTATGTTGTCTGGGTTTCCAGTCACTTCATTGATCAATTCCAGTACCTAGGCCGCAACCAAAGCTTCATCTTCCCTGGAAAACCCACAGGCTATTATGTTTTTGTTAAACTAATGTGAAGGGAAAGAAGAAAACCAACAATTCTGCCAGCGCCAGCCCCCGTGAGTTGTGCTACCTGCTTTTCATGTGTTTTCTCATTTATTTGACACCAGGGCTGGCAATGGGGTTGTGCTTTGCTTCATTTTATGGATGATGAAAGTGAGTCTCTGAGAGGTGAAGTGACTTGACCAAGGTCACACAGCAAGTTGGTGGCATAAAGCCACAAGTGGTCCATCTGACCCCACCACCGGCTTGTCAGGGCTGGTGGGGAGTGTGTGTGTGTGTGTGTGTGTGTGTGTGTGTGTGTGTGTGTGTCTTTTTTTTTTTTTTTTTGAGACAGAGTCTTGCTCTTTTGCCAGGGTGGAGTGCAGTGGCACAATCTCGGCTCACTGCAACCTCCACCTCCCGGGTTCAAGTGATTCTCCTGCCTCAGTCTCCTGAGTAGCTGGAACTACATGTGTGTGCCACCACACCCAGCTAATTTTTGTAATTCTTAGTAGAGACGGGGTTTCACCATGTTGGCCAGGATGGTCTCAAACTCTTGACCTCGTGATCCACCCACCTCAGCCTCCCAAAGTGCTCGGATGACAGGCGTGAGCCACCGCACCTGGCTAGTACATGTGCCTTTATGTCATCTTCTCTGCAGGCTGTTTCCCAGTAGCCTGCTGCTGAGATTGACTTCTACAGCCAGAGCTGCCGGGACATCATACACACTCCGCTCCACCCTTCAGTGAGCTCATTGTAATCAAGACATTACCTGCTATATTTGCTGCAATATACGTCTATAATGTAGCCTGTCATTTGGAATAAGGAACCTGGGGCTACGAGGGACACTCAGTCTTCCCAAATGCCCTCAGCCAACAGAACTACATTCCGCCCCTATCTGTGGCCAAGACTGCTAGCTGCCCTGAAGTACTTTCTTTTATTTTCTTTTTCTTTCTTTTTTTTTTTTTTTTTGACAGAGTCTCACTCTGTCACCCAGGCTAGAGTGTAGCAGCATGATCTCAGCTCATTGCAACCTCCACCTCTTAGGTTCAAGCACTTCTTGTGCCTCAGCCTCCCCCTGTAGCTGAGATTACAGGCGCCCACCACCATGCCTGGCTAATTTTTGTATTTTTAGTAGAGACAGGTTTCACCATGTTGGCCAGGCTGGTCTCGAACTCCTGACCTCAAGCAATCCACCCACCTCTCCTGACCTCAAGCAATCCACCCACCTCGGCCTCCCGAAGTGCTGTGATAACAGGTGTGAGCCACCGCACTCGGCCCTTGAAGTACTTTCTCTCATCTTCCTCTTTGGTACCAGAACCTCTGATTGTAGCTGGGCACGTGGAATAAAGAAATTTCTCAGCTTTCCCGGCAGTTGAGTGTGATCAGGTGGCTAAGTTAGGGCTAATAGCACAAAAACAGAGGTGCTCTTCCCTTTCTCCTTTTTCTTTCCTGCTGTCTGGAATGCAGGCATGATGGCAGTATCTCTAGAGGCCGTCTTGGAGCATGAGGTGAAAGCCGCATCATGAAGATGGCAAAGAAGCAAGAGAACTGGGGTCTGGGCCCCACTAACCCTGGAGTTTTCCAAGCAGTCTGGACTGCCTTCTTGTCTACCTCCAGACTCCCCTTATGCAAGAAAAATAAACCTCCATCTTGTTTAAGCTACTGTTATTTTGGGTTTTCTGGTATCTGCAGCTTAACCTAATTATACCTGTTAATTAGTCTTGTGTCAAAAGCCCTGAAGGTAGGGCCCTTATATTAACCACCTTGTACCCTCCAATTCTAGCCCAGTACCTGCCCTGCAAAACAGGCTCAAGCACTGACCAAAATGCAGAGTTAGAGGCAGCCTCAGGAAGCACCTAGACGTCTACCACTGACTAAAGCTGATAGTTTCATCACCCTCAGAACCTGCCAACTGCCTGTGACTGGACTCCCCGCCCTCATGCAGGTACCAAGTCCTGATGGTACCAAGTCCTGGTGGTACCCAACTACCTTCAATGTCCACCTCCTCCTTTCATTCCTCACTGCTCTCCCTGGAGAGGTCTCTGAAGGGTCTCTACTCTGGTCTGGACCAGCCCTGCCTCTGCTCACAAATGTATTCATAGTCCCCCACCCCCACAACCAAGTAGACTCGCTAATTACCTGAGGGCCAGACTGGGAAAAAAATACATTAGGTTTTCACATCTCTTTGAAATCTAAAATAGTTTCCAACATTTTCAGATCTGGAGATTTCCCAGGCAATTGCATACTTCCCAATTCTTGTAAAAAATCGGAAGATGGAATAAGACAGGGCCTGTATTCCCACAGGGCTGCCATTACTGGAGCAGAGCCATGTGTCTACTTGGTGAAGCTGGGAGCTGTGCTCTCCAATTACAGCTGCATTCACCCTCCCACCCAACTCTCTTCCTACCTACTAAGCCCGAGAGGCATTTCAGCCTGCCATCCCTCTTGACAGTTGTGGTAGCCGTGATAACAAAACGTCTTGGTGCTTAGTGGCAGTGATGTACATTTGGGGGATTATTTATATCCGAGGCTGAAATTTAAGTTGCATCCAAAAAAAGGCATGGACTAGACCCCTGTCTCTCAACATATACAAAAATCAAATCAAAATGGATTAAATACTTAAATCTAAGACCTCAAACTATGAAACTACTACAAGAAAACACTGGAGAAACTCTCCAGGACATTGGTCTGGGCAAAAATTCATCGAGAAATACCCGCCAAGCAAAGGCAACTAAAGCGAAAATGAACAAATGGGATCACATCAAGTTAAAAATCTTCTGCACAGCAAAGGCAACAATCAACAAAGTGAAGAGACAACCCACAGAATGGGAGAAAATATTTGCAAACTGTCCATCTGACAAGGGAGTAATAACCAGAATATATAAGGAGCTCGAACAACTCTACGGCAAAAAAGCTAATAATCCGATAAAAAGTGAGCAAAAGACTTAAATAGACATTTTCCAAAAGAAGACATACAAATGGCAAACAGGCATAGGAAAAGGTGCTCAACATCATTGATCATCAGAGAAATGCAAATCAAAACTACCATGAGATATCTCACCCGTTAAGATGGCTTATATCCAAAAGACAGGCAATAACCAATGCTGGTGAGGATGTGGAGAAAAGGAAACCCTTGTACACTGTTGGTGGGAATGTAAATTAGTACAATCAGTATAGAGAACATTTTGGAGGTTTCTCAAAAAAAACTAAAAATAGAGCTAACATATGATCTAGCAATTCCACTGCTGGGTATATACCCAAAAGAAAGGAAACCAGTGTATGGACGAGATATCTGCACTCACATGTTTGTTGCAGCACTGTTAACAATAGCCAAAATTTGGAAGCAAATTTTGTCTGTCCAAACAGACAGACATCAACAGATGAACAGATAAAGAAAATGTGCTACTTACACACAATGGAGTACTATTCAGCCATAAAAAGAATAAGATCCTGTCATTTGCAACAACGTGGATGAAACTGGACACCATTATGTTTAGTGAAGTAAGCTAGGCACAGAAAGACAAGCATTGCATGTTCTCACTTATTTGTGGAATCTAAAAATCAAAACAATTGAACTCATGGACATAGAGAGCAGAAGGATGGTTACCAGAGGCTGGGAAGGGTAGTAGGGGGTTATAGGGAGTTAGGGATGGTTAGTGGATACAAAAAAATAATTAGAAAGCATTAATAAGACCTAGTATTTGATAGCACAACAAAGCGACTATAGTCAATAATAACAGTACGTTTAAAAATAACTGAAAGAGTGTCATTGGATTGTTTGCAACACAAAGAACAAATGCTTGAGCAGATGGAAACCCCATTCTCCATGATGTGATTATTTTGTGCTTGTGTCAAAACATCTCATGTACCCCATAAATATATATATCAACTATGTACCCACAAAACATTAAAAATGAAAAAAATAGCCTGGGTGTGGTGGCACATGCCTGTAATCTCAACACTTTGGAAGGTCAAGGCTAGAGGACTGCTTGAGCCTAGGAGTTCAAGACCAGCCTGGGCAACAAAGTGAGACCCCATCTCCACAAAAAATACAAAAATTAACTGGACGTGGTGGCACCTACCTGTGGTCCCAGCTACTCAGGAGGCTGAGGCAGGAGGATCGCTTGAGTCCAGAAGGTCAAGGCTGCACCAGAAGGTCAAGGCTGCAGTAAGCCATGTTCCCACCACTTCATTCCAGCCCGGGCTACAAAAGGAGATCCTTTCTTCACACCACTTCCACCAAAAAATATATATATATATAATAAATAAATAAATAAGAACTTTAAGTTCTGGTTAAAGAAAAAGAAGAAAAGAAGGCATGGAATTTTCCAGGTGGAGTCAAAGGGACAAGGCAGTGGCATGAGCAAAGGTGGGGAGATAGAACAGAACGTGACATTTTGGAGGACCAGAAAGCCCAACATACCTGGAATCAGTGGGGAGACGCTGAATGGCTAGAGCACTGCTCTTGTGCTCATAACATCCTACGCTGCCTCCTTAGGCATTTGTGTTACCTGCATGGTCCCTCTAGGAAATTTGACATTTTGATCCCTTGGACTGCAGAGTAAATTCTAAGTTCTTTCAATTGGCAGATGGATCCATCAGGAAGGGCCCTGCTATGCTGTGATAACAAACATCTTCCAAACCTCAGTGAATATAGCATGTTTACTCTTGCACATACTATGTGGCCACTGTAGCTTGACGGACAGGCTCTTCTAATCAGAGTCATTCAAGGGCTCAGGCAGACAAAAACCCCCATCTCCACATGTGCCAAAATCACACAAGGCAGGAGAGCAGAATGCACTGAGTTGCTGTCACTCAGGAGCAACATGTGTCTCTCACATTCACATTTCGTCAGCCAGGAGAGTCACATGACCCCTCCAATGTGGAAGCGGGCAGAGAAGAAAAATCCTACCATGAGCCTGGAAGGAGGAAAAGAATTGCATGTCTGTGAACATCCTAATGATGATCTGCAATGGTGTGAATGTTTCCTAAGATTTATGTGTTGAAACTTAATCACCATTGTGGTGGCATTAGAAGTGGGGCCTTTGGGGAAGTGATTAAGTCATGAAGGCTCTGCCATCATGAATAGATTAGTGCCTAACGAAAGGGCTGTGAGGAAACAGCTTAAGCACTTTTTGCCCTTCCGCCTTCTGCCATGTGAGGACACAGCAAGAAGGTCCTCACCAGACACCAAATGCTGACGCCTTGATCTTAGACTTCCCAGCCTCCAGAACTGTGGGGAATAAATTTATATTATCTATAAGTGACCCAGTCTGCAGTATTTTGTTATAGCTGCACAAATGGACCAAGACATAACCCTAGCACACAAGGCCCTTTGTCATCTGACTCTGCCCCTGCCTGCATCCTCCTTGTCAGTCCTCTCTCCCTTTCCCTGGCCTCAGCCACACTACACTACTGGAAGTTCTAAGGCTTCCTATGTATATTACCTCCATGTCTCTGCATGTGCTATTTTGTCTGCCAAGGGAGTTGTCCCTTAATTCTCCAGAAAACTCTTCCCTAATTCTCAAGATTCTACTCCTCAAGAAGTCCTAATCTGAGAAGTCTGACATCGTTCCCCAAACCCACCATGCCCCCAGGTTGAGTTATGGACTTCCACAGCACAGTCATACCATTGGCATTATTGAATTTATCTCACTGCCCTGTAATTGACTTTAAAGATCTGCCTCCCCCACTAAACTGTGAACTCCTTCAGCATGGCTTGGATTCTAGCCCAGGGAGAATAAATATTAATGAAATGATGGAAGCAACACAGCGTGTGCCAGGACTGCAAACTCCAATGCCTATAGCAGAAGAGGGCTGGGTAGGAGCCAGCAAGCTGGAGGGAGCTAGGTTGTTCCATCAAATGGGGAAGCAGTCATATAGCAGTTGTCGGCATGAAGGAACGGGATCCAGTGTTGCCACTTTTTTCAATTTTTCAAGAGAAACTGGACATCTCTATATTCATATGGAAGTTCCTAACCTCTTAATGTCTAGATTTGCCCCCGCTGGACACACTGTGCAGGCCCCTGTTACAAAAACTCCCTGTGTAGGGTTTTGGGGGCAAGCAGCTTGGATACTAATCTTGACTCTACCACTAACTGGTTAGGCAACTTTAGACTAACTGGGCCTCCATTTCCTCTTCTGTAAAATGACAATAATAATGAATTTTATCATATTGTCATGATGATTAAATGATGATGACCTCAGAATTAAAGCATTCAGCACAGTGCTAGGAGTCTGGTAAGTACTCATTAAGTGCTGGTTATTAATATCATTAGATAATTGCACATATAACTATATAATTACAACTTTGATAAGGACTAAGGGAGAAGGAGGGAAGTATAGTGAGTTCTGAGAATAGCAAACAGGGAACCTGACCTAATGGAGAGCATCAGGAGGGCCCTAGGAAAATGACATTGGAGGCAGGGGTGAGTTAGAGCCGAAAATAATTTTGGGGGACTTAGCTTCTGGGTACAATCTACAGCAAGTGCAAAAGCCCAAGTAGAAAGAAATCAAAGCCAAGAAGGGAAATGGAATGAGATTAAGAATTGGAATAAGAATTCTAGAATTCTTAATCCCTGATGGTAGAAAGAATAACATCTCTTTAAGAGAAACTTGTGCTTGTTAAATTCTTCAAGAAATTGCTTTATCTTTAGAGCTAACTCTGCGGCAGGCACCGGGGCTAAGCCCTGTTGAACCTTCTACAGAGATAGGGATCAACTCCAGGCCCAATAATGTATTTGTTTATTTGGAAAGCATTCAAGTTTATTGTGCATCTGATGCTGCCCTCGGTGCTAAACAAATGCAGTGGAGAACCACAGTCAACAGTAATTTAACATCAACTTGTGTAACAGCTGAACCCAGTATGAGGAAGCAATGATAAAGAAGGCTTCCATGGACACTATTCGTCAGGGGGTTAGGCTGAGCTGTGCTCAGTTCCGAGCCTTCCAGTCCTCAGTGGGTCTAAGCAGAGATCCTTGAAAGTCGTGATGAAGGACCCAGGCGCTGCAGCCCATGCTTCTCCACATTCATTGCCCTTGCCTCAGTCAGACTTTTCACAGAGCCTGAACAGCACGTGGCTGGAGATCATCTTCTTAAACCAAGCAGTGTAGTCAGGGGATCCTGAGCTGCTGCTTCAAGGAGGATCCTGATGACTTAACAACTGGGAGAATGGGCAGGTGGTTATCGTCCTCCAGCGAGTACCTAAGAGGCTACTCAGTCCTCACCAGATGGATGGCCTGGACCACCAGAAGACTGACTTGCCTCTGAGAAATCTACGTTGTGGGGGCTGTTTCCATGCCTTTTAATTTCCCCATTTACAATATGCAATTTTACATGTTCCTTATAGAAAGACTAGAAAATATAGGTAAATTAAAAGAGGGAGAAATAGACAGGGAAGGAAGGGAGGGAGGGAGGGAGGGAGGAAAAGAGGGAAAGAAGGGAAGGAGGGGAAAGGAGGAAGAAGTCCTTCAAATTCTGCAACCCAGCAATAATATGGCAGGTACCACTCCAGGCCTAATTCTAAATGTCTCTGCCTAATATATATACCACTTGGTAACCTGCTGTTTTCCCTTAATAATTGTCCTCTGAGCAGCTCCCTATGTAAACCAACATGTGTATGTAGATATCACATGCATTGGCAGTAGAATGTTCCATTTTATGAATACACCATAATTTATTTAACCAGCCCCTGATTTTGAATATTGAGATTCTTTCCAAGTTTTCCCTATTATAAATTATGCTTATTTTGAGAGACGGGCATGAGAACAAAGTGGAAGCAAAGTCAGGACTGGGGCTCTTGTTAACAATGAGATGTTTGTCATCCCCCTTCATGCTAAAGCATGCCTGCTCAAAGGGTTGGATATCTCCCCACGGGGAGTGAATATTGGTTTTTGGAGGGTAAAAAAACTTACTCTTTTCATGTATAAAGCACATATACACACAGTACATAAAACAGACAGTAGATCTATGATATTAAAATTTCATAAGGTGAGGAAGATTGAAGATTAGGGGAAAAAAATCCTCTAAAAGTGCCTCCCTAGGGGGATGATAATAAACATTATGTTACAAAAGTGTTAAAAGTCCACTCAGACTAGATCCATTCTATTATTTCCTACTCACCCGTGACTTCTAGCCTCCAACTGCCAGTCCAGAAGAGGCAAATTACTGACTGAGGTAAGCAATGCATAACTTTTCTCATTACTTCAGGATGGAGGATTGAGCAAGTCTGTGTGAGACAACACTCAGAAGATATAAACGGAGTCATCCCTTCCCTCAACAAATTTACACCAGGTGGGGCAGCTCTGTTTTATTTTCCTGCTTCACGGGCCCATGGGCTTTTAAACACAACCAGAGACAGCCACGCTCCTAGAGAACGTAATGACAGTTGAATGGAGTTCAAGGCAAACTCAGGACCAGCACAGACGTGCTCCTTGCCATCTGAAACGACTTCATAAACAAGCAATCGAGGTGGTGAATTTACACTTATAATATCCTCATTAGCTCCTTTGAATTATGATTATGTTTTCCTGTTTGGACTTTTTTCCCACAGATGATAGAAGTCTTACTATGCCAATAAAATACATCTGAAGAGACTTTCAGAGGGAGATCTCAAAGCCCTTTATAAACATTAACTCATTAATCCTCTTCTTATCCTGAGTGATGTGCAGCTGTCATGTCTTATTATCCCATTATACAGGAGAGAAACTGAGACAGGGAGATTAAACGCCTCTCTGCAGACCTGCACCAAGGAGTGGCAAGAACAAAGGCTTTACCCAGACTTCTGCGAAGCCCATTACCAACAGGTGGCAGGGAAGGCGCTGAAACGTAGGAAGCACCTACTCCATGACAGCCATTGGTTTGCATTATTCAATTTTCTCTTTTTTTTTTTCTTTTTGAGACAGAGTTTCGCTCGTGTTGCCCAGGCTGGAGTCCAACGGCACGATCTCGGCTCACCATAACCTCTGCCTCCTGGGTTCAAGTGATTTTCCTGCCTCAGCCTCCTGAGTAGCTGGGATTACAAACATGTGCCACCATGTCTGGCTAATTTTTTTTGTATTTTTGTAGAGACGGGGTTTCGCCATGTTGGTCAGGCTGGTCTCGAATTCCTGACCTCAGGTGATCTGCTCGCCTCAGCATCCCAAAGTGCTCGGATTACAGGTGTGAGCCACTGCGCCTGGCTACATTATTCAATTTTTAATCTTTCTTGAACCCCAGTTAGATGCACAGAAACCCTCCCAGCTGGGCAATTTAAGAGATTTGCCCAAAGTTGCCCCAGCTAGTCAGAGGCAAGGGTGACAGTCGACCCCAGTCTGTCTGCAGTGCTAGATAGCATAGGCTCAGCCTGCTGTGTAGGAGTCAGCTCTTACACACACACACACACACACACACACATACACACACACACACAGAGGCCACATTTACCACAATGTATTGCACATTGAGAATGGTCACTTGGGAAGGTGTACAAAATGTCAGCTTTCCAGGGGGTTTTCAGACTTTGGCACCTAGTAACGCGTGAAAGGTTTGCCTTTGGTACGCAGTGAACTTTGAGGACGATGAGAGTAATGAAATGTCTAAAGTGTCCAGCTCCAGAGTGCAATCTCTTCTACCCAAAGTGAGGAGGTGTCAGCTGCCTTAAGGGTATTATTTTTGCTATTATTACTAAGCTGCTACATGAGTATTCTTGTACCATCCCTCTCTGTAAATAAGCTTTTTCACCTTCTCATGAAGAAATGGGAGAGAAGGCGAAAAGACTCTAAAAACAAATTTAAAAAACCAATTGACCAACTGCCAAGGTCCTGGGTGAGTTTGAACAGCTTCCATCAGGAGGACAAGCTCCAAGCTCTATGTAAACTGATCATCTCAAGTTACTTCAGTATTCATCTATAGAATTTTTCAATTATGTATGACTAATTTTGCACAAAGTCATTATTTAAAGCAATTTGTCTCTGTGTGAGAGGCAACACCTTCCCCTTCCTGAAAGGTGGGTGGGGAAAATGTCCTAATCTGCCATGCATTGGCTTGAGTTATTAAGCGGTCACAGGAGTTCAAAAGAGAAAAATAATGAGCAGCTAAGTCATCACATGTAAGAATTCCTCCTCTATATTATCAAAATACAAATTAATTATAGATAAGATCAAACGAATTCTCTTTAATGTATGGTTTTCCCAGAGAAGGTAATGAAAATAGTGCACGGCCAGTGGGAGGGGAGTTCAAGGATACGTAGAGGGATCTTTTATGAATGTTGACGGCGTTTCATTGGAGACACGGTGCCTGTGAAGGCTGCAGAGGGGCCTCTGGAGAGTTCTGGGACATGCAAATAAAATGTGCTTTATTGCACTAGGTGCTAACTCCTGTGTGATCTCGTCTCCACAGGTCACTCTCAAGATAATGATAAAACCACCCCATACAATTACTCCTCCAGCCTGTGCAGTCAACAGGTAGAGAAACTGGCAGCCAACAGCCTTGCCCACAGAGCTTGCTAAAGGCATCGTGGTCATGGCCTTCAAGGGACTTTCATTCTTGATCTTTCAAGCAATGACCACAGCTGAAGTAAGCCCATGATTCATCTTCCTTTGGGGAAAAAAGAGTAGTGAGGGCCTCCTCCTCTCCACCCTCCCTGCCCCCACCTCCTTCCCAGTTGTATGTAACCCTAATATTCACATGACAGCAAACATTTTCAAAATAATAGTCCTGTATACTTAAGGTTAATCAGGACGGGCGCCATCCAACTTGCAAAGGTAGCAATTTTCCTTCATTAAAGCCAAATCAAGAAAGAGAACTTTGGGATTCCTTAGGGCTAATTACAAGGTGTTAATAATAACAATATAATGGCAGCAATTTTCCAGCTTTGCTCAAACCCATAATCTGCTTGAGTGCCTTATAGGATTGTCTGTGAGTTTATATAAAGCCGAGTGTTAGTCCAAAAATCTTTTCAGTAATTTCATTTTTACATCATGTCTCTCCTGAGTGTTTATGATGATGTGGTAATTGTTGGTGGAGAAGGTTCTCTTTGGGGAAAGAACAAGTAGCAGCTTGACACCTCCAGGACTCCTTTTGTTTCCCTTGAAGTACTCCCTGGGAAGGAACGATGGGTCGGCAGGCTGAACTCAGTGGCCCCTGAATGCTCAGAAACTTTAGGTAGGGTGGACGCCAGCGTGTTCCTTGTATTCATCCAGACTGCTTCCCTGACCGTGAGCCAGTGGGGGAAGAAAAAGGCAACGAGATCATTGGACATGAGAGATTTGGGCAGCCATATGCCGGGAGGCAGGGGAAGTGCCACGGTGTCTCCACTGGTGGTGCCTCCTCGAAGCCCACCTGCAGCTGGTAGGAACTTGTGGCTCCAGAAGGCATGATAAATGATAAATGCCCAATTTTGCTCAGTGTGACCATTTGTTTCACTAACCGATTCTCCTTATGGGCTAGTGACCCAAGAGCTTTCTTCTCAGGATTTTGACTCCACGCATGTGGGACTGCTCACTTAAAACCCAAAAAGACAGAAAGATTCGTTGGTGAGGGCTGCTGCGTGTTTTTTTTCTATTCATTTATCCCCTCCTCTTGCTACCAGTGGAAAGACTACACACTGATTCAGAAGAGTAAGGCCCTTTAAGAGGCAAGACATTTAGCATCTCACTCACTCTCTTTCCCTCTTTAGGCAGCCTAGGGGAGAATTCTTCTAAATTTTGGACAGGAGAGAAGCAAATTGTCTGGCATTGCCAAGTTGGGGTCTAAAGCCAGTTTTTACAACCAGTTTCTAAACCAGATCATAAAAGTTGGTGATGGAAAAGCTGAACCAATACAAACTCCGTGTGGTTTTTGTTGACTGTTTAAGGATGCCAGGAGACACATCAAACCAAAGAAATGAAAATTTGTCCTAATTGGGTTAGAACCACGAATAAACAGGCACCTCTGAAGTTATATATGTTGAAAATTTATGAGCAGGGACAGTAGAACCTACACTATTTTGGAATATGTGACTTTCCTCCCTGTTGGTCTTCCAGGATGGAGATCAGACATGAAAAGGAGCAGTGGGGACGCAGGAGGAAGGAGAACTTGCTGGAGTTCTATGTCCTCCCGTAGAAAACAGAAAATAATGTCCTATCACAGAGTCCTCCTGCAATTCAAATTAGGTCACCTTCATAAAAGTGTATGAGTTGAACCATGAAACCCCAGTGCCCTTAAAGACCAAAGAGGTCTTTTCTTGGTCACACTGAGCCAGGGGCTCCCAGACAGCTGTGGCCCAGAGAGAGAAATAGATTTGCTGAAGATCACAGTTTACTCAGGAGAAGAAAAGAGGCAGATGTTTTTCTCCAGGCCTAGAACACCCCTAATTTGTTTGAAAAACTTTTAAGGGAAACACAAGCTTGAGAGGCAACAGAGATGCCTGCAAGGTAAAGATTGAGTAATCCGGCACCCGCGGCAGCCTCACAGAATTAAACACACAAGGTATTCAGAGACAGAGATGTCCAATCTTTGGCAGGCACCCTCAGTTGCCTCCCGACAGTCATTCCCTGTCTTTCTGGTTAACAGAATGCTAATTTTGTTTGAGTAACAATATGCCCATCCTCAGGGGATGAATCATGGATGGTTTAAGCCAGGGGTCAGCAAACAACTGTCTATGGGCCAAATTTGACCCACTACCTGTTTTCTGTACAGCCTGAGAGCTAAAAATGTTTTTCTCAAGACAGTTGTCCCTGCTTATTTGCAATTTCACTCTCTGTAGTTTCAGTTAGTTACCTGTGGCCAATCACGGTCCAAAAATATTAAATGAAAAATTTCAGAAATAATTCATAATTTTTAATTGCATGCCTTTCAGAATCGCATGATGAAATCTTGCACCGACCCACTCCATCCCACCTGGGACGTGAATCACCCCATTGTCCAGCATATCCGCACCTTCTATGCCACCTACCTGTTAGTCACTTAGTAGCCATCTTGGTTATTAGATCCCAAAATCATAGTAGATATAGGGTTCTGTACTATCTGCAGTTTCAGGCATCCCGTGGGGGTCTTAGAACATAATCGCTCATGGATAAGGGAAAACTACTGTGTTTTGAAATGGTTGAAAAAAATCAAAAGATGAGTCATTGTGAAACAAACATGAAAATTACATGAAATTCAAATTTCTTTGTTCACAAGTTTTATTGGTATGGTAACCAATTGTCCTAGTTTGCTGGAGAATTGAGAGGATCCCTTGAATTCAGGACTTTTGGTGCTAAAACTGGGAATCTCTCCAGCAAACCAAGAGTTGGTCATCATGATAGTCACCCCTATAGTTGCCATGTAAACGACAAGATGAAATTTTATTGATTTCAACAAGATGAAAATTTGAATTTCAGATGAACAGTGAATACTTAAACATATCTTGAATATTGCATGGGACATACACTAAAAAAACCATTTGTTTTTGAGCAGAAGTTTTTTGTTATTGTTTTTGGTTTTGTTTTTGAGACAGGGTCTCTCTCTGTTGCCCATGCTGAAGTGCAGTGGCACGATCACGGCTCACGATAGCCTCTATCTCCGGGCTCCAGTGATCCTCCTACCTCAGTCTTCCAAGTAGCTGGGACTATAGGTGTGCACCACCACACCTACTAACCTCTCAGCCTTAAGTGATCCTCCCACCTTGGCCTTCCAAATTGTTGGGATTACAGGCGTAAGCCATTGTGCCAGGCCTGATCTGGAATTTAAATATAACTGGAGCATTCTGCATTTAGACCTGACAAATGGCAGCCCTATCCACACCTGTTTGTTATGTATTAGCGATGGCTGCTTTTCTGTGACTGCGGCAGAGTCAAATAGTTGTGACACAGACAGTATGGCCCACAAAACCTAAAATATTCGCTATCTGGCCCTTAACAGAAAAAGTTTGCTGACTCCTGGTCCAAGCCAATCATGGTACCTTAATTCCCCCTTTCCAGTGGTCATGTGCCTGAGTGACCATGTGAATGGGACAAAAGAGGCTTGCTAGGGACTTCCAGGGAAGATTTCACCCCTGACAAAAAGTAAGAGCAGATTACAGAAAAAGACCTTTCATTTTATTTCCTCCTTCCTTCTTTTATTTCAGCTTGGGAAGCTGGTATATAAGAATGTGATGTTTGGGGGCCGCGCGTGGTGGCTCACTCCTGTAATCCCAGCACTTTATGAGGCCAAGGATGGTGGATCACAAGATCAGGAGATCAAGATCATCCTGGCCAACATGGTGAAACCCCGTCTCTACTAAAGATACAAAAATTAGCTGGGTGTGGTGGCGCACACCTGTAGTCCCAGCTACTCAGGAGGCTGAGGCAGAAGAATCACTTGAACCCGGGTGACGGAGGTTGCAGTGAGCTGAGATCATACCACTCCACTCCAGCCTAGCAACAGAGTGAGATTCCATCTCAAAAAAAAAAAAAAGAAAGAAAAAAGAAAGAGAAGAAAAGAAAAAAAAAAGAATGTAATGTTTGGGGTTGTGGCAACCATTTTATGGCATGAGAGAAAACCTTGCCCACATACCCAGGATTCAGTAACAGAGAGGTGCAAAGATCCTGGTACCACCCAGGGACTTCTTTCTCCCAGTTAGGAATTCTTAACATCAGCGTTTCTGAGGTTGGTTGGTGAAAAAATGACATCATTATTTTCACAAACTCCTAACTGAAATTTAGTATTTTCTTTGATCAAGAGTGTGTGCAGCAATGGAGAGCAGCATTAGCAGTACCTGGAGTGCTGCTAGTAGACGTCACTGTATTTGTCCATCCTACAACCCTCAAAGATTAACCCCCATCCCACATGCATTCAACTCATCCCAACATCATCAAGTGTTTCAACCTATTACAGCATCAACTCAAAGTTCAAAAATCTCATCAGTTCAAAAGTCTCAAATCTGTCCATCTAAATCAGGTAGGGGTGAGACTGTGAGCATAATCCATCCTGAGGCAAAATTCCTCTCCATCTTTGGGCCTATGGAACTAGAAAACAAGTTATCTGCTTCCAAAATGCTGTGATGAAACAAGCGTAGGATATCATTATAGTCATTCCTGTTCAAAAAGGGAGAAGATAAAAGAAAAGAAGGAATTACCGATTTTGACAATTTTTAAAATCCAGTTAGGAAAACATTACGTTTTAAGGACTGGGAATAATTCCATTAGTTCATGGCTCTACCCTCTGCTCTTATATTCTGCCCTATAAATCATTCTTTTTTCTTGAAGGCTAGCAAATGTTTGGCACTGAGTATTTTTATCAGCCTGTTTCCTGTCTGCTGAATTTTGGGAGCCTGACAGCCATCTTTCATTTAATCCTTGGATTGCCGGTCCAAACTGGCAGTGTTTCTGCTGATATAAAATTCTCAAGAACCTTGTGGGTCTCTTGTGTATGCCATGGGAATTCACTTCATTAGATAAGAGGCCCCTCCACAGATCTTTCTTGGATAACTTCATCTTTAGTTCTGGCTTCTTCTGCAATGGCTGAGGAGAATCATACACTTAATCTTTTCTAAGAACTCTCTGTGTGACTGAATACTCTGACTTTTTATCCTTCTGAGGCACTAGCAAAAGGTTGGACACGCCCTTGTCTTTCTCTTCAGAGCATGTTTTTCTGACAGCAAATCTCCTAGTTTTAGCATCTTTTGATAACATCTTTTAGCATCTGGATAAGCTGAGAATTTCCCAAATCAGTAAGTTCTCATTTTTTTTCTTAACAGTTCTTTCCTTCGTCTGTTTATTTCCTCTCACATTTTACAGGAAGCTGCAAGAAGAAATCAAGTTGCACCTTCAACACTTGGCTAGGAAATCTCCTCAGCTAAATATGCAGTTTTATCACTTATGTACTGTTTTCTACAGAAATGTAAGATGCAATTCAGCTAAGTTTTCTGACACTGCATAGTGAGAATCGCCCTTTCCTCCAGTTTTCAATTACATATTCCTCAGTTCCTTCTGAAAACTTACCAAAAGTGCCTTTACATCCACATTTTTACCAACAGTCTCTTTATGATCATTTAAAGTACTCTCTAAGACAATATAGTTTTTCTCTACCATGCTCCTCATTTCCTCCTGAGTCCCTATTAACATCCATATTTGTACTCACGGTCTTTTCAAAGCAAGCTAAGCTTTTTCTATCCTGCTTCTCAAAATTTGACTAGCCTCTACCTAACCTCCAATCCCAAAGCCATTTCTATATTTTTAGGAATTTGTTACAACAGCACCCCACTTTCAGTATAAAATCTGAATTGGTTTTTCTATTGATGCTGTAACAAATTACCACAAAATTAGTGGGAAAACAAAACAAAACAAAACAGAAATCAGCCAGATGAGGTGGCTCACACCTGTAATCCCAGCACTTTGGGAGGCCAAGGCAGGTGGATCACCTGAGGTCAGGAGTTCAAGATGAGCCTGGCCAACATGGTGAAACCCTGTCTCTACTAAAAATACAAAAAGTAGCCGGGCATAGTGGTAGGCACCTGTAGTCCCAGCTACTCAGGAGGCTGAGTCAGGAGAATTGCTTGAACTCGGGAGGTGGAGGTTGCAGTGACCCAAGATTCAGCCCCTGCACTCCAGCCTGGGTGACAGAGTGAGACTCCGTCTCAAGAGAAAAAAAAGAAAGAAAGAAAACCAACCAACAAACACGGAAATCTTACAGTTCTGGAGAGCAAAATCCAAAATGCATCAGCAGGGTTGCACTCCTTCTGGAAGCTCTGGAGAAGAATCTAGCTGCTTGTCTTTTCCAGCTTCTAGAAGCTGCCCATATTCCTTGGCCTATGATCCCACATTGCTCTGGCCCCAGCTTCTCTCATCACAGATCTTTCTCTGGCCCTGACACTCACTCCTATCTCCCTCTTTTCTTTATAAAGACCCTGTGATAACATCGGGCTCACCCCTATAATGCAGGATAATCCCCCCATCTCAAAATCCTTTTAATCACATCTACAAAATTCCTTTAGCCATGTAAGAAAACATTTTCAGGTTTGGGGGATTAGGATGTGGGCATCTTTGAGGGCCGTTATTCTGTCCACCATGGTCACCAATAGAAATCACAGGTATTTTCATACCCTATTATAGTTGGAGCACATATTTTGAAATGCCCTTTACATTCATCATGACTTTAAGTTTTAGTAGCTATTAGACCTGCCACTACATTTATTATGTAATAAGTTAACAAAAATCACATCTACAGTATTATAGGTTGTTATATCAGTGACTCTATTTCAACATAACTAGTTTCCTTTGTAATTGTATATATTTTATATTAGCACTAAAATATCTTTTCCAAGAAGTTCATCAGACTGCCATGGTATAAAAAAAGGTTAAGGATGCCAATGTCAAGTGTTTTATAAATAGTTTTGTGATTTCAACCACTGGACATCATTTTCTGTTATTTGCAGTCAAAGGCAATCCTAAGTGATGTACAATTACATGTTTCCTGAATCACAGGTCAGTATAGACCCTATACTGGCTTTCTGGATGTGGTGCTGGGACTTAACATAGCCTAACTCATGAAGCTGGGAAATCTCAGTCCATTATATTATACGAATATAAGATGTAATCATCATCTTTCAGTGTTTGTATGGTGATGGGGAGTATTTCACACACCCATTTACTTACTCCAAAAATGTTTCCTAATGCTTACTTTGTGCCAGGACTTTCAATGGGCTGGCCCCTCCTTGCTACATGTCACTTCCTCAAAGAGATCTTCCCAGACCACCCTAGCTAAATTAGTGCCCTCCCTCATTCCCTTGTCATCCTTCATTATATCTCATTTTCGGTTATTCACAAACCTTAACTCTCCTTGAAATACATTTACCCGTTCTACTTTTTGATGTTCCCCCATTAGAATACAAGTTCCAAGATAACAAGGACTGTGTCTTCTTCACTACATTTGAGACCTACACATGACAGGAACTTGACACATACTTCTAGCATGAATCATAGCATTGCTCCTGGCCTCAAAGGGCTCACAGCCTAAGAGAGAAGTCCAACAGGTGCTTACACTACAGTGGGTGGAGGATGTACAGAGGAGAAGGGAAGGCAGCCTTCCAAGGACAGAAGTGAGCTTTGAGCTGAGTTGCTTACAAGTTCTCGGGAAAGAGGGACAAAGGGAACAGCATGAGGAAAGGCATTCAGGCATGAAAGACCATGATGACTTAGGGACACCAGGACATAGACAATGAACTGAAGACGGTAATGCTGGAAAGGTATGTGGGAATTAGTTAGGTTAGGATCACAGACTCCAATGCCTACGCAAAGCCAAATGGGCAACATAAATGAATAAAAGGACCAGGTGTCATGTGATAAATAGCTTTTATAGTCAGCTCAGTGTCCATGGACAACAGGGGGCTATAGAGGCAGGGAGAAAGCACGAGCAATTAAAAGCGTAGTGGCTCATCAGCTCCAGAGAGGTTGCTGCCATGCAGGGATGCTGGCCCAAGGTTGCCGGATCTTAGGATTTTTCAAGAGAGGCTGGAAATCTGAACTTTCGGGTGTTATCTCCCAATATGTAAATGGTGGTAACTGATTCATGTCTTAAATGCCTTGTAAGCCAATATTGTACAAGTCAAACAGGAGCTGTCTGTTGGAAGATACAGACCTCAGGCCACCTGTTTGCAACCTCTATATTCATTGTAACGGACTAATAGTTCAGGCTTGATTCCACTGGTAAATAGGAAGTTACTGGCTTTTTAAAGTGGGGAGTAACATGATCAGATTTGAGTACTGGGATGATCATTCCAGAGCAGTGTGGAGGATAGGTTGAAAAAGAGCATTAAACTGGAGGCCAGAGACCAGCCAGGAAGCCATTGAAATAATCTAAATAATAAAAGCAGAAGGCCAGGTGCAGTGGCTCACGCCTGTAATCCCAGTGTTTTGGGAGGCTGGGGCGGGCAGATCACCTAAGGTCGGGAGTGCGAGACCAGCCTGACCAACATGGAGAAACCCTGTCTCTACTAAAAATACAAAAAATTAGCCAGGTGTGGTGGTGTATGCCTGTAATCCCAGCTACTCGGGAGGCTGAGGCAGGAGAATTGCTTGAACCCAGGAGGCAGAGGTTGCAGTGAGCTGAGATCGTGCCATTGCACTCCAGCCTGGGCAACAAGAGCAAAACTCTATCTCTAAAAATAAAAGCAGAACTCTGATAGTGGCTTTAGAAATGGAAAGAAGACAACTTCTATGAAGCATATTTAGGAATCACAGTAAACAGAAGTCAAGGGTAATCATCATGCTTCTCCTAGAATGTGAGTCCCACGAGGGTAAGTCACTCCTCTGCTTTGCTCTCTACTGCATATGTAATGCTTAATAGGAGGCGCTCCATGAGCATTTGTCAATGTTACCAGTGATTCCATTCCAGGTGACCAGATGGATGGTGGTGCCAGTTATTGAGATGGGTAATGCTGGAGAGTGAAGATGAAGGGGTTCACCCCCTGGAGATGCTCAGGAGACAGCTGGATAAACCTTAGGAGAGATTGGGTTGGATATGGATGTTTGCCTTTGAATCCTATGGATGTAGGTGACATTGTCTTTCTTTCTAGTGTCTCTCTGCAACTTAGGAGCTGCTAGGCTGAAATGTGACTAATCCTTGTTCTACTCCCAGAGTTGGTGGAGACATAATGATGGGCCTGGCACTGTCAATGGCATCAGGGGGAAGCTGCCAGGCTGAGGGCACCTGCGCAGTTACATCTCCATCAGACCCCACTGGCTAATATTTTCTACTCCAATGCACTTGACTCAATGTAGTTCTCACAACTCCTACTTAGAACCGATTTTGGAGGGACTATGTCTCACCCTGACCGATACTCCCTAAAGACCAGATAATTGCAGGATGAATTGAGAATAGCCCTCTATTCAATCTGCAAATATTTAACAAACACCTACAATGTGTAAAACACTGAAGGGCCCCAGGACTGAAGGTGGTGCAAAGCAGCTGTTGTAGTAGCTGGAAAGGGGAACACATTCATGAAAAATGCTTGTTCTCTGCAAACTGTGCCCAGAGTTTGGCACTCAACAGACATTCTTAAAAGGACACAACAACTTGGCATGATCCTTATGATTCGTGTTTTCCAGAGAAGAGAACTGAACTTTAGGGAGATTCAGGAACTTACCGAAGGTCACATAGGAAATGAACCTATATCTACCTTATTCCAAAGCCTCTGCATTTCATGACACTGCGTTTCTTCCCATCAGGCCTGGTTGACTTGGCTTTAGTGTCTGTGGTCAAAGCATGCCAGTTTTCAGACATTATTTCTCCTCTCTGGCCTCCTTCTGCCCTTTTAGAGTTGGCCACAATCTCTTTCTTCCCAACCAACACATGGCCCAGATATTGAATTTATGCTCCTTTAGTGGGGGCAGCTGGCATTTGAAGCTGTCTCTGCTGAGAGCCTTACTTAAAATGTCTCTTCTTGTCACCAGGCTTTGGGAGAAAAATAAGCACCCCCTTCCCAGTCCCTAATTCGGATGATCCCGGCTCACTGACGTCAACACCAGAAGCTCTGAGAAGTTCACCCACATTAGCACCAGGATTGGAAATCAAAGGTAGCTATTTTTGGATCCAACTTCAATCGCTTTCCGTTGGAACCCCCCAGGGCCAAGAAAGCAAATAATTTAATATGATTAGATTGAAACAATCCCAGAAATTGGTCTCTTTATACACCTTGGTGCCATTTTTGACAAGGGTATGAGAGTAATGAAAATAAATGGGCTTGGCCAAGTGGGTGTGAAGTGTTCCATTGACTCAGGCCTGCAGTGCCAACCCAGGGCCAGGGATAAAGACTCCTTGTTGAAAAGGAACAGCAGGAAAATCCTGACTATGCAGGAATGAAAGCCCACGTCACACCCCAGGTCTCCTCTGACCTGCTTTGGATCTCATTTGGGCACAGAGGCCTGGAATCTGGTGGAGCTGCCCCTTAAGTCTCTTTAATAGGTGTCCTCGCCACTTGGCAGATATTTTCCTGTTCTTCTGCCCTCAGTGATTGTATCCCCGCTGACCACTGAGATCGCTGCTGACCTCCCTCTTCCATTCTCTCCCCGCAGGGTCACTGGGTGCCTGGGGGCCTTGGAAAGGTTCAGAAGGGATCCCTCTTTTTCAGTTCCCCTGCAACAGCCACAGGTCTCAGCCCCATGTCTGGGGTCCAGAGACTGCCTGATGTTCTCATCTCTGCCTTCGATTTTTCTTCCTTTCAATCCATACCTCCCCAAGGAACCCACCTTCCCCCGCTACTGAAGGCCAAGCACTTTCATCAGTGACTCTGTTTACTCAATCCAGGAGAGGGATACGGCCCGGGGTTGGGAGTCCTTCGGCTTTGAAACCACATGGAGACCCCCTTCCCCTATATCAGGCCTGGGTCTGTCATCCTCCAGCCCCTGTCTCCCTGTACTAGAACCTGAACTTGGCACTTAACGACTCTCTTCTAGTTTCCCAAATGTGCCATACCTTTGCTCGGACAATTCTTCTTTTGTTTTGGCAGGTGTTTTAAAATACAGTAGGCATGCTACGGTGGTGCATGCCTATAATCCCAACACTTTGAGAGGCTGAGGTGGGAGGGATGCTTGAGGCTAGGGGTTCAAGACCAGCCTGGGCAACACAGTGAGACCCTGTCTCTACAAAAAAATACAAAAATTAGCCAAGCTTTGTGGTGCATGCCTATAGTCCTAGCTATGGGAGACTGAGGCAGGAAGATCGCCTGAGCCCAGAAGTTTGAGGCTGCAGTGAGCTATGATTACTGCACTCCAGCCTGGGGGACAGAGTGGGACTCTGTCAAATAAACTAAACTAAACTAAAATAAAATAAAAAACGCAGTAACGCCATTAGGAATAATATTAAAACTTCCCATATCACATAACATTTTGTATTTACTTCCACTCATTTCCTTGAAAGAAATAAAATTAGAGAAAAAACTAAATTCCCCTTAACCATCTACCACCCATTTCAATCTCTTCCTTCCAAGAAACAAAGAACATTCTTCCAATTCATTTTCTTAAACTTTTACATACATGTGTATTAAAAAAATCCATTACTGGCTACATGTCTATGCAAATAGCATTTTTGTAATGTGCAATAATGAAGCCATATGCATGCCTATCATCTGAGAGGTAAGATGCAAAAGGGTAGACAGAGAGGTGAGGACGTTTTCCTCCCACCGCCACATCCAGGGTCCCAGTTAGCCTTTCCAGGGACAGCCACTGCTCCAAGACCATCTATCTGTCTGGCACTTGCATTTGCCTGGATTCCTAAGCCTCCTTAGAACTAACTGCCTGGTTTGTCCTGCCCCCTGTAAATTTCCTTCATCCTCAGCTGAGTCCCTCAGACCCTCCTGTGTGTCCACCCCGTGCCCTGTGCCCCTCACAGGTTTCCCTCCAGCTCCTATCATGCTGACTCAGCCCCACCCCGGCCTGGCTGGGTGAGGGGCTGATATCTGAATGCAGTCTAGAAAGCGAGGCCTTTTCCCAGCCAGCCTGCGCACCTCCTGGGCCCTCCCATGCCTCGAACAGAGCCGCTTCTGACACTGGCTTTGAAACCCCTTTGCCAAAAGCCTTTCATTAGTCCTAGCAAATTGCTTTGCCGACACGTTCCCAGAGTATGTCTCAAACCCAAATGGCGTATGTCTGTATTTGTGCCTTTATTAAATCTAGATCAAAGATTAGTTTAATCCAGGCAAAGTTTTTGAGCTCACCTTAGAGCAAGTAAAGAAATCATTTTTGAGAAATTTGTTTGTGCGACCACTGCCACTATCACTCAGGAACAAACAGGCAGATTTCTGTAGGGAGTGTATGGGAAGTCTTTGCTGGAGGCAGGACTTCTGGTGTGAAAGTACCTAGGAGAACTTGTGAGGGTAGACCCCGACCCCTGACCCCAGCCTCCCAAGTTGTTTTGAATCTTAAGAGAGAGAGAAAGAAAAATATTGATTTTCTACTTTAGTTCCCAAAGAGAAAAGAATATACTATGATATTAGATTTTCTAGAGCATAACTTTTTAGTATTGCCAAGTTATTCCTTTGTTAATGAAAATTGTTACTCAATTTGGTGCAGCAAACTTTTAATGAGCATTTACTATGTGCCAGACACTGTGACAGATTTTTTCATCTAGTCCCCCTAATTATTATTATTGCTAGAAACCAACTGTTATAGTCAGTGGAGTCTAGACCAATCACTTCTTGTCTGTGACTGTTCACTTCCTCACCCAGGGATAAAGAGTGAAGGGCGTCACTTAACTGGTCCAACCCAGCCTTGTTCTCCCTACTGGTAATGGCTCCTTAACTTTTCCTTCTGGACACTCTCTTGCCCATCCGCAGTTATATGGTTTGGGTTTTAAGGATGCCCTGGCCCATCCAATTATTTTATTTTTTATTTCCATAGGTTTTTGTGGAACGTGTGGTATTTGGTTACATTAGTAATTTCTTTAGTGGTGATTTGTGAGATTTTGGTGCACTGAGCAGTGTTCATTGAACCAGTTTGTACTTTTATCCCTCACCCCCTTCCCACCATTTGCCCTCTGCCCCCCTCCCCGCGGCCAGGACATTTTATCATTCTTATGCCTTTGCATCCTCATAGCATAGCTCCTACTTCTGAGAGAGAACATACGATGTTTGATTTTCCATTCCTGATAATACTCTCCAGGCCAGGCGCGGTGGCTCACACCTGTAATCCCAGCACTTTGGGAGGCCGAGGCAGGTAGATCACGAGGTCAGGAGCTCGAGACCAGCCTGGACAATATGGTGAAACCCTGTCTCTACTAAAGATACAAAAATTAGCCTGGCATGGTGGCGGGCACCTGTAATCCCAGCTATTCGGGAGGATGAGGCAGGAGAATTGCTTGAATCTGTGAGGTGGAGGTTGCAGTGAGCCAAGATCGCACCATTGCACTCCAGCCTGGGCAACAGAGCAAGACTCCATCTCAAAAAACAAAACAAAACAAAACAAAACAGAAAAAAGAATAACACTCTCCAATCCCATCCAGGTTGCTGTGAAACTGGCCCATCCAATTAGAGCGCCATTGCACTCCAGCCTGGGCAACAAGAGTCAAACTCTGTCTCAGGAAAAAAAAAAAAAGAATGCTGCCATTTTATAAAAGAAAATAATATATGGATGCATACATATATAGATACTATGTGCTGGTATAGACATAGAACATTTCTGGAAGGAAGGTTAGGAGTGAGAGGGAGATGTACTCTTGTACTTAAAAAATTATGTACGTATTATTTTTAAAAAGTACATTACCTTGGCCATGGAGATTGGCTCAGCTTATGGACACAGAAGGTCTGAGGCAGCCAAGAGGGAAACCAAGCCCTGGAGACGGTTGTGCCTGAAGCCAGACCTTTGTCTGTAACCAGATCTTTGCCTGTACTTTTTAATTATGGTCCCCAATATATTCTGTCTTTTTTCCTAAGCCAGTCTGAATTGGGTTTCTGTGGTTGCAACCAAATGAGAGCTTAGAGTAAGTATGCCAACCTCACAGGTATCGGTGAGGCTATCAAGCAAGGTGAGACACCAAGAGAGAGCCCGGAGAGCCACTTTGAAAGTGTTGATTTCCGGCCGGGCGCGGTGGCTCACACCTGTAATCCCAACACTTTGGGAGGCCGAGACGGGCGGATCACGAGATCGAGACCATCCTGGCGAACATGTTGAAACCCCATCTCTACTAAAAATACAAAAAATTAGCCGGGCGTGGTGGCGGGTGCCTGTAGTCCCAGCTACTCGGGAGGCTGAGGCAGGAGAATGGTGTGAACCCGGGAGGCGGAGCTTGCAGTGAGCCAAGATGGTGCCACTGCACTCCAGCCTGGGCGACAGAGCGAGACTCTGTCTCAAAAAAAAAAAAAAAAAAGAAAGCGTTTATTTCCTTTCTGTACTTTTTGAAGATTAAGCACACGCTTGTGAGTCAGGTGTCAACTCTTCAAATCTTCTGTTTTTTAGCAGTGTAATTTTGGGTGAGTTACTAAATCTTTTGGTACCTTTACTGCTTCATCAGTAAAATATCAATAAAAAACATCTCTTTCAAAGGTTGTTGTGAAATGCACAAACACACTTAAAATGCACTTATAACAATTTATCAGCCAGGTGCGGTGGCTCACGCCTGTAATCCCAGCACTTTGGGAGGCTGAGGTGGGCGAATCACCTGAGGTCGGGAGTTCGAGACCAGCCTGACCCACATGGAGAAACCCCATCTCTACTAAAAATACAAAATTAGTCGGGCTTGGTGGCACATGCCTATAATGCCAGCTACTTGGGAAGGCTGAGGCAGGAGAATCACTTGAACCTGGGAGGCGGAGGTTGCGGTAAGCCGAGATCGCGCCATTGCACTCCAGCCTGGGCAACAAGAGTAAAACTCCATCTCAAAAAAAAAAAAAAAATTATTACAAATTTATTACACAGGGTAAATATTTCAATATCTGTTGGCACTCATTATAATCACTGGAGGTAAGAAGTCAAGCCCTTCTCCTGAAAGCTACAATGCCACAATGTCTCACGTTGGGCCAACCCAGGTAGAATGAACCCATCCCCATTTACTTTGTTCCTGAGTGTTCAACAGACATTCCTTCCTCTGAGCAGTTAATCATGACAATCACCTGGTGAGTGATGAAAGTATCTGTTACCTTTTGTTGCCTTTGAAAGTCTTGCTCCAGAGATCCCAATCCCCTAAGATCACTTTCATTTTGCAAATGTTACTTCTCTGAGACATGCGTTTCACATTCTCTTTTTCAACAAGGGGTACCTCATTTAAAATCCATTTGATGAGTTATTGAAGAAGACAAATATATTTTATAATCCCTTTCTAATGAAAAATAAATAAAATAAAATAAAATGGAAGAAATAACCTCTCTGAGCGGCTGCCTTAAGGCATCTAATCCTCACTGTCAGCTCCCAGAGAGATCAACTTTGAATGTTGGATTCAGAACCACGTTCTTAGCTTGATCCCCCTTAACCTTCTGGACCCTGGAGAGACCTCGTGGTGCAAGTAAGAAAAGACAGACACTCTAACAGGGATGGAGATTGTTGGTGAAAAAGAGGGCCAAAGTTCAGCCTTTGTATACATCAAGGTGCTGGACAAACAGCCCCAAGACCTCCAAGCCATTCTAAACAAACAGCCCAGGTGGTAATCTAACCTCTCTTGGACTGGAGTTCATGCATGGGTCGACCATTTCTGCTGGTCCCCAATGTCACCGTGGAAGAACTTTATGAAATGTGAGCCGACACAGTCATACATTGCTCTTGTGAAGGTCTGCCTCTGGCTCACCCTTAGAAATTAACTCACACAGAAATGACTGAGTCAGCTTTTGGGTTCATCCCTGGAGAAAGGAGCCTGGAGTTTGAGGGTAGTCCACAAATAGGAAGTGGTGGAGGGCAGGAGAGGAGGGAGTGGAGCAATTATCTGGTGAATCTGATTAATGTAGACAGCTGGGGGCAGAAACTTGACCTCTTTGCCTATTGAGTAGCGAGGACACAGTGAGTGTGAAACGGACATCACACCTGGATACCTTATAGTGTGTTTCTTCCAAAGGACTCAGAAAGATTCTTTTCCCTTCTACAATTTCATGGCGTGCACACAGTGGCGTCACCATTCTTATTATTATGACTGAGAAACGTCCATGTCCCCAGTCCTGGGCTGGGCAATTTGCACACATCATTTCAAAACCTCTTCCGAGCTCAATGGGTAGGGAGGGACCGTTTTCTGCAGTCTCTGAATGAGGAAACTGAGGCCAACACACATTCTGAGTTAGTATCAAGCTAGTAATAAAACACAGGTCTACTTTTTTAAAAATTTTTACATCGTGTTTTACTTTTTAAAAATAATACATACATAATTTTTAAAGTACAAGAGTACATCTCCCTCTCACTCCTAACCTTCCTTCCAGAAATGTTCTATGTCTATACCAGCGCATAGTATCTATATATGTATGCATCCATATATTATTTTCTTTTATACAACGGCAGCATTCTTTTTTTTTTTTCTGAGACAGAGTTTGATTCTTGTTGCCCAGGCTGGAGTGCAATGGCGCCATCTCAGCTCACTGCAACCTCCACCTCCCGGGTTCAAGCGATTCTCCTGCCTCAGCCTCCCAAGTAGCTGGGATTACAGGCATGTGCCTCCATGCCCAGCTAATTTTTTTTGTTTTTTTAGTAGAGACGGGGTTTCACCATGATGGCCAGGCTGGTCTAGAACTCCTGACCACAGGTGATCTGCTCACCTCGACCTCCCAAAATGCTGGAATTACAGGGATGAGCCACCACAGCCGGCCAATGGCAGCATTCTTTGAAAACTGATCCACTTCTGGCATTTTCAGAAATGTGTTATTACGGAAACATGCCAAACATATACAGAAACAGATGAAATAGTAAAATAAATTCCCATCTATCCATCACTCAGCTTTGACAAACGTTTGTTCTCGTATTTACTCTTGCCTCCACCTTACTTCCTACCCACCCCACCCTGCTCTGGACTTTTTTGAAGCAAGTATCAGATATCATACTATTTTAACTGTAAATAGATCAGGTTATATCTCTGAAAGATAAAGATCCCATTTACAGTATACACACAATACTATTATCATACCTTTAAAAAAGCAGAACCTCCTTAATATGTCTTGGAGACAAGGATGGAGCTCACGTGCCCACATAAAGCTACCTCGTTCATATGAATGCCACACCTGATCAGGTCCCTGCCAATCAGCATTCAG
This sequence comes from Homo sapiens, assembly GCF_000001405.40. Classification (NCBI taxonomy): domain Eukaryota; kingdom Metazoa; phylum Chordata; class Mammalia; order Primates; family Hominidae; genus Homo; species Homo sapiens. The sequence goes on from NC_000005.10 coordinate 174,677,410, forward strand.
ATTGCGGCCAGTTTTTTGCCACTGGTGAGCCATATGACATTGGCTGGGCACAGTGGTTCACGCCTGTAATCCTAGCACTTTGGGAGGCCGAGGTGGGTAGATCACCTGAGGTCAGGTGTCCTAGAGAAGCCTGGCCAACATGGCGAAACCCTGTCTCTACTAAAAATACAAAAATTAGCGGAAGTGGTGGTGGGTGCCTGTAGTCCCAGCTACTTAGGAGGCTGAGGCAGGGGAATAGCTTGAACTTGGGGGGCAAGGGTTGCAGTGAGCCAAGGTCGTGCCACTTCCTTCCAACCTGAGTGAAAGAACAAGACTCTATCTCAAAAAAAAAAATCAATATTTGATTATTTTTGACCTACAAAAATAACAATTTCATATGGTTCCATGTAATACAGGCAATGTTGCAGTGAGTACCCATGTACATATCCTATAAGAGTTGGGTTATAAGAGAAATGGCTGGAACTGGCATATCTTTAGCAGGATACTAGCTTTCCTACTAAGAATTTGGATCACCAAGGAACAAAACAAAACAAAATTCCAGGGCTTTTAGCATTGAACTAATCTATCTTTCTGCTTCCAAACACTCTCCGTGTACACCCAATCTGTCTGCTAATGTGATCATTTCCACAATGTCCGTCTGATTGTGTCATTTTCCTGCTTGAAGCCTTCCAAGACTCCCCATTGTCCTTAGAATAAAAATTTAATCTTAACCTGGCATTCAAGGACATTTACAACCTCATCCAACCTGTTTTTCTATCCTAACCCTGCCACTTCCCTATATTTCAGCCATACCAACTGACTTACCATTATCCAAATAAGCAAATCCTACTATAAAATTGTTGTGCCTTTGCCCAGGCTATGCCCTTACTCTCTGGCTGGAGAACTCCTATTCATCCTTCAAGACCCAATTCCACTGTGCCCTCATCTATGAAACCTTCAGAGCCTTCCAGATAGAGTCAGGAATTCTCTCCTCTGTTCAAGAGATGATTCTACATTAGGTTTTAAGTTTGTATGTCTGTGGTATCCACTAAAGCATTGATCTCTCTCCTGAACAGCACATCCTACACTCAATAATTTTACTAGGTATGTGATAGATATCTACATGTCAATATCTAAAGAATTTTGTGGCTTGGATTTAAAGAGAAAATGGTTGAAATATCATTGAACTGCTTCTTTTCACGCAAGCTTGTCTAACTCGCTTTATTTTGTTGTTCCGTTTCATTTTGTTCTAGGCTTTTAGCAGCCTGAAGCCATGGTTTTTAGTTTTTGTCTCTAGTGATAAGCCAAAAAGAGGGATGAGGAAGGGGCTTTACTGGCTCAGGCAGAAATAGAAACTAAGAACCCATGACTGTATTCTCTCTCTTGGACACCCCTGGGAGTCAGTGGGTTATTAAAAAGATCCTCATTCTCTGAGGATTAGCTCCTATGCTGTGCCCATCTCGATACTTCACCCATCAGAGGGGTACCAAACAGGGCCAGGAAGGGGCTCACCAGTAAGTTTTTGGAGTTTGGAATTTGCTGAGTTTTGTTTTACTAGCTCAGTTGGCTTTTTGTGCCTTTCGTAATTCTCTGCTCTATATCTCTCTCTGGTAATCAAATCCCTAACTACTTGCCCTCCTGCCTTTCTACTTTTTTTCCTTTTCTTTGTTTTTTTTTTTAATTTTCTTTGAGATGGAGTCTTGCTGTGTCGCCCAGCCTCGAGTGCAGTGGCGCGATCTTGGCTCACTACAACCTCCACCTCCCTGGTTCAAGCAATTCTCCTGCCTCAGCCTCCCAAGTAGCTGGGATTACAGGCACATGCCCCACGCCTGGCTAAATTTTTACTTTTAGTAGAGACAGGGTTTCACCATATTGGTCAGGCTGGTCTCGAACTCCTGACCTCAGGTGAGCCACCTGCCTCGGACTCCCAATGTGCTGGGATTACAGGCATGAACCACCATGCTTGGTCTTTTTCCTTATTTTTAAAAATACAATATAATATTTGTTAATAGAAAAAAATGCTACTGATGACCAACAAGAGGAGACTAAAAAAATTGTGACATATCCACGCAATGGAATACAATGTAGCCATTAAAAAGAATAAGGCCACGTGACATTGCACATAAGTGCATACAGTATGATTCTGTTGTGTCTTTAAAAAGATACACACATATATAATATATATATTTTTATTATGCTCTGAATTTTTTGAAGATCACCTACAAACTATTAAGTATATGTGGCCTGAAGAATAGGGATAGTGATTGGGAAAAGTAAAAAATATCATTTTTCATTTATGGTCTTTGGGTATATATTTTGAATACAGAGTAAAAACACAATATATTTACTGTATAAACTTTTGAAAACATGAAAAATAAAAAGATGATAAAAATCTCTTGCAATCTCACCACTGACTGCCACTGTAAAGTTTTTTTTTTTTTTTTTTGAGACGGAGTCTCACTCTGTCACGCAGGCTGGAGTGCAATGGTGCGATCTCAGCTCACTGCAACCTCCGCCTCCTGGGTTCAAGCCATTCTCCTGCCTCAGCCTCCTGAGTAGCTGGGATTACAGGTGCCCACCACCATGCTTGGCTAATTTTTTGTATTTTTAGTAGAGACGGGGTTTCACTGTGTTGCACAGGATGGTCACAAACTCCTGACCTCGTGATCTACCCGCCTCGGCCTCCCAAAGTGCTGGGATTACAGGTGTGAGCCACTGCGCCTGACCTGCCACTGTTAATATTTTAATAAATATCTTTGCAGGCTCTTTTTCTGGTTTACTTATTTAACTGAAATAGTGAGCTTGGTCTTTGTAACTTGTGTTTTCCAATTATAACTAGCTCTAGCACATCTTCCTCTGTCACTGTGTATTCTTCCAGGCATTATTTTTGTAGGCTGCTAACGATTCATAGTTGTTTTACTCCCTTCCTCCCAACCACGCTTCTGGTCTTCATTCCTTCCAGTATCTGTTATAATCTCTGAGTTTAGCTGCAGAAGGTACAGCTGGCTGAAACACAAGGATGCTACTTCTAATCAGAAGTGTGTGCCTGACATGCTCACACACACATGGACACATGCTCCCAAACTCCTCCATGAACAGAAGGCTCAGTACACATCCTTCCTGTTTCCTAAGGACCATGCTCCTAAGCAGTGGATGCTTATGAAATGTTGTATTTCAGAAATCTCAGAGAGCTGATGGAATTTTGCAGACTGGATGGGCCATGGGGCTTATGGACAATGTTCACCAAAAGTCAAACAAACAAACAAAACCAAGGGGAATCCTAAAAAGTGAGGCATTCAGTCCACAAAAACAGAGAGTCCCTCCTGCACTGCTATTCAAAACCCAGTGGCCCAGAAGAGGGGTCCTTGTCTTTCAAAGGGAGCTTCACCTCAGCAGCTTTCTGAATGCCTTTACAGGTCTTCTCTAGAGGTCTTCTGAATGCCTTTGGGTTAGCATTTCTTTCTGCAGGTCTCTGGAAGATCTTAGCTTCAGAAACTATGGGAGGAGGGGTCAGAAGAAAGAAAAATGAGACGGGAGAGATTACCTGGGTGACAGCCCTTTCCAAGCCTGCTGCTAGGGGTGAATGAGCTAATAAAAGGGTTCACGTCTTAATGGGGCAAACCCACAGCAAACAACAAGTCACATGCTCCACAGCAAATAGCAAGTCACATGATGAAAGACACAGGCCTGAGGGTCTGGGGAGCAGGCCCTTCTCACAGGATCTGCAAGTTCTTCTGGTTGAGTCTGGAATGTAAGTACGTTGATCCCATACCTTCGTCCCTTAGCCTCCCAAACCAGGCATCCAAGAAACCTTCCAGCAACCCATTCTCCTTAAGAATAAGTTAGGGCTACACTGAAACCTGTGCCCTAACACACATAGAGTCAATGCTTTGGGGTCTAGGCATATATCCTGATTTGTTGTTGTAAATACAGAAAGCTCAGGGATTTGTTACAGTCATTCACTCATCGTTGGCCCCCTGCTGCTACTGGCCGCCTGGCTGCTTGTCACATTTACTGAACACCTATTGTATGCCCAGCACTTGCATTTACCTGGTGCAATAAGTCTTTATTGACTGTCTACTGCATTCCTAGCCTCTAATAGCCAAGCAGAAATACTAGTTAATGGGCACCTACTGAATGCCTAGAATTAGGATATGTCAACCGATGAAAAAAGGCTGTATCAAGTGCTTACTATACACCAGGCAATTGCTGATGAAACTGAGTGCTCTCATTCCACACTGCCCAGACTGACCACAGCGATGTGAAAATAATGATAGTGATAACCAGTCCTCACTCTGAGGCAGTTTTTCACTTTGGAGCTGGTTTAGTGGACCATCAGCATCAGAATCACCTGGGTTATTTGTTAAAAATACAGATTTTTAAAGCCCACTACAGTTCTGCTAACTCAGAATCTCGTGGGCATGAGCCCAGGCATCTCACAATTAAACAAGCTCCCTGGGTAAATCTTAAGCACAATGAAGCCTGAGAATCAGTGTTTTGGGGTCTGGGGCGTATCCCATGATTCAATGTACTAAGTGCAGAGAGGTCAGGGAGTCAATACAGTCATTCACTCATCTTTGGGCTCAGTGATCCTCCTGAAGAAAGGGAATCTGAGATCTCAGCTGACTGGTGGGGAAGGTCAATGACTGATAATCACCAAAAGAGGAAACACCAGTGACCAACTAGCATACAAGAAAAGTATCAATGCCTCAGACACCAAAGAATATACCTGGAAAGAAAAGATCATTTCTGCCTACCCAAATACCAAGCTTTTAAAAAAATAAAACCTGGCACTGGCTGTGGGATAAAACTGAACTTGTGTGCTATTGCTGGTGTCCTACAGTGATACAAATGTTTTGGAGTACAAGTTGGTATTATGTATCAAGGGCCTTAAAAACATTACCCATAGCAGGCCGGGCACAGTGGCTCACACCTGTAATCCCAGCACTCTGGGAGGCTGAGGTGGGCAGATCACCTGAGATCAGGAGTTCAAGACCGGCCTGGCCAACGTGGTGAAACCCCGTCTCTACTAAAAATACAAAAAAATTAGCCGGGCATGGTGGCACATGCCCGTAATCCTGGCTACTCCAGAGGCTGAGGCAGGAGAATCACTTGAACCCAGGAGGCAGAGGTTGAAGTGAGCCAAGATCATGCCACTGCACTCCAGCCTGGGCAACAGAGCAAGACTTTGTCTAAAAAAAAATTCCTATAGCATAATAATTCCATTTTTGGGACTCTATCTTGAGGAAATCACATTAATCACAAGCAAAAAAAAAAAAAACCCACCTTTCTGAATGATGGAAATCATTACAAAGTTATTTGTAATGTTGAAAAATAGACAACAGGAAGGAACAGTTAATAAATCCATGGAGGGGTCAGGCATGGTGGCTCACACTTGTAATCTCAGTGCTTCGGGAGGCCGAGGTGGAAGGATTGCTTGAGGTCAGGAATTAGAGATCAGCCTGGACAACATAGTGAGATCACCGTCTCTACCAAAAATTTAAAAATAAAAATGAGCCAGGCATGGTAGCACACTCCTGTAGTCACAGCTACTCCAGGGGTTAAAGCGGGAGGATTGCTGGAGCCCAAGAGTTCCAAGCTGTAGTGAGCTATGATGGTGCCACTGTACTCTGTCTGGAAAATCTAAATATAAATAGATAAATAAATCCATGGGGCTTGCTCGGTATGGTACCTTAGAATAACATTGACAGGTAGCTTATAAACGTGTGGAAATTGCTTATGTTATGGTGTGATCCCATAGCAAGAAAGAACACACTCAGGTAAGATTAGAAGGAAATCTATTAAACTTTAGCTGTAGTTGTTTTTGGAGAGCAGTGTTGAAGTGATTTTTTCTTTCTACTTTTCTGCTTGTTAAAGAGCATATACTATATTTTAATAATTTTTTTTTGAGACGTTGTTTCGCTCTGTCTCCCAGGCTGGAGTGCAGTGGCCCAATCTTGGCTCACGGCAACCTCTGCCTCCTGGGTTCAAGCTATTCTTCTGCCTCAGCCTCCGGCGTAGCTGGGACTACAGGCACGTGCCACCATGCCTGGCTAATTTTTGTATTTTTTGTAGAGACAGGGTTTCACCATGTTGGCCAGGCTGGTCTCGAACTCCTGACCTTGTGATCTACCTGCCTCGGCCTCCCAAAGTGCTGGGATTACAGGCGTCAGCCACTGCACCCGGCTTTTAATAATTTTTTTTAAAACTAGCAAACAAATAAAAACATGCAAGCAAGTATGTTTATTAAAGAATGAAAAGCAACATCAGACCTGGCCACAATGATAGTTATTTGAAGTCCAGCTCCAAAATGCAGTGCTACTGGCTCCCCGGAGAAAAGATGAGCTTGCTATAGGAAGCTTGGGTGACTCAGTCCCTTTCTGTATTGTCTGTCCAAGGCCTAACATGCTCACAGCAACTTCTACCAAGTTATCAGAACCAGCAGCAAATTCATCTCTATGTTTACAAATTTAGGGGAGAGAGATTTTTATCACTTCATCAACTAACACCCTTTCAGTTCCCTTCTACATGTTTCTCTCCAATGATAGACGTAATATTTACTAGAAGGCTATTATAACAGCCGGGCGCGGTGACTCATGCCTGTAATCTCAGCACTTTGGGAGGCTGAGGCAGGTGGATCACCAGAGGTAGGGAGTTGGAGATCAGCCTGGCTAACAGGGTGAAACCCCGTCTCTACTAAGTATACAAAATTAGCTGGGCATGGAGGCGCGCGCCTGTAATCCCAGCTACTCAGGAGGCTGAGGCAAGAGAATCGCTTGAACCCGGGAGGCGGAGTTTGCAGTGAGCCAGGGTCGCGCCACTGCACTCCAGCTTGGGTGACAGAGTGAGACTCGGTCTCCAAAAAAAAAAAAAAAAAAAAATGCTATTATAACGGCCAGGCGCAGTGGCTCATGCCTGTAATCCCAGCACTTTGGGAAGCCGAGGTGGGCAGATCATGAAGTCAGGAGATTGAGACCATCCTGGCTAACACCGTGAAACCCCGTCTCTACTAAAAATACAAAAAACATTAGCCAGGCGTGGTGGTGTGCGCCTGTAGTTCCAGCTACTCAGGAGGCTGAGACAGGAGAATCGCTTGAACCCAGGAGGCAGAGGTTGCAGTGAGCCCGAGATCGTGCCACTGCACTCCAGCCTGGGCGACAGAGCAAGAGTCCATCTCAAAAAAAAGAAAAAAGAAAAAAGGCTATTATGTGCCAGTTAGCTTCCAATTGACCTCCAAGATTGATATTTTAAAAATAAATTTTATACTGGTATACATTACATACAATAAAATGAACTCATTTTAAGGGTAAAGTTTGATGACTTTTGATAAATGTGTACAGCAGTGGAAGCAGCAATATCATCAAGGTATAGAACACTTCCACGTTTCCATGACCCCAGAATGATCCTTTGTGCCCCTTCTCAGTCAATTCCTGTCCTTCCCACACAAAAAGCAATCATGTGCTGATTTATTTCACCATAGGTTAGTTTTGCCTGTTTTTTTAACTTTAATGAATAGGATCGCGCACTGTGTACTCTTTTTTTTTTTATTTTGCTCAATATTATGTTGTTACATGTTGGATTTTGTTTGCTCCCATTACTGTATAGTATTTCAATGTATGAATTATACAACAATTTATTTAGGCATTCTACTGCAAGTTTCATGGGGCTCATTTCAAGTTCAGAACTATTAAGGAGGGTGCTGATTTCAACATTCTCAGTTATTCAGTGGAATATTATTCAGCCTTAAAAAAGGAAGGAAATCCTGCCTTCTGCAACGACACAGACAAACCTGGAGAACATTCAGTGAGGTAAGCCAGTCATAATAGAATGACAAATACAGCAGATTCCACTTACCTGAGGTATCTAAAATAGACTCAGGGAAACAGAGTAGAATGGGGGTTGCCAGAAGCTGGAGGGAGGCTGCAATTCAGTGAGTATAAAATTTCAGTTATGAAAAATGGATAGGTTCTAGAGATCTGCTATACAACACTGTGTCTATATTTAACAATAAAATAAAAAGTTTTTTTTTTTTTTAAAAAGTAGAAACAAACCAGATGGCCATCCACTGATGAAGGAATAAATTAAATGTGGTATATACATGCAAATGACATATTATTCAGCAATAAGAAGGAGGGTAGGAGTCAAACATGCTGAAATATGGATAAACCTTGAAAACATTATGCAAGGTGAAAGAAGCCAGTCCCAAAAGACTACCTACTGTACAGTTCCATATATATATATATATATATATATATATATATGGAAAGTCCAGATTGGGCAAAGCTGAGGAGACAGAAAGTCGATTAGTGATTGCTTAGGGCTGAGGCAGGGTTGGGTATGAGGGAATGGAGAATGACGGCTTATGGGTAAAGGATTTCTTTTGGGGGTTATAAAAATGTTCTAAAATCGATTATGGTGATAGCTTCACAACTCTGTAAATATATTAAAAGCCTAATGGTATACTTTAACTGGGTGAATTGTATTATGTGTGAATTAAATCTCCATAAAGTTGCTTTTAAAATACAAAAAACAAAATTGTTGTCTATGTCTTTGGTGGTTATACGGACTCAGCTTTCCTGGATATATATCCAGAAATGGGATTGTCTGTCATAAGCTACCCAAGTGTTTAGTGTTAGTAGATACTGTCAAACAGTTTTCCAGATCCAGGACAGTTTCACCAATTCACAGTCCCCCAGTGATACGAGAGAGTTCCAGTCGCTCCCCATTGTCATCTGTCTTTTTCATTGTAGCCATTCTGGTTGAAAACATGCATGTTTTGGCCGGACGCTGTGGCTCACTCTTGTAATCTCAGCACTTTGGGAGGCTGATGCAGGAGTATCACCTGAGGTCAGGAGTTGGAGACCAGCTTGGCCAACATGGTGAAACCCAGTCTCTACTAAAAATACAAAATTATAGGCGCCTGTAATACCAGCTACTCGGGTGGCTGAGGCAGGAGAATCACTTGAGCCCAGGAGGCTGAGGTTGCAGTGAGCTGAGATCGCGCCTCTACACTCCAGCCTAGGCGACACAGCGACACTCCATCTCAAGAAAAAAAAAAAAAGCATGTTTTTGAATAAGATGGAACTGGCTTTGCTCGTGGTCAGTTTGAGAAAGATGAGTTCCTGAGCAGGTAGCTTCAGTTGGAAAATAATTGTCCTGCTTCCCCATTTTCAGTCATGAGGATAATGTGCCTGATAATGTTTTTAACATCATTTTATTGAGGTATAATTCATGCACATAAAATGTACAATTCTTAAGTATATAGCTCAGTGAATTTGTACACACAAAAAAATGAAGAGACCATCACCCAGACAAACATAGTAATCAACATTGTAGAAAGTTCCCTTAGGTTCTTTTCAAACCACTCCCCAAGAGATAACCACCGGTCTCATTTTTTCACCATACATTCATTTTGCCTGTAACAGAACTTCACATAAATAAAATCACACAGTATGTCTTGTATGTGTGGCATTTATTTGCTCATCATCATGTTTTTGAGATTCATTTTTCCTCTACCTTATTCTTTTTTATTACTGCTACTTTATTATTATTATTTTTTTTTTGAGACGGAGTCTCGCTCCGTCACCCAGGCTGGAGTGCAGTGGCGCAATCTCGGCTCACTGCAACCTCTGCCTCCGGGTTCAAGCAATTCTCCTACCTCAGCCTCCCGAGTAGCTGGGATTACAGGCATGCGCCACCACCCCCGGCTAATTTTTGTATTTTTAGTAGGAACAGGGTTTCACCATGTTGGCCAAGCTGGTCTCGAACTCCTGACCTCAGGTGATCGGCCTGCCTGGGCCTCCCAAAGTTCTGGGATTACAGGTGTGAGTCACCACGCCCCACTGGCTACTTTATTATTTTTTATTACTGAGTACGATCCCATTCTGTGAGTATACCATAATTTATTCATTTAGACATCTGCATTCTTTCCAATTTGGAGCTATTATGACTGCTGTCAATATAACTTGTATATTGTATATATATAGCTGTATATAACAGCTATAAAACTGCTGTCAATATTCTTGTAGAAGTTTTTATTTTTCTTTTTCTTGAGTAAATACCTAAGAGTAGGATTGCTAGGTCACTTAATAAGTACACATTTAATTTTAGTATTAAAAACTGCCAAACTGTTTTTCTAAGTGGTTGTACATTTTACATTTCATATTGGCAGGTGTGAGCTCTGGTTGCTTCATGTCTGGGCCAACATAGATGTTGGCAGTCTTTTTGATTTTAGCCATTCTTATTACTGTATAGTGGTATCTCATTGTGGTTTTAATTTGCAAATGACAGTGACTAATCAGGTTGAGTATCTTTTCATGTGCTTATTGGCCATTTGCACATTTGCATAACTTCTTTAGTGAAGTGACCAAATCTGCTCATTTGTTAACTGGGTTGTTTGCTTTCTTATTATTGAGTTGAAGAGGTTTTTTTTTTTTTTCAATTCTGATTGCAAATCCTGTGTCAAATGTACACATTGTGAATATTTTCTTTCAGTCTCTAGCTGCCTTTTTATTTTCTTAACAGGGTCTTTTGACAAAGGTTTCTATTGTTTTTTGTTTTGTTTTTTAAGAAAAGCTTATGGGTTTTGCTTTTTTTTTTCACCTGCTCCTGCACAGGTGAAAATATATATGTGTGTATTTTTTTACAATATCGATATATTTAACTTTCTATTTTACAGATGAGAAAAGTGAGGCCCAGAGAGTGCAAATGCGCTGCCCAAATCCGTATACCCAGTAAACAGCAGAGCCAGGACTCAGTGCCACAACTTCAAAGCCCAACACTCTGTCCAGCTGCAAATTTTGTTTCCAATCAGACCCAGAAAACCAAGGGCAATTGCACAAGATCGTTTGTAGTAAACCTGTTATTTAAGAGGAACGAAGACTGAGCCTCAGGGTCTAGGAGTAACTTATAGGGGCTTCTTGTACTTATGGATAGAAAATACATGGATAAATAGAGATATTAAAGGAAGGGATGCCCTACCCTCCCGAAAGAAATAAAAATGTGATCACTCTCGGCACCGTAGTCTCTGATGAGAACATTTAATCAATTAGCATTGCCGTTGCCAAAACTTGCTTCCCACCGAGCCCAAAAGCCGCCGGCGGCACATCCCAGCGGCCTCCCTCCTCCCGGGCTGGGATTCGCCTCTGCAAGAAACGTCATGTTTTCTCTCCCAGACATCGTTCCGGGAGCCCCAGATGTAAAATCAGAGGTCTCTTATCTGGCATTATTGATCTCTGTGCTAATAAAATGTCAGTCCCCAAGGGAAAACTTAAAAAAAGAATCGTGCTGTCATCTCTGTTCCTGCGGGGACAGGCACCCATTTGTCGGCTCACTTCATTGCTCCGTCGGCCGGGCTACTATTTCAGGGCTCCCTGGAAGAGTAAGTCCCTGAAATGGGCAGGGACACGCTTTCTATTTCCCCTTTCACAGGGGCTCTCTGGAATTCAAGGATGAACGAATGGGAAGAAATCAACAGGTATGCAGCACTAACCAAATGCTGGGCACTTTACCCACACCACATACCCCGAAATCCTCCTGGAATCCAGGCACGGAGGGTCACCACGTCCGTTTTATTGATGAAGAAACTGAGGCTAACATTTGTGAATCATTTGATACTAAGGACTCGGCAGTGTCCCATTTATTCCTCATGACAAGCCACATTTTACACAGGAAGAAGCTGAGGCTCAGAGAGGTGAAGTGATATCCCCAGAGTCTCACAGCTGGCAAATGAAAGGGCTGATGCTGGAACCCGAAGCCGCTCCTAGCCATCTCGATGCTGAGCATGCGCTGTTTGTTATCCCCCAGTCACAGGCACTGAGGCTCGCACTGAGCCTATATTACTGGGTCCAGATGCTCCCCCAGCCTCCTTTGGTTCTGAACCTGCCCTCCCAGCCTTAGCAACTGTGTTCTCTTAGAGTCCAAGTCGAGCCAAAGGAGACATGTTGCATTTTGATGCCCCTTGTGATTTAAGAAAAAATAAAAATAATGTATGAATAATTGTATAACTTCTCCAGCAGAGATGAATAGGGAAGGCTTATCTATGGAAGCATCATATGTTATTATTGTGACCATCTAACATGATGACCACATTGTCAGAAACAGACTCAGACGGGGCAGAAAATAATCTAGCCTGCTTAAACAAAATCATTGAGAAGCATCATGGTAATAGCTAATTATCAATAATAAAAATAATACATAGAATCAAAGCCAGCAGCAAATATAGCAAAACTATATTCATCTATAAGAAACGAAATAAGAAGCAGTCGTACGGCTGGGCGTGGTGGCTCATGCCTATAATCCCAGCACTTTGGAAGGCGGAGGAGGGTGGATCACCTGAGGTCAGGAGTTCAAGACCAGACTGACCAGTATGGTGAAACCCTGTCTCTACTAAAAATACAAAAATAACCCCAGCTACTTGGGAGGCTGAGGCTGGAGAACTGCTTGAACCTGGGAGGCAGAGGTTGCAGTGGGACGAGATTGCGCCACTGCACTCCAGCCTGGGCGACAGAGGGAGACTCCATCTCAAAAAAAAAAAAAAATCATCGTAAATGAAATAAAATAAAACATAAAGCAATAATTTAAAACAGACTAAAATCAGCAATAACAACAATAATAGTAACAATAGCAACTAATTATGTGCCAGGCACTCTTCTAAGCACTTTTCGGGTATCCATTATTTAAGCCTTAAAACAACTCTATGAGGTAGGAAGTCTCATAAAGCCCATTTTATAGGTGGGGAAGCTGAGGCATCAGGAAACCAGGGGCTTGTTTCTCAGAAGGACAGTCCCCCATAGGGCTCCATTTCTCAAGGCAGAAGTCCAGGAAGGGTAGGACAAAAACTGGGTCTCCACAGTTTGGGTAGGCACCTCGCTTTCGGGATTCTCTGGGGACAACCAGAAAACACAAAGGGGCGAGGACCTGGTAGGCTCCTAAATGCTTGTGAGCAAAAAGCCTGGTCACAGCTTAGAGGGATGTCGTCCTCTAAACACTGAGTCACTGAGTGACCAGCTGGCTGCTCTGGCCAGGCCCTGATTGGGGCAGGAGGAACTGGAGATGAATGGGTCAGCCTCCTCGCCCTGCAGGATCCTGCAGCCTCCTGCAATAGACCAGGCTGGGGCAAGCGGCAGGAATCGAAAGAAGGGAAGCGATCCGAGTGGGTTGGGAAACAGCCAAGAGTGAGATCCTGCTCAGGGAGTCCTGGAAACGCACAGCTTTTGACCTTGGACTGTTTGTTTTCAAAATAAGCTCAGCTTCATTATCTGTTCTTTCTTTCACATAAAAACCTGACCCTTCACAGTTCCATCCCCCCATCTTTTTCTCCAACTAATTCCTGGCTCTCCCAGCTCTGCCTCCCAACTCCTCCTTGCCCACCCTCATCCCCTTGTTTTGTGATTTAAGAAAATAAAAATAAATGAATGAATAATTGTATTTATTTTCCAGCATAGTTGAATAGAGAAAGGTAAGATATTGAAGTATCATATGTTATTATTGTGACCATCTGAGATGATGACCACATTGTCAGGGACAGACTGACGCAGGACAGAAAACAAGACACACCCTAGACACTCTCCTTCTCAAGCACCCCACCCTCTCCTTTTATTTTATTTTATTTATTTATTTATTTATATTTTTATTTATTTATTTTTGAGATGGAGTCTCACTCTGTCACCTAGGCTGGAGTGCAATGACGTGACTTTGGCTCACTGCACCCTCCGCTTCCCAGATTCAAGTGATTCTCCTGCCTCAGCCTCCCAAGTAGCTGGGATTACAAGCACCTACCACCACACCCAGCTAATTTTTGTATTTTTAGTAGAGACGGGGTTTCACCATGTTGGCCAGGGTGGTCTCAAACTCCTGACCTCGTGATCCACCCGCCTCGGCCTCCCAAAGTGCTGGGATTATAGGCATAAGCCAGCATGCCCGGCCCACCCTCTCCTTTTATAAACTTCAGGCTGAGATCCCTTTTTAGTGTTTCCTCATCCAGCAAACGTTCATGGATACCTGCTCTTTACTAGATCCTGCCTGATGTTGACTAGGGCCACAGAAATAACACAGCCCTCTTCTCCTCTCCAGGAACCCCTCTGTTGGAGGGAGAGGCAACAGCCCCAGAGGTCCTGCCTTGAGCTCTCTACCAGGCAGCTGCCTGCCCATGCCAGGGAGGCCCCTCATCCTCCTAGTCCGGGACACTGTTTTGTGGCTTCAGAAGTTCAATGTCATCGTCATTGCTTTATAAAACTACGTGGCTATCTGTGGCATATTCCTCCCCACACACGTGCTGTTCCCCTCCAAGGAGACAAGTGAGATGTGGGAGTATTAATTTATTTGGAGTTAACATAACACTTAACAGATGGCACAAGAAAAACTGTGTCTGTGGGGGTCACATGACAAGGGCATTCGATTTAATCACATTTTATTTTAACAAGAGAGATTTAAATAGGGTGGGGCACCTCTGAGCATCCTGCCCTGAGAAGCACAATCCTAGTGTTTAAAGATAAAAAAAAATTCACTTCATGTGTTCACATCATACCAAGCAAGTACTTCATCTGATGTCCAGAGCAATAGGAACGTGTTCCTGCTGCTGATGAGCGTTTTCACCATGGAAGTGATACAGTGATATTTACACAGCTACAGATACAGCACTTCATGGAGGATTTCAGCAGTTTTCAGAGTAACTTTGACCACAGGTGATTTCTACCTTTTCTGCAAAGTGAGGAATTTAATAAACACACACGCACACAACGCACACACACACACACACACACACACACACACACACACACCCCAATGCATCAAGATTTGTCTTCCCAATAGGCATTTTCAGAAGGGGAATGATGTGGCCCTTAATTACTTCACAAAATGTACAGCAAATAAAGATCAATATAATGACTACCTATAAACCCAGCAATGTCATCGAATCAATCCGTGGCTAATGGGTTAAAGATTAACGCGACCACAACCACATGCTGGCCTCAGCTGTAAACTGCTGGGGCTAAGTAAATAATAAAGGAAATAAGATCATTGTCACCCTGTCCATTAGGTGCATGGCTGATGATCTCCTTAAAGTGCTCCTCAGAGCCTAATGAGGTCATTAGGGTCACTTCTCTCTGGGCCCCGGACTCTGCGTGTCCTCCTGTGCAGACGAGGAAACTGAGTCACACGAGAGGAAGCAATTGCTGATAGTTCACAGTTGCCACGCCCTCCTCATGCCTTTACAGACATCCCAGGCCTTTGATCAAACTAGGGAGAGGTTAGAAGAAAGGCGAGACGGGCCTCAGAAGAATTTGGATCTGTTGAAAAAGGATTTTAGGACAAGAACGAAACAAGACGCGTTTTCATGGGAACGCAAACCCAGTAACTTCTCAGAGCCAGGGCTTCGCAGAGAAACTGCATCAAAAGGAAAAGAGTCTGGTCCCAACCTTTATTTCTCCCAAGGCATGAAACTCCTGATTTCAAACCACTTCTCTTTGCCTCTGAAAGAAAACAAGAAAAAGATGGGGCTGTGTAGTTCTTCCAACAGTGAAAAAAAGAAAGAAAAGAGAGAAGAAGAAAACTGTTTCGGGTTTCGAAACAGAAAGGGCCTCCTTCCCCTTTATCGATAATTTTGAAAGGGTCGCTGTAAGACACTGACTAATGACACGTGACCTTTGGATTCTCCACGAGGCAGCAGGCGCGGGCCCCGAGCCCAGCGGGGACCCCTCTGCCAGTTAGGGGTCACTCTCTCCATTCAACGCTTTATTAGCCCCCTCAAGTCTCAGGGCGAAGTCCTGCTGCTTTGAGACGTTTACAGCTTTGATTGAGGAAAGCTATTCAGGGCTGGGGCGAGGATCTGTTTGTTTTCAGGAGGAAGCCTCTGTGAGCCTGCCCCCTCCCCCCTGTGTTTCCAGAGTTGCTGGAGAGATAAAAGCCATACCTCCTTTTGACCTTCATTGGACAGTAGGAGCCCCGACTCAGCGTGGAATAATAAAGGCATATCATGCTGCATAAATTATCCCGTGATTGACGCTCTTTCTTCCAGCTCTGACTTAAAGGGGGGTGTCGGGGGCTGGGGCAGGGAATGGGGAGGGGTTCGGTTTATTTACTCAAGCACCTACTGTGTGCTGCTGATGGGGAACTTCCTAGGCAAGTCATTGTCGCATTTCATCCCTACAAACAGTCCCAGGAGGTAAATATTATTTATCCCTGTGATGTGCGTGAGGAAATGGCAGGAAAGTTATGTGATTTTTTTTTTCAATAACCTACGGGAAGGCAGCAGCAGGCAACAGCGTTTGGCCGTGAGAATATTTTGACAATGCTTTTTTAAAAAAAAAAAAAAATCAGCTTTTTAAAATTTAGCAAAGTGTCATCTTTACCCAGTCCCTGGGACTGACCCTGACCCCTGGGTTGAGAGATGGAGAGAGGGGGGAGAGAGAGAGAAAGAGAGAGAGAGATGAGATGCAGGGCCAGGATGGCAGAGAGCCACCCATGGGTTACCTGTTTGTCCAGCGGTATTTATGGAACAGCAGTGTCTAGGCAAAAGGGACCTCGCCCACGAGAACTATGCATTGTAGGAGGGAGACCTAGAGTAAGTTATTTATGAACATGATTTTTGGACAATGTTAAGGACTTCGAGGAGAGGAAAGCAGGGTAGCAAGAGAGAAAGTGTCTCGGTAGAAGAAAGAGGCATAACTTTGGAGAGAGATGTCAGGGAACCCTCCACCCCAGGAGGTGACGTTTGTCCTGAATGGTAGGAAGGAGAGCACTGGCAAAGGGCCAGCCAAGCAAAGTCAACAGTACATGAGTCTATGTACTTAGGAGGTGAGAACAGACTCGACATCCAGAAGCTGAAAGAGGACCCATGGCTAGAGGGCAGGGAGTGAGGGGCCAGGCACCCCGCAAGCTCTCCAGGGCCTGGGTTTTATTCTCAGTGCAAACAGAAGCAACCGGAAGGTTTTGAGTAAAGGAGTGCGGTGAAGCCAGAAGCAAGACTAGGAGCACGGAGCCCAGAGCTGTCTGTGGCTCCCGACTTCCCTGCGTTCTGACAGGTCAGTTGGGCCTCGTCAAAGCTTCTGTGTTCAGAAGTTCTTTCCTTAAGAACAGCTCGGGGAATCACCACGTGCTGTTCAGACTGTCCCTGGAGTTGGAGCGTGACTTTGGGGTATCCTGAAGTCATACCTGTCCCCTCCCTCCTGAGGATCAATAACTTGAATGCTTTGGGAGTCACCAGGGAATGTACATCTGAAGCGGGGTGCGAGGAGCCCTGGTGAGCTGGCAGAGCCCTGGTGCTCTGTCCCCAGTGGCGGCCCCTACTTGACTCTTGAAATTGCACCACAGGGAGGGGAGAGGCCGACCCTAGAGCCGTCAGAGCTTCTGATTCTATTAGAGAAGCCAGAAATCCAGATATGTGTGCAAACTCTTAGTTTTTGAATGTCGACATCAAATTCAAATTAAACTAACATTCCTGAGCTCTGTCCACGAACCCTGAAGCCAAAGAGTTGCATAAGACAAGACCCCAGCCTGCAAGAGCCTCCACGCCAGAGTCACTACTGCCTCTTAGCTAACCAGAGCAGAGAATTAAAGGTAAAAGATGCAAAAGAAACAGATGGGTCTCACTCTTGCATTCTAAAGTGTTTTGGTGAAGTGGGTCTATTTGGCAGTCTGCTGAAATGGTGGACTTCTCAGAATATTTAAAAATGCATGAAATCAAATAACAAAGGTGCCCGATTATATTTAAGTACAGTTATCAAAATGTTGCCATAAGCTAATACAGGAACTTCTTTGTTAATGTATCAATCAACAAGATCTGAAGGCAGGCGCAGTGGCTCACCCCTGTAATCCCAGCACTTTGGAAGGCCGAGGTGGGTGGATTGCCTGAGCACAGGAGTTCAAGACCAGCCCGAGCAACATGGCTAAACCCCGTTTCTATTAAAAATACAAAAAAATTAACCGAGTGCTGTGGCACTTACCTGTGGTCCCAGCTGCTCAGGAGGCTGAGGTGGGAGGCTCGCTTGAGCCTGGAAGGCAGAGGTTATGGTGTGCCAAGATCATAACACTGCACTCCAGCCTGGGCGACACAGTGAGACCACTGTCTCAAAAAAACAAAAACAAAAACAAGATATGGTGCTGAGCCAATTACTTCCTTAATTTTGAAGTAATGATAAATAGAAACAATATTTCAAGATATCTGTAAAAGGCCGGGTGCAGTGGCTCACACATGTAACCCCAGCACTTTGGGAGGCCGAAGCGGGCGAATCATCTGAGGTCGGGAGTTCAAGACCAGTCTGGCCAACATGGCGAAACCCCATCTCTCCAAAAAAAAAAAAAAAATACAAAATTAGCCAGGCATGGTGGCACATGCCTGTAAACCCAGCTACTCCGGAGGCTGAGGCAGGAGAATCGCTTGAACCCAGAAGGCAGAGGTTGCAGTGAGCCGAGATTGTGCCATTGCACTCCAGCCTGGGCAATAAGAGTGAAACTCTGTCTCAAAAGAAAAAAAAAAAGATGTCTGTAAGAACTGTCAGGCGGCATGAAAACACATGGTGTCTACTGGTGGTAAAATTGCAGTTACTGGTCATGCTACTGTGGGTTGCTGGCAACATTCATAATGAAAGGAAATGAAACATTTTAGTTAGAGGATAACAAAAATAAAAATGTTATGTTTTCCCATGGAACCTCACAGATATTCTCTCTCTCTGCCCCCAAAGTAGTCCGTGGACCCCCAGTTTAAGAACTTCTACATTAGATGAGATTCTTTCACAGGTGGATTGCCAAAGAAGAAGCTGCCCTGCCCTCACCTCCCAATGTCAGGAAGTGTCTCCCCCAGCCCTCCAGGGACCAGGAGCCCTCCTGGATCCAGCCCCTCCCTCTCCATGCAGTGGACCACGGCCTTCCAGGCCCCTCAGGCTGTGTTCTGCTCACAGGGCCAGCTGCCCTTCCCATCACTCCTGCCGTGGCTCCTTCTAGCCTGGATGCAATCAAAGTCACTGTGTGCTTCATTCCAGGCCTTCCCACAGAGGACCTGGGATGGTCAGGGGTGGGACCTTGGGGTCAGACAAGGACAGGTTCAAATCTTAAATCTGCAACTCATTCGCGGTAAGATGGTGAACTGGCCACTTAATCTTTCAGCCTCAATTTCCCCCAACACTCATTTTCCACGGTTGTAGGGATTCAATGAAAGAACACTGTAAAATTCTTTTTTTTTTTTTTTTTTTTTGAGACAGAGTCTTGCTCTTTTGCCCAGGCTGGGGTGCAGTGGCTTGATCTCAGCTCACTGCAACCTCCACCCTGCCCCTGGGTTCAAGTGATTCTCCTGCCTCAGCCTCCAAAGTAGCTGGGATTACAGTTGTGTGTGCCATCATGCCCAGCTAATTTTTGTATTTTTAGTAGAGATGGGGTTTTGCCATGTTGGCCAGGCTGGTCTCCAACTCCTGACCTCAAGTGATCCACCCACCTTGGCCTCCCAAAGTGCTGGGATTACAGGCGTGAGCCACCGCGCCCAGCAGTACACTGTAAAATTCTGGCATATTTTAAACCCTCAAGACACAGTAGCTGCTTTAACTAGGGTTTTTATTACACTGGTGTGTCTCTGTTGCTTCCCACTAAAGCATATTAGCTCTTACTGAGACCCAGCCTAAACCTTTCTCTGTTCACTTTATTCAGGTCTCTTCTTAATGTCACGATATCAAGGGGACCTTCCCTGACCACTCAGTCAAAACCAGCGCCTCCCACTTCTGTCTCTGCTGCCTTACCTTACTTTACTTTTCTTCTTTGAGTTTAGTGCTATCTGGTATAGTATATATTTACTTGTTTATTTATGGTCTGTTCCATCCATACCAAAAGAATATATGCTCAGTGAAGACACGGATTTGTTTTCTTCACTGCTGTATTCCTTGTGCCTAGAACAGTATCAGATCCACAGTAGGCACTCTGCAAACATTTACTGAATGAGTGAATGAATGAATGAATGAAAAGCCTCTGCAAATATTTTCTCGAGGGCTTTTCAAAGAATTCAGTGAGATAGAATAACCAGAGCACCTAGCTCTGTGTCTGACATACCAATACTTACTTTTCATCTTCTTCCTTAACTTTTCTGAATTTCAGTTTATTCATCCGTAATATAGGAATACTAAGAATACTACTACTAGCATTAATCATAGCACCAAGACTACTTATCTCTTGGAGCTATTGTAATGTCTAAAACCAGAAAGCATTTTGTAAGCTATAATTCATTATATAGGTATGAGTTATTATTGCTATTATAAGAACTTAGGCACGTTATCGTCCCCTCTCTGAGCCTCCATTTTATCATCTATAAAATGGAGCTAATTTTATTTAATTTAAACATCTGCCCTTCCTTCCCTAGCTGAGTTATTGTGAGGAATGAATAAGATAATGCATGTTTAAATGCTTTGTAAACTATAAAGTACTATGCAGCTATAAAGAATAATTACCGAGGTACAGCACAGGGGCGGTGGAAATACCGTGGGACTTGGAATCCCAAATACCTGGGTTCAAGTCCCTGCTCTATCTCTCTCTTTCTTTCTTTCCTTTTCTTTTCTTTTCTTTTTTTTTTTTTTTTTGTAACAGAGTCTCACTCTGTCACCCAGGCTGGAATGCAGTGGTACAGTCTCAGCTCACTGCAACCTCTGCCCCCCAGGTTCAAGCGATTCTCCTGCTTCACCCTCCGGAGTAGCTGGGATTACAGGTGCCTGCCACCACGCCCAGGTAATTTTTGTATTTTTTTAGTAGAGATGGTTTTTCACCATGCTGGCCAGGTTGGTCTGGAACTCCTGACCTCAAGTGATCTGCCCGCCTCAACCTCTCAAAGTGCTGGGATTATAGGCATGAGCCACTGTACCCAGCCATATCACTTTCTAGTCCAGAAACTCTGGATCTTGGTTTCTGCCGTCTGCAAAATGTAGATAATAATGCTACTCACAATGCATGCTAAAGGCTCAGCGCCGGTGCAGCCCAGATCAGCCCCAGCGGTAGCTGCTTGTTACTGCCTCCCACAGGCCTTTGTTCAGCTGTCTGTGGCCTTCTCCTCACCAAGCCCAGCAAACCTTCCCTTTCCTATCAGTTGAACGGTGATAATTACACCAGCCCCTCGGGATGCTACGTTTTTAAATTAATATGTATAATGTGCTTGGAGATCCTCCCTTGAAGCAGGTGGGGAATGCACACAGATTCCAGAGTAGGTCTTGCTCTCTGGGGCTTCTGCTGGTGGCCGGGGCTTCTGCTGGTGGCCAAGGCCTCTGCTGGCCTCTCTAGGTGGGGATCTCCAAATGGCTCTAGGATCTAAATGCAGGCATCATTTTTGGTGATAAGAAAGATGCCATTTTTCTGGAAAAGCTCAGCTCCACGCTCCCAGCAGATGAGTCCTATCACTCGGGTCTGAGTTGATCTGAGACACGTACAAGAGGCCTCAACCGAGGCCTCCTTGGTTATGTTTGTAGAAGTTGGGAGATGTAGGAAACAAAGCAACAAATGTAGTTCCAGATGCACCCTTACTTGTCTTAACTCAGGGCTGCAATTGTGAAGCAAGCCGAGGCTCCAAGATGGGCTGATAGTCCAGGCTAGAAATTAAGGCTGGAAGACCAAGCCAGAGGGCTTCTGACCCTCAAGACCGGGCCTGCCCATTGCTTACCGCAGGCAGGACCTGATGGGCCAGTGGGAAAGCCAGTTCCATGCAATCCAAGGCAGAGCTTCCCTGAGCCCCTGCCTGTACTGGGCCCGGGGCGATCCAGCGAGGAGTTTGTTACTCACATTAGTGATAAACTCCCAAAGTCACTGAATGGATTCAAGGTTATTCTTGGAATTGTTACATTTCCACACACTTACGTTCCCAGGAATGTTTGAAAACCCAGGAGAGTGGGTTGAGTGCCTCACGACAGGGCATAGCCCAGTTCAGCTTTGCCATGAGCCTGGGAGGGTCTGGTCAGGATGCCTTGGGGTCTGTGGTTCCCAACGCCAGCTGTGCATGGAAATCACACCAAGAGGCAGTTTCATTTGTTTGTCTAATGCAAACAAAATATGCCCATAATCCCTCTACCCTGATAACATCTTTTACATTAGTATAACCATAAGTAATGACAGTACCTCTATGTAGCAAGGAAATGCAAACACAGCAGCAAAGTATAAAGAAGTGAAAAATAGGCCTCTTTCACCCCTATGCTAGAACCCATCTCACTACATGTAAATTATTGAAAGCTTCCTATTTATTGTTCCAGAAAACAGGTTTGTTCTCCCTCCATCTTTTTTTTTTTTTTTTTGAGATGGAGTCTCGCTCTGTGGTCCATGCTGGAGTGCAGCGATATAATCTCAGCTCACTGCAACCTCTGCCTCCTGGATTCAAACAATCCTCCTGCCTCAGCCTCCCGAGTAGCCAGTTTACAGGCGCAGGCCACCAGGCCCAGCTAATTTTTGTATTTTTAGTAGCGATGGGGTTTCGCCATGTTGGCCAGGGTGGTCTTGAACTCCTGACCTCGGGTGATCCACCCACCTTGACCTCCCAAAGTGCTGGGATTACAGGCATGAGCCACCGCGCCTGGCCCTCTCTCCAACATTTCTTTGCCTCTGATCTGGTCCAGGCTCTCTGCTCTCATCCCCTCCCACCATCCCCATCACTTACAGCTTTCCAGCTACCTGACCTTAGAGGTATTTCTTCAACAAATCCAGCCAGTTCTGCTGAGAGCCTTTGCACTTGCCTTTCCATCTGCCTGGGACACTCTTCCCACAGATGTGGCATCTTGGCTCACTCCCTCAGTTTTTTCAGGTTTCTGCTCAAATGTCACCTCATCAGAGAGACCTTCTTGAACCATCCTGTTTTAGAGTTACCTCCCCAGCTGGCCTTCACCTTACACTGTTCTAATTTCTACTTTCTTCATAGCACTTACCACTACTTAACACAGGAAGTGTATTGTCTACTTATTTATTACCTAGTCTCCTCTAGTGGCCAATCAGTTCCATGGACTTGGTCTGTGTGCATCACACACTTACATTCCCATAAGGGAATGTAAAAAAATTAGTCAAAACACAAACCGTTTTATTTTGGTTGCTTTTTGAGATGCAGTCTCGCTCTGTCACCCAGGCTAGAGTGCAGTGGTGTGATCTCAGCTCACTGCTACCTGTGCCTCCCGGGTTTAAGTGATTCTCCTGCCTCGAGTAGCTGGGACTACAGGCGCCCACCACCACACCCGGCTAATTTTTTGTATTTTTAGTAGAGACGGGGTTTCACCATGTTAGCCAGGATGGTCTCCATCTCCTGACCTTGTGATCTGCCCGCCTCAGTCCCACAAAGTGCTGGGATTACAGGTGTGAGCCACCGTGCCCAGACTGTGATTCACTTCTTGATCCTGAGTAACTAGAGGGGTACCAAATACCTAAGAGTCACTCAATACATTCTTGTTGCATAAGTATTTTTTTTATTTATCACAGGGATCACTTCCTGCCCCTTACCTTTTTCACTGATTTCTGGTATTCCTTTCTATAGCTGGATCTTCGGTTACTTAATGCATCCTGACTAATGGACACTTATGTCATTTACACTTTTTGTTATCAAAAATATGCTGCTGTGAATGTCCTTGGGTGTATAACCTTTCCATTCTCTTGTGAGTAGATCCTTCAGGTGAATAAATGTTGACCAGGGGAACTGCTAGGTCAAACAGCATGTGCATTTTTTTTTCTTGTTGTTGTTGTTGAGACGGAATTTTGCTCTTGTTGCCCAGGCTGAAGTGCAATGGCGAAATCTTGGCTCACCGCAACCTCCGCCTCCAGGGTTCAAGAGATTCTCCTGCCTCAGCCTCCCGAATAGCTGGGATTATAGGCATGCGCCACCACGCCTGGCTGATTTTGTATTTTTAGTAGAGATGGGGTTTCTCCAGGTTGGTCAGGCTGGTCTCGAACTCCCGACCTCAGATGATCCATCCGCCTCGGCCTCCCAAAGTGCTGGGATTACAGGTGTGAGCCACCTTGCCCAGCCAGCATGTGCATTTTACATTTTGACAGATATTGCCTAACTGATGTCTATTCGCCCATTTGAACTCATATCAGAAGAGTAAGAAAGTAACTACTCAATGCCCTCTGCAATGCTTAATCATTACAAACAATATGTTAGGGAAAAAACAGAAGCGTAATTTTGTTTCCTTTCTTTCTTTTTCTTTTTTCTTTCTTTCTTTCTTTCTTTCTTTCTTTCTTTCTTTCTTTCTTTCTTCTTTCTTTCTTTCTTTCTTCTTTCTTTCTTTTCTTTCTTTCTCTCTCTCTCTCTCTCTCTCTCTCTCCCCACCCCCTCTCTGTCTCTCTCTTTCTTTCATGAGACAGGGTCTCACTCTGTCACCCAGGCTGGAGTGCAGTGGTGCAATTACAGCTGACTACAACCTCAACCTCCCAGGCTCAAGTGATCCTCTCACCTCAGCATCCCAAGTAGCTGGGAACACAGGTGTGTGCTACCATGCCCGGCTAATTTTTGTACTTTCTTTTTTTTTTTTTTTTTAGAAATGAGGTTTTGCCACATTGCCCATGCTGGTCTTGAATTCCTGGGCTCAGATACGGGCGCTTCGGCCTCCCAAAGTGCTGGGATTACAGGTGTGAGACACTGCACAGGTCTTAGATTTCTTTAATCATAAAATGATTAAACATTCTTTTGTATACTTTGATTCTTATTATTTTGATTTCTGCAAACTGCTGAATTACATCCTTTTCCAATTTTCGTATCAAATTGTTCTTGTATTTATTTCAATCTTTTGTAAAGCAAAAAAAGCAAAAAAAAAATCCCTCTGGCATTTATGTTACAAATTGTCTTTGCAGTTTTATGGTTTGTGTTTTAACTAATTGTTTTTCGTAATGATTTTTTCATTTATATATAAGAAAGTTCTCATTCTTTTCTATGATGGCCCCTAGCTCTGCATCTTGTTTCAGATGCCCCGGGAAGCTCTTAAAAACAGATTTGGAAGCCACGGTGGTTCATATTTATAATTCCAACATTTTGGGAGGCTGAGAAAAGAGGATCACTTGAGGCCAGGAGTTTAAAACCAACCTGGACAACATAATGAGACCCCATCTCCACAAAAAAAATTATTTTATTTCATTATTTTATTTTTATGTTTTTTAGAGAAAAGGTTTTGCTCTGTCACCCAAGCTGGGGTGCAGTGGCACAACCATGGCTCACTGCAGCCTCAAATTCCTGGACTCAGAAGCAATTCTCCCACCTCAGCCTCCTGTAGCTGGGACTACAGGTGTTCACCACCACACCTGGATAATTTTTAGATTTTTTTGTAGAATCGAGGTCTCACTACGTTGCCCAGACTATCTACAAAGTGTGTGTGTGTATATTTATATATATCTATAGATAGATGATAGATAGATAGATAGATAGATAGATAGATAGATAGATAGATAGATTTTTTTTTTTTTGAGATGGAGTCTCACTCCCATTGCACAGGCTGGAGTACAGTGGTATGATCTCGGCTCACTGCAACCTCGACCCTCCACCTCCCAGGCTCAAGTGATTCTCTTGGCTCGGCCTCCCAAGTAGCTGGGATTACAGGCATGTGCCACCACATCTGGCTAATTTTTGTATTTTTAGTAGAGACGGGGTTTTGCCATGTTGGCCAGGCTGGTCTCGAACTCCTGACCTCAGGTGATCCACCCGCCTCCGCCTCCCAAAGTGCTAGGATTACAGGCGTGAGCCACAGCACCTGGCCAAATATATTTTTTTAATTAGCTGGACATGGTAGCACATTCCTACAGTCCCAGTTACTCTGGAGGCTGAGGGAGGCAGATCACTCGAGCCAGGAGTTTGAGGCTACAGTGAGCCATGATTGTGTCACTGTACTCCCATCTGGGTGACAGAGTAAGACTCTGTCTCAAAAAAAAAATAGATTCATGAACCCAACCCATACAACTCTGATTTGATGGTCTTGGGTTGGGGTTGGGAGCAGGTCTGTCCCTGCAGATGTGTGAGAATCAGTCACACATATACCACAGGAAGCAGTGCTCCTAGGGAGAGATGAGGCTGCAGTCCAGCTCCCTGCAGATCATGGTGGGGCTGGAGGAACAAGACCTGAGGGCAGCAAGATCCAGCAGAGGTCTGGGGGCTCTCAGGAAGGGCTTGCATCCAAGCTAGGGATCTGGGGGGTTGAATACAGAGGAGGAGGTCCTGGGGCTCAAGGGAGTAGACATAAGATTGCGATCCAGGGGCACTGAGTCCCCAGGCCTAAGTCTCCATGCTTTGTTCTAGATCTGTGTGACAGCAAGGTTGAAATGGCCTTGCTGGCCCTGCCTGCTCTGACAAGCACCAGCCAAGGAAGAACTGTGCAGGGTCTGGGTGTCTGCACTTAAAGGCTTCCAGGGCCCTGGCTGAGAGGAGTTGAGTTAGACTGGAGCTAACCTTGACCTTACTTTGCCTTAACATTGCCACCTGGAAAATGGGAACCACAGAGGCAAATAAAATTCTGGTTCTTCTTGCTTTACTGTTGAATTACTGGGTTTTAAGTTGGGTTCTGGTGGGGAAGCCAAGCATCCAACTTGTGAGGTACCACCTCCCTATCAGTTCAAGAGAAGGTGAGAGGCTGGGTGTGGTGGCTCACATCTGTAATCCTAGCACTTTGGGAGGCTGAGGCAGGTGGATCACCTGAGGTCAGGAGTTTGAGACCAGCCTGGCCAATATGGCAAAATCCTGTCTCTACTAAAAACACACACACACACACACACACACAAATTAGCTGGGTGTGGTGGCACACGCCTATAATCCCAGCTACACAGGAGGCTGAGGAAGGAGAATCGCTTGAACCTGGGAGGTGGAGGTTACAGTGAGCCAAGATCGTGCCACTGCACTCCAGCCTATGCGATAGGAGCAAGACTCCATCTAAAAAAAAAAAAAAAGGAGAGAAGGTGAGATTGAAGGTCTGAAGGAAGAAAGGACCCAGGTTCTTCCAAGGACAAAAGGCTGTCACCAGAAAGGAAAGCCACTCGGATTTTTCCTCTGGACTCTATGTGTTCCTCCTTAGGTGTAGCCAGCCCTGGCATAAGGATGCCAAGCGTAGGTGTACAGTGAGGAGGTGTGCAGGCCTGGTAAATAGGTGGCCTTCCAGCAGACCTGGGACTGAACCCTGCTCCACTGCTTACTACCTGATGACCTTAGGTGAGTTGCTTCACCTCTGTGAGCCCCAGTGTCCTTACCTGCCCTGTCTCCCTGGCAGACTTGTTGTGACAAGATAGACAATTAGACAAGATAAGGTGGGTGAAGCACAGTCCCTGAGCATGTCCTCAGTCAAGCCTTAGCTCCTTTCTCTGAGCCTGGCCTGGCCAGCTGATGGCACAGAGCATGAGTTTAGAGAATGAGGAGGACTACAGAGGGCTTGCCAATCATAGCATGCCTTTTTTTTTTTTTTTTTTTTTTTGAGATGGAGTCTCACTCTGTTGCCCAGGCTCGAGTGCAGTGGTGTGATCTCGGCTCACTGCAAGCTCTGCCTCCCGGGTTCACGCCATTCTCCTGCTTCAGCCTCACAAGTAGCTGGGACTACAGACGCCCCCACCATGCCCGGCTAATTTTTTTTTTTTTGTATTTTTAGTAGAGATGGGGTTTCACCATGTTAGCCAGGATGGTCTCGATCCCCTGACCTCGTGATCCACCCACCTTGGCCTCCCAAAGTGCTGGGATTACAGGCGTGAGCCACCGTGCCCAGCCCATTGCATGCCTTTGATGGCTAAACTACAGTGCATTGATCTGTTTACTTGGGCACATTAAAGCCTGATCCAACTTTTCTTTTTCATTTTCTTTTATGTTTTATATACAGATGGGGTCTCACTATATTGCCAAGGCTGGTCTAGAACTCCTGGCCTCAAAGCAATCCCCCTACCTCAGCCTTCCAAAGTCCTGGGATTACAGGTGTTAGCCACTGTGCCCAACTTTTCACTTTAACAACTGAAGTGAGCACATTTAGAGCCCAGCTATGGGAGAGGGGACTACGATCAACATCAGAAAGAGGTAGGCAGGCCTGCACACCTCCTCACTGTACACCTAGGCTTGGCATCCTTATGCCAGGGCTGGCTACACCTAAGGAAGAACACATAGAGTCCAGAGGAAAAATCCGAGTGGCTTCCTTTCTGGTGACAGCCATTCATCCTTGGGGCTCTGGGAGGGATAACAACAAGTTTCCAAGAGAGGAAAGCAAACATGTACAAAGGCCCTGTGGAGAGAAGCAGCAAGGTGCATTCTGAGAGACAAGAGAAGGCCAAGATACCCAGGGCACAGATGGTAAGGTGCAGAGGAGGGCAAGGTCCTCCAGGGAAGAAGGAGGCTGGCCTGGCAGCCAAGGCAAGAAATTTAGGGGTTACACTAACAGCACTGGGGAGCCATTGAAGGGATTTGAGCAGACGAATGACACAATCAGATTTGTATGTGTAATGAATCACCATGGCAGTCTTGTGGAGAAGGAGTTGGAACTGGTTTCATCTTCAAAATAGTTCTTATTCCGCTTCGCTCCACCTGCAGAATCGCCATCTTCTTCCGAGCCACCATCCTCTTTTGCCAGAACTGTGGCATCAGCCTATTTTTTCACACAGTCTCTCTGAATCCACTCTTGCCACCCTCCCTGCCTCTCTCCACACATACCCAATCCCATCTCATACAGCAGACAAAGAGGTCATTTAAAAATGTAAGTCATGGCCCGGCATGATAACCGATGCCTGTAATCCCAGTACTTTGAGAGGCCAAGATGGGGAGGATCACTCGAGCCTGGGAGTTTGAGACCAGCCTGGGCAAGGTGATGAGACTCCATCTCTACAAAAAAATATTAAAAAAAAAAAAATTAGCTGGGCGTGATGGTGTGCAGCTGCAGTCCCAGCTACTAGGAGGCTGAGATGGGAGGATCATCTGAGCCCAAAAGGTTGAGCCTGCAGTGAGCTGTGATGACACCACTGCACTCCAGCTTGGGCAACAGAGTGAGACCCCATCTCAGAAAAAAATAGAAAGTTAAAAAAATACAAATGTAAATCAGATTTTCTCTCTCTCCACCTGAAACATTAAATTCATGTCTCCCTCCAATTTAGAATAAAACCTCAACTCCTGACTGTGGCCCATGGCATCCTGGCCTTCTGGCCCTGCCACTCTCCTGTCACTCTTCCTTGCTGGGTTAGCTTCAAACACACTCTCTCTCTTTCACTGTCTCAAACACATCACGCCCTATCCCAACTGAGGGTCTCTACCAGTCCTTAAATCTGGAATGATTCTCTTCCCTTCCCAACACACACGCACTCTTCCCCTTGCCAGTGCTTACCGATAGGGGATGGGTGACTTCTCCAGAGCACTGTCCCTGAAACCCGCCACAATCTAATTTATGAATCTTCCCTCTGTTATTCTCTCACATAGATCCCTGCTCCTTTCCTTGGGGGCACTTGTCCTTGGGCTTACTGCAAAGTTAAGTTTTACTTTGTCTGTTAACATGTGGGGTTTGTGTGTGATTGTGTGCACGCTTCAGCCTCATAAGACTCTAGACCACACCGGTATTTCTGCCTGCCATTGTACCTTCAGATCCTAGAACCGTGTGGCCGGTGCTCAGTAGGCACTCGGTAAATATTTGTTGAAGAAAGAATAAATGAATGTCTGGGATTATAGCCTCTATAACTTGGCCTCCAAATATCTGGTTAGAGGAAACCAAAAATAATGCAGAACAAACCAAACTAGAGAGGAAAACCCATGGGGGCAAACCCTATAGTTTCCAGCAGTAAATTCTTGACCTTTTTGTTTCTCTTTCCAAGATTGTCTGTAAAAAGGGAAAAATAAGGTTTTTTAAAAACCCTCCACCAATTACCTCTGAGATGAGACTTAATATGCCAAGTTTTTGCCTAGAGCACATTTTTACAGCTGAGTAATAAACCCCAGAAAACATGCCTTATGATGGAAACATTGAACGTCGTCTGTTCCAGCAGGGCCACGGTAGCTGCCGAGACGGAGGAACATTCTTGTCAAAGAAGGAGGGAGAAAAGGAAGAATTGGATTGTGTAAATATTTATCCAAAGAAGCAGTGTTGTTGGTAATGAGGAATGTTGGCTTCCCTTCACAAACCAGATCTTGATTTGTTTTCTATCCCGATTACTTTTTATGACGCTTGGGTTTTCTTCACAGTGAAACGCTTGGGTGATAAGAGAGTGTGAGGGAGATTGGGAGAAACAGATATTTGTATACGTTGGCCCCCTTTGCAAACTTTAGAGGGCCTCCCAGTTTCATGCTCGAGACAAGGGTATAAATATCGCTGTCTTGCTCCCCATACTGCCTAGGAGACTCCAGAAGGAGGCATTTTCCAAGAAAGGGAATTATTTTTGGCTGCCATTGTGGTGCTGGAAACAGACCTCGACTTAAATTCAGAAAACCGAAGTTCGGATCCTACTTCACCCTGACAATAGCTGACTAAGCCCGAGCAAAGAGCTTGTTCCCTCCGAGCCTCAGTTTCCTCACCTGTCAGTAGCAAAGAGAAAACCAAGGCTATGTGCGGGTTGGTGGCACGCTGTCTCTCCACCCTTCTTCCTCCATATGTGCTACACCTGGCCAGCAAGGGAACCCCCTCTGAAATCAGTGCCCGGGTTCTGACCAAACCCGATCATGCAGGATGGATAGGAGATGAATCGTAGAAAAATGGAGGCAGGGCAACGAAAATGACCTCAGTCCTTTCCTGGAGTAAATGGGAAGACACATTCTATGGGAAATCATGACAACAGAATAGGTTCGTTCCAGCCGAATCCGACTTAGAGTTGACTTTTAAAACGCCTTTAATAGTAAAAGTAACGGAGCACTCAAGAAGATTTTGAAAACGAACTCACAGATTTATCCCACGACCCCAACACCCTCAATTACTTTCTCGTCTGCATATTTTCTTTCTGCCCATGTGTGGCCTGCACTTCCCCTTGTAATGGGAAACATGCTCCATGAGAAACGGAGGAAGTGAGCCCAAAAGACGCTCTAGGCTGCTTCTCTCTCTCTCTCTTTTTTTTTCCTTCATTTATTTATTTTTTACTATGTTTATAAACCATGCCGAGGAAGTCCCCTCCCCTAGACACCAACCTGCTTTTGTTTTTTCTAGGTTTTGTTGTTGTCGTTGCTGCTGCTGTATTTAAATTGAAATAAATTACCATTTCTTGAAAAAATTCATTTATTATTGATTTATTTATTTTTAATATGATACCAACTGGTTTTGAGCTCCCTCTCACCGTGGGAGTTTAGTCTCTGGCCCCGGCAACCTCTGCCAGTGGCAAGAGCTGACTTATTGCTGGTGTCAACACATGGCCAAGTTGGCTTCATCCTGAGCCCCGCACAGAAGCGCAGGAGCCTCGGCAGCTGCGCACAGTTCTAGCCGGCACTCAGGTTGCATTGTGCGGCATCGCCTGGGTAACCGATAGCCGGCCTCAGAAATGGAATAGGGTGGGAGCCGGGCAACAATTCCCATCACCCCGCCTCCTCCTCCTCCTCAAATAGTCAGCTGGTCTCTGTTAGTCATTTCAGTCAACGGTTTTCAAAAACCTCCGCTGCCATTTATTAAAATGCCTATTTTGTGCCTAAACAGGCAAATGCTTGCTGTAGTTTATCACGAATACTCCCAACAGTTCTTCAAGCTCGGTGTGATTACCTCCCCTTCTAAAGACAAGGAAAATGAGGATCAGAGAGGGTCAGCGACTTACCCAAGGCCACACAGCCCCACATTTCTGTCTGACTCTGAAGCCTGTGGTCTTCCTATGGCAGCGACGTCCAGATCAGAACTAATAAGCTAGCAAATGTGGTCTGCTTCTTTGAAGAAAAGACCTGGGTATTTTTGACTTGAGGACCTATTGTCAAAGTCAGAATGGGTAATTTCCATTCCACCTCTCACATTTTAATGCCCAGCACTGCTATTGCTAAATTCTTCTATTTGATGTCCATGAGCTTGGAGATCCATGTGACTGCTCAAGAATCAGTTCTGAGCTCATGCCAAGAGTAGAAATGTTAGTGACTGGGTCTGAGCTGCCCGTATTCTGCTCCATTGAGAATGGGGCTAATTACGAAGTCGGATGGATCCATTGTCAAGGAAACTTACCATATTCTCTTGGACCATTTAAGGGCTGAGCAAACATGCTGGCTGGACAGGTTGTCCTGTACTGATGGCAATCTCTGGTTCTCCCCAGGCCCTAAACAGCTGCCTCAGCTTCCCACAGAGTCTGGAGAAATCCTTCAGAACAAAATGATCCCAATCCTGGGCTTCAGGACTTTCTAAGAGCTCGAAGAAATTACAGGGGCCTGTGGGGAAATAAGTCTCCTCTACTGGTTGAGGAGAAGGATAGAGCCAGAAGATTAAAGAAAGGGCAATAGAGCAAAAGGTAGAGGGCAAAGGGAGCTGGAAAGAAACTCTCAAGGGCTCCCATGAGCATTAATAGGAATTCCAAACTCAGTATCAGCAGCCTGTCCTACCTGGCCCTTTTCTAGGAATTCAAGCCTTGGGAATTCCGTTACTGCTGCTGCTTCTAACACATCCATTGCCAAATGCTGTATCGGTTAGAAAGCAAATCAGTGAGGATTAGATGAAACAACACAGTTAATTATCCAGTTGCCTTGTGAAGTCCCTTGGGATTCCATTGGCAAGGCTGTATCCAAGGCTTGCCCTGCACAGTGGTACATCTGTCTGCCCTCTCTGCCCCGCCCACTCACCCAGACCGGGAGTGGATGGAGCAACACTGCTCTTCTGTTCTAAGTCGCCTGCTGCCTCGGCCCAGGACTTAGGTGTATGCGGCTACTGAAATGGAACTCTGAGCTGAGCATGGTGGCTCATGCCTGTAATCTCAGCACTTTCGGAGGCCAAGACGGGCGGATCACTTGAGGACAGGAGTTCGAGACCAGCCTGGCCAACATGGTGAAACCCTATCTCTACTAAAAATACAAAAATTAGTGGGGTGTGGTGGCGCACACCTGTAATCCCAGCTACTCAGGAGGCTGAGGCAGGAGGATTGCTTGAACCCAGGAGGGGGAGGTTACAGTGAGCTGAGATTGTGCCACTGCACTCCAGCCTGGGCAACAGAGCGAGACCCTGTTTCAAAAAAAAAAAAAAAAAGAACTCTGAGGACAGAACGTTTGGGTGGCATGGGAATAGCATGAGTATAGCATGAAGACAGCATGAAGAGAGACCACTGCCCATCAGTTTACCATGCAGACCTGCAGTGCCAGCGCAGCGTCCCCCTAATCCGGGATGTGTTAGGTAGCATCTCTACGTCTTCCAGAGTTCACTCTCGGTTTCCTCCCTGACTCTCCATTTCCAATGCCACTCCTTTCTTCCAGACTCTTCAGCAATCCCAGAAACTTTGCAGCAACCTCCTGCCTGGTCATATTGCTTTCAGTATTTTGCATAATGCTTCCCCGGATAGTTTCTTTTCTTTTCTTTTTTTTTTTTTTTTTTTTTGAGAGTGTCACTCTTTTGCCCAGGCTGGAGTGCAGTGGCACATCTCGGCTCAGGGCAACTTCTGCCTCCCGGGTTCAAACGATTCTCCTGCCTCAGCCTCCTGAGTAGCTGGGACTACAGGTACCCGCCACCACGCCCGGCTAAGTTTTTTGTATTTTCAGTAGAGACGGGGTTTCACCATGTTGGTCAGGTTGGTCTCGAACTCCTGACCTCAAATGATCCACCCGCCTTGGCCTCCCAAAGTGTTGGAATTACAGGCATGAATCACCGCACCCCACCCAGATAGTTTCTTAAAGAGGTATGTCATAGAATTCTATTACTCCCCTGCTCAAAACCATCCATGGCAGAAGTTAAAACAGAGCAATGATCTCCAGTGCTGGCAGAGAAAGGGGGAGCTGAACACTGCAAGTGGGCATGTGCCCTAGAGCAGGGTTTTTAGGAAGTCATCCAGCAGTGCCCATTCAGGTTAAAAATACACACACCTGGCTCCAGCATCTCAATTTTGGAAATTAAACCTTTAAAAATAAAAGTGTGGCGGGGCGCGGTGGCTCAAGCCTGTAATCCCAGCACTTTGTGGGGCCAAGGCGGGTGGATCACCTGAGGTCAGGAGTTTGAGACCAGCCTGGCCAACATGGTGAAACCCCGTTTCTACTAAAAATACAAAAAAATTAGCCGGGCGTGGTGGCATGCACCTGTAATCCCGGCTACTTGTGAGGCTGAGGTAGGAGAATCACTTGAATCCAGGAGGCAGAGGTTGCAGTGAGCTGAGATCGTGCCATTCCACTCCAGCCTGGGGGACAAGAGCGAAACTCCATCTCAATAAATAAATAAAAGAGTGTAACTATGAACATTTGCAAAGTTTTCTCTCAAGAATTGTTGGTAGCAGTAACAATTTGGATAAAAAATATAATAATATCCATCAATTAGAAAATGGTTAAACGCATTATAATATGCCACTACTATGGAATATAAAAAGAATGGATTGGGTTATTGATTGACATGATGAAACGTCTAGGATATGAGTTAAACAAGAAAGCAAGTTGCATAGGTAGATAGCTGCATATCACACATGCAGGTACACAAGCACACAAAGGCACCATCAATTTCCACCTTTCTGAATTTGTATCTGCTATTTTTGTGTTTGTATATAGATACTAGCATCTAAGGATACACATGAGACTGTTTTTTTTTTTTTCAAGACAGGGTCTCACTGTGTTGCCCAGGCTGGAGTGCAATGGCACAACCATAGCTCACTGTAACCTCAAACTCCTGGGCTCAAGTGATCCTCCCACCTCAGCCTCCCTGGTAGCGGAGACTACAGACATCTGGCTAATTTTAAAAAAATTTTTTTTTTTTGTAGAGACAAGGGTCTCCCTCTCTTGCCCAGGCTGGTCTCAAACTCCTGAACTCAAGTGATCCCCTGCCTCAGCCTCCCAAAGCGGTGAGATTACGGGCATGAGTGACTGCACCCAGTCAAGATTTTTTTTTTTTAGACGGAGTTTCGCTCTTGTTGCCCAGGCTGGAGTGCAATAGCATGATCTCCGCTCACTGCAACCTCCGCCTCCCAGGTTCAAGCGATTCTCCTGCCTCAGCCTCCCAAGTAGCTGGGACTACAGGCATGTGCCACCATGCCCAGATAATTTTTATATTTTTAGTGGAGACAGGGTTTCACCATCTTGGTCAAGCTGGTCTCGAACTCCTGACCTCGTGATCCACCTGCCTCGGCCTCCCAAAGTGCTGGGATTACAGGCGTGAGCCACCGTGCCCAGCCTCAAGATTGTTAATACTAGTTGATTTGGATGGCAGAATGAAGAGAAGATAAGGGAGATTATTAATTGCTTTCATGTCTTTGATTTGTTTCGCTGGTCATAGTGGAAACCTATTGCTTTTGAAATTCTAAGAGTCATTTAAGATAAGATGATAGAAAAAAGAAAAGAAAGAAGAAAAGTAAACAGCAGAGAAGGGAAGGGAGCGGGAGGGAAGGAAGAAAGAAAAAAAACCCTTCACTGTCTCGCCGCAGCTTTCCAAGTCCCGGCTCCCCGCTCCACCTGTCCTTCTCCCCGACTGCTTGTGCCCCGACTCCCCACATCTGTATTAGCACCCAAATACACAGACCAGGTCATTTCAATTCTCACGCTTTCTTACATCCTGCCCCCTTTGCCAGAAACCACCTCCTCTTTCTCAACCTGCCAAATTCTTTCAAAGTTCACCCCAAATGCCACCTCCTCCAAACAGCCTTTTCCTGCCTCCAAGGGTCCGTCAGTCCCCCTCTGCGCTCCTATATGCCCTGTACCCTCTGGTACCACATTCCACTGTACCTGCTACAGGGGCTGCACTTTCAAACGCCTGGCTGGTGGCGACTAGAGTCTGCAGGTTCCACCTAGAGAAACTGCCCTGGACGGCCCAGGGCCACCCTCCTTTGGACTGATGCAGAGAAGCCAGGATTCCAGATTTCTTTCTTTCTTTCTTTCTTTTTTTTTTTTTTTTTGAGACGAAGCCTCGCTCTGTCACTCAGGCTAGAGTGCAGTGGTGCAATCTCGGCTCACTGCAACCTCCACCCCCTGGGTTTAAGCGATTCTCCTGCCTCAGCCTCCAGAGTAGCTGGGATTACAGGTGCACACCACCACACCTGGCTAATTTTTTTATTTTTAGTAGAGACAGAGTTTCACCATGTTGGTCAGGCTGGTCTCGAACTCCTGACCTTGTGATTCGCCCGCCTCGGCCTCCCAAAGTGTTGGAATTACAGGCGTGAGCCACTGCGCCCAGCCCCCAGGATTCCAGATTTCTATGGGAAGCCCCCTGATTTTTAACTGTTGGCAACTTATTGAAGTGTTCAATAAACTGTCTTCAGGCCAACACAGTGAGAGTGAAAGAAAGAAATTCTGTGAGATATGTCTGGCTTCATCAGTATTGGGTAACTGGGTATTTGGTAGATCTGTGTTCCCACTGGAGTGGGAGACTGTTGAAGGCAAGAACCTGTCTGGGTAGTCTTTGCATTCCAGATTTAGCACAACCCAGCACACACATACTTAAGGAAGAAGGGAAGAAACACGGGAAACAGCCAGAAGGATGAAAGAAAGGGATAAAAGGGCACACCAGGCAATGCGTTTAATCATTTACGAAAAGGACAAGTGAAAACCTTTTTCCATCTTGTTTGCAACTTACAGATTGTTTTTGTTCTCTTGTTTGTTTGTTTTAGAGACAGAGTCTCACTCTCTCACCTAGGCCGTAGTGCAGTGGCACTATCTAGGCTCACTGCAGCCTTCGCCTCCGGGGTTCAAGCAATTTTCGTGCCTCAGCCTCTCGAGTCACTGGGACTACGGGCGCACACCACCACGCCCGGCTAGTTTTTGTATTTTTTGTAAAGATGGGTTTTCGCCATGTTGCCCAGGCTGGTCTTGAACTCCTGGCCTCAAGTGATCCACCCACCTCGGCTTCCCAAAGTGCTGGGATTACAGGTATGAACCACTGCAACCAGCCTTTGTTCAAAATTGAGTGGGGGGGGTGTTTTTGTTTTTGTTTTAGAGACAAGGTCTCACTCTGTTGCCCAGGCTGGAGGGCAGTGGTGCAATGATAGCTCACTGTAGCTTCAAACTCCTGGGCTCAAGTGATCCTTTCACCTCAGCCCCAAAGTCCTGGGATCGCAGGCGCTTGCCACCGTGCCTGTCTAATTGTTTTATTTTTTGTAGAGAAGAGGTCTCACTGTGTTGATCAGGCTGGTCTCAATGAAGTCCTGGCCTCATGTGGTACTGCCGCCTTGGCCTCCCAAAGTGCTGGGATTACAGGCGGGAGCCACCGTACCTGGCCTGCAACTTGGGTGTATCTTAATTTTGACCACACGGTATAGATGTTCTATGGATACTGTAAAAATGCCTGCTAGGGAAATGGCAGTTTCCATATCCAGGCACTAAAGATGAACCAGTGAAACAAAGGATACAGTGATGTTTAAACAGAACTAGGATTTCAAAGAATTCTTCCCCTCTTTTGCAATTACTACTCAGCTAGTAGATAACCAGGTTCAGAGTAAATAAGTTTGTGTTTTGACCAAATTCACCTATTCACTGTTTACTAATGATACTAACAACTCCAAACATCCAGGAAAATGTGGAGGCCTCTATTATCTCTGTCTTCATAATAATAATGTGGTCCTCTATTATCTCCACAGTAAATTCTTCCTGCAAACCTGGGAGGTCAGAATGATCACAACCCTCATAGTACAGATAAGGGATCCAAGATTCAGAGAGGGAAAGTAACTTGCCCAAGGCCACCCAGCTGGAAGGAGGTGGGGCAGGATTCCATCCAGATTTTGTGCTGTTGGAAATGCAGTGTTCTCTCCTGTAAATCAGTGTTAACCCCAATTTCAGGCATCCACCTACACAATTGTTCCTAAGAACAATCATGATTGTTGGCTTTATCCCAGTACCAACAGTGCTATTATTTAATTAATGTTTAACTTAAGTTCTCATTTTAACACTAAAAAATAATTTGTAAAGTGAAATTTATGTCACAGTATTACTTATCAACCTTAGCTGGGTTAACTCTGAAAATGAGTAGAGTGAAAGCAACACTGTGTTATTTTCCGGCTTGATGCTGTGGTCTCCTGAAGGCTGAAACCTGGTGCTTTGTCCCCAGGGACACTGGTGATCATTATCGTGGTGTTCAAGTTGTACTAAGACAGTCTCCTGGCCGGGCGCGGTGGCTCATGCCTGTAATCCCAACACTTTGGGAGGCCGAGGTGGATGGATCACCTGAGGTCAGGAGTTCGTGACCAGCCTGGCTAGCACAGTGAAACCCCGTCTCTACTAAAAATACAAATTATTAGCCAGGCGTGGTGGCAGGTGCCTGTAATCCCAGCTACTTGGGAAGCAGAGGCAGGAGAATCACTTGATCCTGGGAGGTGGAGGTTGCAGTGAGCCAACATCACGCCATTGCACTCCAGCCTAGGCAACAAGAGTGAAACTCCATCTCAAAACAAAACAAAACAAAACACCAAACACAGTCTCCTGAGTAAAGTGGAAGGATTAACAGACATCATTGAAAATGAAATCACTTCGTTGTCATGTACTTAGATGTTACTTCATACCCTGTCCAGAGACTCTCCAAAATCATTTCTCTGGGTAAAGCTGGTGCCACCACTTGGGCACAGCTTTCTTGTGCTGCCCGAAAGGCCCTGAGGGTTTTTAGCAATGTAATTTTCATAAGCCTCTTTGCAACTGTCCACACCAACAGCGTTAGCATTAATTGTGTCATTAGCAATGATCCATCTGGTTTCCTCCCAGTCTTCCCATCTGCTGAGTCAAAAACTTCCCTCCTTTCTTGAATGGGAGACCTGCAACAGGGAACAGAAGAAATTGTGTTCCTTGCATTTTATATGCATGATCCCATGTAATTCTCCTCAACCCCTGAAATAGGGATTAGTGGCCCCCATTTTCTGATGTGGAGAATGAAGTCCTACTCAGAGAAGTGGGAGGACTTGTCCCAAGACAAGCTGGACACAGGATAAAATTTGGTTTCCAACCTACCCAGCCTGACTCCTGTGATCCTTCCATCTGACTGGAAACCTCAGTCAGCCTGGTGGTAGACAGGAACAAGAAGCCGAATTTTTCATTCACTCCTTTTTATCATAGAACAACTATAGAACCAGAGCAGACTTGGAATGCAACTAAACCCCCTCCTTTTGCTAGTGAGGGGGATGAGGAACCCAGAGAGCAGGAAGATCTTTTCAAAGTCACCCAGCAAGAGAGTGACAGGTAGAGATCAGAACTCTTCCTTCCTGGTAGTGGGGGTGGGTGGGAGTGGGCAGGGGGTGTGTCTAGGTCTTTTCCCTTCACTTTCCCACCTTCCCTACAAAGACTTGCAAATTCACTGGCAAAAGTCATAAGCTGTGGAAAGGTGGCAAAGAGAAAAAGTCCCAGTTTTATCAAGCTATAATACATAAGGGGTATTCAATTTATAGATAGTATTATCGTGATGAGGAAGGCTTAACTATATTTAAAGTTTGTGGATCTCATAAAATTGTGAAGATATTACAATGCCTTTTGCAAAAAATTCCACCCATAGCTCTAATTTCTTTTTCCTATTTAAACAGTGGTGACTATTCTCTCTTAGGGTTGGAGGGTAGGTAGAGGATAAGGGAATGACATCTTAACAATACACAATTAAAAAAAGAAATTATACATGTCTTGATTTTTCATGTCTGAGAATCAAACCTTTCAATAAATGAAAATAATGATACCATCTACCAAGAGGCTTGTGAGAAGTAAATGAATTGGTGCCTGTTGTGTGCCTAGAACAGTGCATGACACATAGTAAGTGCTCAAAAAGCATCAACCGCTATTATTAGGGGGATGAGCAACTTAAAACTATCAGTTTAATATTTTCCTAAATACATATGGGTCTCTTTTTTTCCATTGTAGAAACACACCTTCATGTAGAAAGATCAAGATATTACTAAAGCAAATTGGCAAAGATAACAGTGTGATGTCGAGTTTCTCTGGTTGATTTTATTTTATTATTATTATTATTATTATTATTATTATTTTGAGATGGAGTTTCACTCTTGTTGCCAGGCTGGAGTGCAATGGTGCGATCTCGGTTAACTGCAACCTCCACCTCCCAGGTTCAAGTGATTCTCCTGCCTCAGCCTCCCAAGTAGCTGGGATTACAGGAATCTGCCAGCACGCCCAGATACCAAAATAATTTTTGGTATTTTTAGTAGAGATGGGCTTTCACCATGTTGGCCAGGCTGGTCTTGAACTCCTAACCTCAGGTTATCCACCCGCCTCGGTTTCCCAAAGTGCTGGGATTACAGGCATGAGCCACTGCTCCTGGCCTGTCTCTGGCTGATTTTAGCCAGGAATAAGAGAAATTCAATCTGAGGGATGATGAAGAGAAATCAGTTAGTGGTCTGGAGTCAGATTCACCTGGGGTCACATGCTGACTGAAACACTTAGATGCTACAAAACCTTGGGCAAGCACAACCTCCCCAACTCTTCCCATTTGTGAAATGAGTAACTATAGGGAAATGTGACAATTAATTGCAAGTCTAACGACTTTCTGGGTCTGGGGTGGAATGAACACTCAGTTTTCCCAGTGGACAGGTTAAAATTCTGCCCCTGCCTTGCAAGAATCCAATCCAGCATTAGTTACAATTCTGAGAGCAGCCCTCATAATTCACAGTTCATTCTGGAGTCACCGGGGAAGGCAACCTTTCAGTGAGTCACCCCTGCAGTCTCCACCACCACCTGGATTTACTCATTTATTCAACAAATATTTATTGAGTCCCTCACCATGCCAAAGGCTCTTCTGGGCACTGGACACAGTGCTGTGAATGCATGACAAATCCTGGGGGCCCCCACATCGGGTCTTCATGGATCCAGGCCCCAAAAGGCATGGTTTCCACATCAGTGGGGCACTGTAAGGCTCAGAGCATTTCCTGGGCAAACCTAAGCAATGTGATGCATTCTCCTACCTAACTCCCTCTGTGACCTCCAGCAAGTGGCCTCTCCTTTCAGACCTACATTTCACATTTCACCTCCGCGGTGAAATGGGGTGATAGACAGGAAGGGGTGGAGGCAGAAAGGGAGGAGGGAGAGGGGATTCACACTCCTAGTAACAAGTGAGGTTTTGGATGTGAAAGCATTGCAATGAGTAAAGCTAAATGCACAGTTTTCTGATTACCAAGGCAGGGGCTCTTCCTGCCAATGATGACCAGCAGCTCCCTCCGAAGGCTGGCACAAGCCTGGGGCCCAGCTCCAACACCCCAACTCCT
Organism: Homo sapiens; assembly: GCF_000001405.40. Lineage (NCBI taxonomy): Eukaryota > Metazoa > Chordata > Mammalia > Primates > Hominidae > Homo > Homo sapiens. The sequence continues at coordinate 174,718,552 of NC_000005.10, forward strand.
CGCCCAAAAATGACTAACAACACTTAGAATAATTGCTTCTAATTGTCTTTATCCTCCAAATAAAACAAACCCTGCTTATTCCCCACCAGGCAACTGGGAGAAGGGGGTGGAGCAACTGGAAGAGATTATCTGCCTTAATTAAAAAATACAATTATGCCTATTAAGTAACCCCTCAAAGTTCCTTTTCCCATCTTCCCTACGTGTAGTCTGCTGCATTTTGAAGCTGAAACAACTTGGAGGCCACCAAGTAAGACAGACTTGAGATTTCTGTTGAATTATTTGGGAATCCATAATCCAGGGTACCCTTTGCCATAATCTAGAGTGGCAGGGCCGAGAGCAATTTATGTGTGTGTCCGTGCTAGTGACTGAGCCCATCCTGGACTCAACAGCCCATCTGTCAAGTCGGAAGAAAATGGAAATAGTAGATACTTCATTGCTGTGAGCAATTCCAGATGCCTCTCCTCTCACATTTACAGCAACCTCTGCTGCAGGCAAAATACATAAATTTTAGAATCAGCCAAATCCTGATTTGCATCTTTGCCAGGTATTTTCTAGCTGTGAAAAAACCTTATCAAGCCTTAAGCTTCAGTTCTTTCTTCCTTCAGGAGGAATAGGGCCCGTACATCACAGGGTTGCTTGAGGAATAAGTGGGAGAGAGCTGACGGTTATTGAACCTCGATTAAAACCTCACCTCTGCTCAGCCCTGTATGGGTGGTTATTCTGGTTTTACAGATGGGTAAACTGAAAGGGGTGGGGGACGGCAGAGATTTGTGAATGGCAGGGCAAGATCCCCTAGGTGTTCTCCTGGATGACCGGGCTGGTTCCCTAGGGCTGCAGCCACCAGCTTCCTGGAACCACCTCTTCCAGGGAGTCCTTTGGGTCTTTCTCTGCAGACAAATCAGCCTCGGCCCTGCTCGTGGCAACTTTCCTCCAATCAGGCAGGGGTTGAGAAGAGACCAGAGAGCTGTACCCAGGGATTGGGAGACAGGAGATACTCCCTGCTGTTTGTCTAAACCTAAAGTTTCTTCTTCCCTTAATCTCCACCTCTCACTAGATAGATCTGCCAATCTGCTTCCTTCCCAAAAGGTAGGTAGTTATTCCCATTTTACAGAAGAAAAAAAAATGAGGCTCCAGAAAGTTGCATGCCTCAAATCATTCAATGAGTTCCATGCCTCGAATCATCCAATATTAGATCATTCGATTTCAAATGTGCACGATGCCCAGGAAGATCTATTGGAAAGGGAGGTAAAAAGTAACATCGATAATGACTTAAGAAATGAGAATAATATCCCACATTTACTAAATGCTAGGCACTCTCTCATGTTACAGCTGCTGAATCTGCAGTGCAGAAAAGTGAAGTGATTTATCTAGTCTCACAGGAAATACATGGTTCAACCTTACTTGAAGCCAGTTCAGCTCTAGATCTTGAAGCCAGTTTAGCTCTAGGAGATCCGAAGCAGAGCTGTCTCCTGGGTCAGTGCCTGCTTCCAGCACACTCAGCGCTACTCGGTATTTTGTAAGGCTTGTCACCTAGTTCTCACCAGCAACCCTGTGGATGGGCATTAGCATGCCTATTTTCTGAAAGGGGAAACCAAGACCCAGCAAGGTGACGGCGGAAAACGGTGAGAAGTAGGGCCTGGATTTGAATATAGAACTACAGAAGGCCGACCCACAGCTCCTCCCCTCACACCTGCTGCCTCCAGAACTAGATGTCCCCATGAACTCGCCATCCCCTCTCCAGGCTGTGGGACCTGCAAGGAGATGCAGCTTCTTTTACCTCTACCTCCCCCGCCCCCATCCTTGTGATGGTCTTCTTCCAGGGACACCGTGTTGAATTAGGTTTTACCACAGCTGAAGTCAGGCCAACCTCTCCCCTCTCTGCGCCTGGACGACTTCATCTGTGGAATGGGGAGAAAGCTCAGGCTTTAGGGGGCCTTCAGTAATCTGCATCGTGCTTTTGGCAAAAGCTCCTTCTCTCCAGCCCCGGCTCAAACCCGGGCTCGGTCCTGACTCCGGACCTTAGGGGGCGGGAACAGGAGAACAGGAAAGAACAAGCTTGGGCTTGCAGAGCTTCGCAAGCAAGACGTTTGTACCCCCAAAACCTCCAGCTGTGACCCTGAATATCTATCTACCCGACTTCCTGGGCTGTGTAACTCGGAAAGTGATCTCTCTAGACACCAGAGGACCGAACCTTCCCCATTCTCACTCTGCAACAAGCCAGTAAGAAAAATGAGCTCAGAGACGAGTAGCCTTTTGCCCGAAGTCACACAGCCAATGTTTTGGGGGGTGGGTGAGCGGTGTTGTGGAATTCCTGGCGGATGTTGGCGCCCGCGGGTCTGCCTGCTTCTGATACCCGGGCTCGGTAGAATAGGCCGCTAACGAGCTCCCATTAGGAGGAATTGTCACTCCTCTGGGAGCGAGCTTGTCCCATTAGGGCGAATTGTCATTCCTCCTGGAGCGAGGTTGTCCCGGCTCCGCGCAGGCTGAGTGCTGGGGCCGAGAGCAATTAACGCGGCTCCGGCGCGGGCAGCCGCCTCTGCCCCGGGCAGCGGGGGCGGGGCAGGGCGGGGGCGGGGCGCCCGGCGCGGCTGGAGCCGGTCACCCGGCGCAGCCCCTTCCCCCGGAGCCCGCCTTTCATCTCCCCGCGCCTGGCGCCTGCCCGAAGCCCAGGCCCGTCTACAGCCCCCTTCGCTGCCCCTCCCCCGCCCCCTTCTAGCCGCTGGGGTTACAAACTAGCCTTCGGCCCTCGGGGTTACAAACGCTGCGTTCTGCGCGCAGTGCTCCACAGTTTGCAAGGAGTGTTTTCTCCTTGGGACTCGCAGCGCGCGTACGCGGTTGCTTCAAGAAGGGGCCTGGCGGGTGTAACGCGCCCCGGGGAGCGCGGGAAGGTGCAGGGTTGAGGATCTACGCTCAGAGGCCTCAGCCGCGCGGGAGGGATTCCTGTGTCTCCCACTTCTACCTGCGCGACCTTGGGCAGAGTATTAGCGCTTCCCAGCCTTAGGCATTCATCTGTGAAATGGGAAAAATAATCTGCTAGCAGCGGTGTGTTGGAAGAAACCAATAAGATCCTGGATAGGTCCAGGCACTAAAGCATCCTTCAGAGTTGATGCTTCCTGGTGGCTGAGTTCCTATTGGAACCCCGCTTTTTTGCTAGCAAATATTGCAGCTACGCATACATCCCTGGGAACTAACATTTACTGAGTGCCTTCTACGTGACAAAGCCAGTTCTCCGCTAGATCACTGTCCCCAAACCTGGACACTTCTCAGACCGAGCCAAATTCTCAGCCCCGGAAATTTTACAAAGAACCTACCGTAAGCTCTGGGATGCACCTTATCTTTCGATCCTTGGCAGGGAGAAAGCATTCGATACATTGTGATTGCTTTTGATATACAATAATGTTTTAACCTGGACCTCCTATGCCTTCTAGTTACTTTAGGTAGCCTATTGAATTTAATCACCACCAGAGTCATCTCAGGTAAGGATTATTATCTCTCATTTTGGAGATAAAAAAAAAAACGCTGGCTGGAGGAAGCAATTTAGAGTGCCCAAGGTCACTCCGCCAGGAAAAGGTGAATAAAACGTTCTGAAAACGCAGCCAAAGTTGGATAAAATGCAGACTTGGGGCTTTCCATAAAGGGCTAGCGTTGTGTTGCGGTTCCAGCCCTTTCCCAGCAGAAGTGAGCCCCTTTCCCGATTTGTCTCCACCTCAGCAGAGAGCTGGGGAGGGAACTGGCAAAGACCCCAGGAGCAGGCTGGTTCCTCTCTCAGCATCTTTCCTATTCATGGTCAGAGCTTGGCACTCTGATTTTGAACACCGGTAATTTTTTTATCTCTGTTTTCCTATTCCTGGCTTTGTAATTTATTTGTCTCTGCCTGGACTTCAGTATTCCAGAGTAGTAAAGGGGACCTGGCTTTTCCTTTCCCAGAGAAGTTCATTAAAATAAAGGAGTTCCAGTGGTATTGATTTTTGTTTCGAATTTCTCAGGAATGAGCCTGTGTGCCTTATAGCTGACAGATATTAACAAGGAGTTTTCAGGAATAATTATAAAACATTGGCTGCGTTTAGCCTAACTGAAAGTTGAACCCTTTTGTACACTTTGGCAGCTGAGGGCTAAACGAATTTCAGATTTGCTTCCAAAATATATAGCCTGCACCTTGCCTTGTACATCTAGAAGGTACAGAAGTTAATCTGGATTTACCTGTACTGTATTTGAGATGCATATCAAATCAACTATCACCAGGTATGACTCAAGGGGAAAACGCATACATCTCCAGGTAGTTTTCATAGTTTTTTTTTTTTTAACTTTTTTGAGCCTCCAGTTGGTTAAGAAGAAATGTGCATATTCTTTATAGTGAGAGAGAAACTCAGAAGTTTTAGAAGACTGTGTTTAGGACTTACTTACTCTTTTACTTTTTCAGGACCATCTTTAATCAAACTGAATTAACTGGCCTGTGCAGACTGTCTTTATCCTCTAAGATTCAGGTAATACTTTTTTCCAGTTCTCTCCGGCCAGCACAGTTTCACTTCAGGGAAAGGTTTGGGGTGAAGCAAACAGTGCCTCAGAGAGGTACATTGGGAAGGGTACATAAGGGTCTGTAGGTCTAGGGGTCAAGTTTCTAATACTCCTGAACTGGGAGGTAGCCTCCAAGCCTTGGTCATTTAAATAATTAAAAACAATGTCTCTCCCTTCCAATGCTCTAGGGAATGTTTAGCAAGCATCTGCTGTAGGCGAGGTCCTGAACTGGGTGACTTCCTATTTACCTCGTCAGTCGCAGGATAATCGTTCAGATATAGGAAAAGACAGCCGCAGCCTGAAAAAAGTCTTTTGAAGCTAACCTTCTAGGTCAGGCATTTTGAGGACCAGCGGAGAGATCCGAGGCCTCTAATCCTCGAAGCTCGCTCTCCCCTTCCCCAGGCTGAGACAGTCATCACTGAGGCTTTGGAAAGGAATTACCGAGGGTATAATTTGGGGTGGGGTGGAGACATCTATGTTTTTATAAAAAACCAGGTGCCATGAATAAAAATGTGCTTCCCAAAATGATATGTAGGCCTGGGGTGTGCAAACTTGGAAGCCGGTATTTCTGAGACTTGCAAACGAGAGGGAGGCACTAGATATTGGCGACTTTTCCTCCTCCCCCCCACCCCCATTACCCTCCGAGGCAAACACTGGCATTCAAACACGCACGACAAACACAGGCTCAAACAAACTCATGAATGCACACTTGCACTGTCTTGAGAAAAAGGTCGGATCCGGATCGCGCTCAGAAAGGAGGTTCAGGAGACAAGTACAGAGATTTCAACTTTCTAAAAGTGCGCTGGATTTGCTTTCTAGTGAGAGAGATGGGGACAACTGATTTAAATTCTTCACTCCGAACCATTTGGGAGAGAGGCACTCCTGACCACTTCTCGGGCTCCTTCCGGCCCCTCTTTTCCAGGGGAAAGAGTTGTAATAATAACAGTGGGCGCTTTTGAGCGCTGGCTAGTGGCGAGTTACTCTTCTAAGTGCATACATTTCTTTCACAGGGATACTGGCCTGTGAGTTTCAGCACCGACTTTCTGGAACTGTAAAGTAAGCCAATTTTGACGCATAGTAGGGGCTTCGTAAATGTTTCTGCAATGCTGTTTGCGAATCTTGAACTTATTCTGGCGGTAGAGGGAGAGTGGGATGGGCGCAGGGTCCCTTTTAAAGAAGGGTCAAAAGAGAGAAGAAATGGGACTCGGCGAACTTCCGCTTTAAATAATCGCTCTTAATTAGGTCTCGGGCTTTTCAGTTTCGGCGTGATTATAACCCTTCAGGGATCGCCTAATAACAACTCTGCTGACTGCTCCTGTAATTAACTCCTAATTTATTTCAAACAGGAAAAAAAAAAAAAAAAAAAAAAAGGAGGGGGGGCAGCCCCTTCGGGAAGAGCCAATCAGGGGCGAGCGTCTCTGGCGTCAGCGCCAGGCCCGGCGCGGATTGGCGGCGCGCGTCTCCCACTTCCCCTCGGAGGAAAGGCTCAGCTCCCAGCGCGCCCCTCCCGTCTCCGCAGCAAAAAAGTTTGAGTCGCCGCTGCCGGGTTGCCAGCGGAGTCGCGCGTCGGGAGCTACGTAGGGCAGAGAAGTCATGGCTTCTCCGTCCAAAGGCAATGACTTGTTTTCGCCCGACGAGGAGGGCCCAGCAGTGGTGGCCGGACCAGGCCCGGGGCCTGGGGGCGCCGAGGGGGCCGCGGAGGAGCGCCGCGTCAAGGTCTCCAGCCTGCCCTTCAGCGTGGAGGCGCTCATGTCCGACAAGAAGCCGCCCAAGGAGGCGTCCCCGCTGCCGGCCGAAAGCGCCTCGGCCGGGGCCACCCTGCGGCCACTGCTGCTGTCGGGGCACGGCGCTCGGGAAGCGCACAGCCCCGGGCCGCTGGTGAAGCCCTTCGAGACCGCCTCGGTCAAGTCGGAAAATTCAGAAGATGGAGCGGCGTGGATGCAGGAACCCGGCCGATATTCGCCGCCGCCAAGTGAGTGCGCGCCGGGGCAGGAGTAGGAGGTAGCGCGGGGTACTGGAGGGAGCGGGGGGCGGGTGTTCCAGGGCTGAGGGTACCGAGACCCTTCTGCGTGCGCTACACTCCCGGGAAAGCAAGCCCAGGGCCTCTGGACTCCTGGGTGCCCGGGGCGTTCGGCGCGCCCAGTGCGCCGTCCGCATCCAAGACACCCTCTGGGTAATAACCGCGCTGTGTGTGTCTGAGACTCCCTCGACATACAGATTGTTTTTTCAAGAGCGAACCCCAGCTGGGTTTACGGGGTCGCTCGGTGGTCCGTTTCTACAGCCCTCGGCCCTGCGCTCTGGCCACTTGGCTTGTTTTTGTTTCACTGTTCCCCGGAGTCTCTGCCTGGGGAGTGAAGGAGTTGGATCCATGTTCAGTGAGCACTTGGATGTACCAGGAACGAGACAGGTTCAAAACTCAACCCTGAGAGTTGTGCCCCCATTTTAAAGATGAGCTAACTGGGCTTAGCCAGACATTGAGGAGAAACCATTTTCTTTCGTGAGTCCCGCGGGTGTCGAAGCCGGATCCCACGAAGGGATGGTGGCACCAGGGATGGTGGCATCAGAGTCTGGTGCGGGGAGGAAATGTCTCTCTGTGGTCTCCGCAGCCAGCACCTCCCCGGCAAGGTTCTGAGCTTCGCCGGGAGCGGGCTGGGGCCAGAAGCGCACGGGCTCTTCTTGGCTCACAGTAATAATTAACCGCATTCCAGCAGGGCTTGAGAGTTTGCAGAGTGATGTTCACTAGCTCACCAGATCGAGATCCTCACTAGAACCCCCAAGTGTAGACACTGGACTTGTGACTACCCTATTTTTCAGACGTGGACGCTGAGGCTTTTAAAGAAGACGGCCTTTGCTTGTCCCAGGTTACCAACAACCACTGATTGGCCAGGGGCACCTGTTGCCCACGCCCTGCTCCTCTGTTTGATATGCCCTGACCACTTTTGCGTCCTCTCCCCAGAGAGACTAGGTAGAGATCCGCACCTGCACCCCACTTGAGAATTGAGGCTGCAGAGAATTCTCCGCTTCAGCATCCATTTTTGGTCCCTGAGTCCTTTTACAATTTGGAGACGTCATCCTTTACAGCCTCTTTTACTTTTATCTCTTGGCTTTTATGGTTTCTCTACCCCCTAATTTCCCACCACGCCATCCCCTACCTGTAGGAAAGGTGAGGGTGGGGGCTGTGGAGGGACTTTCTCCAAAGCTGAGAGAGATCCTTTCACTATTTACATCATTCAGCCCTCAAGACTAGACGCACTGTATTTTGTTAACAAAACAAGGCCATATACCCAGGCGTCAGTGGCTGTCCCCTCTGGCAGTCTCTCTCCACCCTGTTAGAAACTCTGAAAGATTCAAAGGGCGAGGAGATTAAGGGACTCAAAGAATTTAAACTCAAGTTTGGATAGTGCTTTATAGCACTTTTCACCGTATTATCTTATCTCCTCTGTAGGGCAGCAGCCGGCCTCTTAACAGATGAGGACATTTCAGCAAAGTTCAGAGAGGAATCGGCAGTTTGGGCCTGACCAAAAAAAAAAAAAAAAAAAAGCTGGGGACCATTTAATGATCACCTACCAGGTGGCAGACAGACAGGGCTCTGGGTACTCTTAAAATTTTAGTACTGTGGACCACATTGAGGGATTAGTGTTACTTACCCACTTTATCGACAGTGAGGTAGAGGCTCAGAAAATTAAAAGACTTAATTTGTTTAACAAATATTGAGTACATAGCCTACGCCTATGCCCAGCCAATGATACAGGCCTTAAATGGAGTAGTGTCCAGAGGTTAGGAATCCTGCCATCCTTTAGGCCTGTGGGTCTGGAAAGGCAATGACTACTACCCCTCTAAACATCTCTGCCCTGTGCTCAAGCTTCCCTGCTCTGGGTAAGGCAACCTCGGGCCCAGGCTGTGACCTTCCCATGAAAAGAACCAGAAATTCTGAGAACCGAGTTTATAACCTGCACATTCTGCACATGTATCCCGGAACTTAAAGTAAAAAAAAACAAAAAAACAAAAAAAAAACACCATGAAGAATTGTTGGTGCTTTGGGCCTGGAGGTGGCAGCGGGAACCCTGTGGTCAGAGTAGTGGGTCCTGAGAATGCCAGGCGACGGAGCCTGGGGCGAGAGGGAGCTACCCGCCCGGGCCTGATTTTGTTATTTGGAGGAAGTAGGATAAACGCTGTTTTGCCTTATATAATCGCATCCTTCCTCTGGCTGGTTTAAAATTAGGTGGGGGTGGAGGGATGGGGAGTGTTGCATTGGGAGGAAGCCTCATAGCTTCATGGTTTTGATACACATGTGCGATCCCGGTCACCTGGATTTCATAATTCAAATGTAACCCGAAGGACCAGCTGGAATTACCCTGCCCAGGCGCACAGTGCTTCAAAACCCCACGTAGAGCCAGGAGCAAGAGTATATACACGCTAGGAACTTGGTATCTGAGCTGAGACACCTGAGTCCTCCTGAGGGCCCGGCCTAGTTTAGAAAGGGCGAGAATTTTGCAGGTCTCTTGAGAGTCTCTGACAGTGTTGTTAATTTGTAAATTAAGAAGCTGGCTCCCCGGCTGTCTAGTAACTTAGGGATTAGCAAATGCAAAAGTATAGACTTTTATGGTAGTTTCTTATCCTTCCCTTTCCCAGATTTCTGTTCTTTGGTTGGTTACAAAGCCTCTTATCTCTTTTTGATTCAGTAAAGTGATGGGTAATAATGCGACACTGGAACAAATCCATCTCTTGTTGGAAATGGAAGCTGGGTTGGGACTTGTGCTGTGTCACCCTCAAGTATGAAGTGTAAACTCTTTCTTGGGCCACCAAAGTAACTAAACAAGAAATGCAACATTCTCCCATGAATACATTAGAGTTAATACTGTGGCCACATTTGGAAAATTAGCATAGCTCGTAAAAGCCAAATGCAGAAAATTAATTGTTAAGTATTCTATCACCACAGCTCTATCCTCCTCCGCCCACCCACCCTTGAGGAAGACAAGCCCAAAGTTAGTTGATGCTATGGAATCACAAGGATGTCCCAGTCCGTGATTTGCTGTAATTGAATCCATTTTAAATGTGGAGTCTGGATGCTGTTGGCATACCTTTATTTTGCTTGTTTTTCCCCCTGACAAACAAATCATTTACACATTTGCCCGAAGCCATAGAATGGGTAGAGGGGATGACTAAGATGTCATCACGTGCTCTCAATTTGGAGGCAGCATGATTTCCCCTGACATTTACATTTATGGGCTAGCTAATTTTTCCCTTCGTCTTAGTAAAGTTTATATTACAGAAGCGCCCAGCCAAGAACCTTATCCCACATCCAGATCTGTAAAATGATGTTCAGATTTTATAATCTGTGGACTGGATGCAATGACAGCTTGTGACTGTTTATTGCGTGGGACTGCCCCCAAATTCAAAGATGCTATTAATTTACCACAGACCTTATCTGCACGATTATCCTTCATAAATATGCTGACGCAATCCACTTTTTCTGGTTCAGAGAGGAGACCAAGGGAAACAGCTAACCCGGTTGCTAAAACCTTTTTCATTTTCCTTCCCATATGTGATTGTCTCCATGTCCAAGGGAGGCTGGGCTAATCATGAACCTGGTCTCCCATTTTTAAAGAGAAGATAAATTATGCTCAGAAGAGATAGCGGTTCATTTCTCACCGACCACTTGATTCCCTTGTCTTACATTAAATGTTCTATTTCTGTTATCTCTAATGCTGTTTGTTTTCCATATAGAAGGTTCAGTTACACCATTACATTTCCAAAACTTTTCTTAAAAAACTCATTTTTAAAAAACGAAGCAACTTACCCATTTATATATGGTCCCCCTCCCCCCAAGAAACACACATAGTTTTGACAAAGGTACCTTTTTCAAAGATGAAACAAAGTATGTCTTTCCATACATAGATATGTGTGTGTGTGTGTGTGTGTGTGTGTGTATATGTATGTATATATAGATTTTTTTAAAGCTAAGTGCTTTCAGTTGAGAGGGGAGGCCCGAAAGGAAAAAACCTAGAGAGATGACGGGGGAGATGGGTTTTTTTTAGTATTATTTTAATGTAACTTTCTTTTGCTAATCCGCTCCTCTCTCTGTTCTCTAGGACATATGAGCCCTACCACCTGCACCCTGAGGAAACACAAGACCAATCGGAAGCCGCGCACGCCCTTTACCACATCCCAGCTCCTCGCCCTGGAGCGCAAGTTCCGTCAGAAACAGTACCTCTCCATTGCAGAGCGTGCAGAGTTCTCCAGCTCTCTGAACCTCACAGAGACCCAGGTCAAAATCTGGTTCCAGAACCGAAGGGCCAAGGCGAAAAGACTGCAGGAGGCAGAACTGGAAAAGCTGAAAATGGCTGCAAAACCTATGCTGCCCTCCAGCTTCAGTCTCCCTTTCCCCATCAGCTCGCCCCTGCAGGCAGCGTCCATATATGGAGCATCCTACCCGTTCCATAGACCTGTGCTTCCCATCCCGCCTGTGGGACTCTATGCCACGCCAGTGGGATATGGCATGTACCACCTGTCCTAAGGAAGACCAGATCAATAGACTCCATGATGGATGCTTGTTTCAAAGGGTTTCCTCTCCCTCTCCACGAAGGCAGTACCAGCCAGTACTCCTGCTCTGCTAACCCTGCGTGCACCACCCTAAGCGGCTAGGCTGACAGGGCCACACGACATAGCTGAAATTTGTTCTGTAGGCGGAGGCACCAAGCCCTGTTTTCTTGGTGTAATCTTCCAGATGCCCCCTTTTCCTTTCACAAAGATTGGCTCTGATGGTTTTTATGTATAAATATATATATATAATAAAATATAATACATTTTTATACAGCAGACGTAAAAATTCAAATTATTTTAAAAGGCAAAATTTATATACATATGTGCTTTTTTTCTATATCTCACCTTCCCAAAAGACACTGTGTAAGTCCATTTGTTGTATTTTCTTAAAGAGGGAGACAAATTATTTGCAAAATGTGCTAAAGTCAATGATTTTTACGGGATTATTGACTTCTGCTTATGGAAAACAAAGAAACAGACACAATGCACACAGAAAATATTAGATATGGAGAGATTATTCAAAGTGAAGGGGACACATCATATTTCTGCATTTTACTTGCATTAAAAGAAACCTCTTTATATACTACAGTTGTTCCTATCTCTCCCCCGCCCCCCACCGCCCCACCACACACATATTTTTAAAGTTTTTCCTTTTTTAAGAATATTTTTGTAAGACCAATACCTGGGATGAGAAGAATCCTGAGACTGCCTGGAGGTGAGGTAGAAAATTAGAAATACTTCCTAATTCTTCTCAAGGCTGTTGGTAACTTTATTTCAGATAATTGGAGAGTAAAATGTTAAAACCTGTTGAGAGGAATTGATGGTTTCTGAGAAATACTAGGTACATTCATCCTCACAGATTGCAAAGGTGATTTGGGTGGGGGTTTAGTAATTTTCTGCTTAAAAAATGAGTATCTTGTAACCATTACCTATATGCTAAATATTCTTGAACAATTAGTAGATCCAGAAAGAAAAAAAAATATGCTTTCTCTGTGTGTGTACCTGTTGTATGTCCTAAACTTATTAGAAAATTTTATATACTTTTTTACATGTTGGGGGGCAGAAGGTAAAGCCATGTTTTGACTTGGTGAAAATGGGATTGTCAAACAGCCCATTAAGTTCCCTGGTATTTCACCTTCCTGTCCATCTGTCCCCTCCCTCCGGTATACCTTTATCCCTTTGAAAGGGTGCTTGTACAATTTGATATATTTTATTGAAGAGTTATCTCTTATTCTGAATTAAATTAAGCATTTGTTTTATTGCAGTAAAGTTTGTCCAAACTCACAATTATTTTAAGAGGTGTTCTCTGTTCTTAGCTGGGCTTAGCTCGAAAGTGCTACCCACATGAGGGGGAAGCTGGTCTTTTTTAATATTTTAATGTAAGTCAACCAAGAGTTGTGGCCAGATTCAGCCATGTTGGGGTGATTGGTGGTGGTGGGGAGTGAACTGAAACTACTGAAATACTTTGAAATGTTTCCTCTGGCAGCTTGTTACTTATGGAAAAGAGGTGGAATTGCTGCGAGGAGTTTTTCAGAAAAAGTACAGTGAAAGATAAGCTTTAAATAAGTGGTGAGGCGGAGATCGGCCAGCATCTAAATCATTTGTACATGATCAAGGGAAAATCTTGAACTTGAAATCTCCCAGCTACCAACACATCAAACTTAAAACTGAGGAAAAGGGTCCTTATAGCTGTTTGCAAGTGGACATGGTAACGAGGCGCATTCGCTGGGCTGGGGGATGGAAGCCGGCTCCCCTTTCAGGAGTGTGTGAAATCGCATTCCGTTTACCATTCCTATCTCCTTCCAAGGAGATGGACTCCGAGCAAACACTCTTCGGTTTGAAGTGGGAAGGTGGTTCGTTCAAGTCCCTTTGCTACCCAGCCTCCCTCTCCCAGTGGAAACAATACAGAACTGCTGTCAGGCTTGGGTTTTGAGGCGTCACGATAAAATGGTGACAGGTGGAGGACGCTGAGAAGGATCTTAAACTCAGCTTTCTGTTGCCCAAATAAATCTGAAGTGGTTCCTGATGATTGATACCTTTCCGAGGTCAGTGTTCAGATGGGAGGCTCCGGTGACTCGGAACAGAGGCAGAAAGGATGCGAGGACTTCTTGCTGCGTAAACAGCGCGGCGGGCAGATTGGCACCTGGCACCTACCAGGACTGGCGCTTCGTCCCGCGTTTCCATTGTGCCCGCACGCACTTTGAAAGTGGGCGCCGGAAACTCCGTTTTTCTTATGGGGCCGGGGTCGGGCAACGTGGTTCAGAGGTTTCACAAGCTCCAGCACAGAAGTGATCCAAACCGAGGGGTCGGCTCGAAGTCGGAGGCTGATTTTGTCTTGCTCAGTCGCTCCGCCGGAGCTGAGCCGCTGGAACGACCCAAACCTACCTGAAAGCGCGTCTCTGCAGTCCCGCTGGACTTCTCCGGCTCGAACTCCTAATCTCAGCCCGGAATCCAGCCATATTCATTTAAGGATTGCGTTTTCCAAAGGCCAAAGCCTTTCCCGGTTTCGTCATCAGCCGCCAGGTTGGGTCCCTAATTAGCCTGTCCACCGAGCTTCCTTCCCGGCGCCGCTTGGACCCCGCAGCCCCGGGCGATCTCAGCCCGGGTGGGGAATCCGGAGACGCCGGCTCCGGGTTAAGACTCTGCTCGTCCCCAGGAGGACGGGGTCGCGATCCAGAGTGCGATCCGGAGAAAAGGGCTGCATCTTGCGTGGCTGGCGGGTTAGACTGGAATCCGTCTGGGGAACTGCGCACCATCCCCATCGCTCCAGACGCCGAAACAAAACCTGAGGCTCGGAGAGGGGAAAAAGAGTTGTTCAGGCTCGAACATACGCATCCCAGCCTCATAGGTGGATGGGGTTACCGAGCTGAGAACCAAGCCGGAGGTCCGCGAAGCCGGGCCGCCCCCTTGCTCTGGGCCTCCCTTCAAGCCTGCAGTCTGGGGATGGGTTCCGAGTCACCGCGGTCCGGGCCTCGGTCAGGCTTGGTCGGGCACACAGGGCGTTTCAGAGGCCAGATTGACAACCTGTGGCGGCAAAAGGACTCTCCCTCACCAGGGACCCGCGAAGGCGCGCATTGCAAGATGTTAGCGTGCGGGCTTTAGATATCCTTGCGTCCGATGCCAGAAGCCTGGCACGCAAATTTACCCACCCTTCCATACTTTCAGTGCTTTGTTCGAAACTTTTCAAGAGACACAGCTCTGCTTTTTGGAAAGAGAGGAAGAGAGCAGGGAAATCGCATTTATGGAGCCCCTGCAGAGTGCAGAACTAGGCTTCCCCCCCCCCCGCCCCCCGCCGGTGTTCTCATTTAGTTGCCACACACTCCTTGGAGAGGTATCATAGATGTCATGTATAGTTGAGGAAACTGAGGCACAAAGAGGTGGCTCACTAAGGTCACAGAGCTGATAAGTAGGGGCAGGGAAATCCAGGCCTCAGTGTGAGCGGAGGAGGTGGGTATGAAAGATGGTGAGGGCAAATCAGGCAGGAGGTGTCTCAGAAATGATGCCAGGGCCTGGGGAACACTCTGGATCCCCAGACCCTGAGATCCCAGATCTGCAGTCTCTCTCCAGCTCCCCTTCCTATCCCTCATTGCTCCTCTAACACAGTGGACCTGGGGCTCAGATCCAGCCCTCCCCTCTCCCCCTTCCAGCCCTGCCTGGGCGATCTTGCGGGGAATGGAGGGAGCAGGGCGGCAGGAGGTAGGCAGTGAAGGCCTGGCTGAGAGCGGTGGCTGGCGAAACGTCTGCCTGACCCGACTGAAAAGAGGATCCCTGCCTTTGAGCAGAACCTTGTCTGACCGAATGAAAACTCCCACGGCCATTCTTTGCTATAAAAGCCGCTCATTTGCCACGGGTTGGAGAGGCCATTCCCCCACCCCCACTCCGTCTCCACTGTTGGGTTTGAAATAAGCATAAACCTCATTTATAAAAGAACCCACGTCACACACACCCTCCCCGAAATCACAGGGCCTGGTTGGTGAAGTTGACTGTGTCTGTTCCTCTCTCTCCTTCCATTTTTGTAAGCAAAAATGTTTTCCACCCCGCATTGGTGATGCTGCAGGCTTCTTTAACAAAATAAAGTGGTCACAGCAACAAGGAAAAGCCCTCGGTCAACTCCCGGACCCCTTTACCCGCTCTCCCACCCCCAGCCACCCTCTCACCTCCTCCCTCCTACAAACTAAATAAAAAGCAGTAAAATTACTTTCCAGAATAGCCCGCTTCAAAGCAGAACAGAGGACCCGGCTGCAGGAATCCTGAGTCTTGCCCTGATAAGGTTCATAATAATCAAATCCAAACTCCATCCACCTCCCTTGACTCTTTCCAACCTCCTCCGGACCTCTCTGCATTTGTTGATGAAAACACTTTGATGTCCTGAGTCCTCCAAACAATTATTATTATAATTTTAAACAACCTGGTATTTTCCATTACTAACGGCTGAGGCTTTGAAGTTACACCTCATAATTTCCTAAATTAAATAAATCATTTTAAGTTTGCACTGGGAGGCTTTTAATAGCAGAGAAAGGAATATCATTATCTTATTGAGACCCAATTGTGGTGGCTCCAGTTTGGCTGTAGCTGGGGGCAAAGTAGGCTCACTCTAACAGACATACTTTATTAACCTCCCATAACTCTTGAAAGAACATTTTTATATTTTCTTTGATTTCCCCCCTCCCTATCTTGTTTTAATGCTGTCCCAACCTTTAATTAGTGCCTAATATGAAAAGCATTATTTTTTTAATGCTATGTAATTTACCAGCGGCAACAGGCCAACTTAACAATTGTTTATTAGACTTGGTTTTTCACACAGGGCAAAGAATGCCGCTCCAAACCCAACTTTTCATGGGTGGTTGCACTAATTAATACAGTGTCTGAGACTCCTAGGGGGTTTTTTAATATTGAAGCCTATGGGGGCGGAAGGGGGTTTTAGAAGTCCAGCTCCTGCCGACGAAGTTCTCCCTCTGATTTCTTTCATGCTGTTTTGATCCTGTCTGTGGAGTCAGCACAGACAGAAACTGTTCCCTGGCTCCGAAGACTCCAGGATCCCGAGGCAACAGCCCCGGGAACCCCCAGCACCTCCACTTGTGAATTATGTCTAGCGGCCTAGGCTTGGGGTACAGAGAGCCCAAGGCTCACCCCAGACTTGGATGTGGGGGTTCCCCTCCTCCTGCCTGGAGGGGGAAGGAGCTGGCTTGATGGCTTGGGCTGGGAAGGAGTCAGGCTCTTGGGGGCAAATGCCAGGTCTCCCAGGCACCAGGCAGCGCTTGGCTCTGGGCACAGAATTTGCTGAAATTGAGTCAGGGACAGGGATGGGGTGGGGGAAGGCTAGGGGAGGACCCAGGCTAGCTTCCTTCCTGTCTTTTCTTCCTCTGACTTTTCGGCTCAATTTTCCTCATTCTTTTGTCTCTCATTTTCCTTTCTCATCTTTTGCGCTCCCTCCTTTTCACCTCTTTCTCTTCCTTTTTTCTTTTTTGCTGTCCCGCTTTTATTACCTTTCCTCCACCTTTCATTCTTTCTCCTGTCTGTCGCACTCTGTACCTTTCTAATTTTTACCTCTATCTTCTTATTGTCGGTAACTTCTTTTCAAGTTATCATTTTTAATTCTCTTTTCCCTCTCTTCCCCCACCGCCTTCTTTGCCTGTCACTTTGCTCCTCCATGGCATCTCTCAATTTTTTTTGTTTTCTAATTGATTCTCATTCCCACCGTCTCCTATTTCCCCCCTTCTCTTCTCTTTTCCATTCTCTCTTCCCCTGTTCCAGCGATTTCGTGGCGGATTCTGGGAGCCCAGCCCAGTGCGCCAGGAGCGGTGCGCCCAGCGCAGGGGGCTCCTAGTCACCTCGACCCTTCCGGCGCCCTTCCCTCCTTAGCTGCACCTGGCAAGCCAGCAAGGGAGTGACCCTTGCGCAGGAAGGGGGCGCGTCACCCGGTTTCCCCATAGAACCGTGGGCGTCGCAGGCGAGAAGGGAAGCGTCCAGGCGCTCGGCCCCTTCCGCCCCGCCCGCTGCCGGCCGCCCGTTTGATGTCGCGGGCCCGGCAGGAATGCGGCCGGGTTATCAATCACCCAGCTGGATCCCGAAGGTCTCTGCCTAATCACATTTAATTGCTCGTGGAGGCCCACTCTCGCCCCGGGCCGGCCGCCGCGCTCAATTACTCCCCAAATACCTGCCATCAATAAATACGCACTGACACCGGCCCGGCCCGCTCCACCGGCACGGAAGATCGCAGCCGACCAGGCGCCCTCCTCCCTGCCCCTTGTCCCCCATCATTAAACTTACACCTCGACGCCCAAAGAAGCAAGCCGAGCAGATAATAACAGCCCCCTGTAACTGAGCGCTTCCCAAGTGCCAGACACTGTTGCTCGGCGATTTACACCAATCAACTCACGGGTGCTAGTGAGTGCTCGTGGATTTCACCACCGTCCGGGAGATGGTATTACCATCTCCTTTGGAGCCAAGGGAACCAGGCTCAGATCATTCATTAATGCGTCCGAGGTGGGGTAGATAGGCAGTGCCCCAACTGGGATGGGACTTTGCAACCCCGTGATTCCACAGCCCATGGACAAAAGCACGAGGCAATAGTGCCTCCCAGAGGCCAGATATTGACCTGGGGTCCCGGGCACTAAGGTGTGCTGACCAGCACCTAAAGCCAGGTGCCTCTTTAATCAGTATTCAGGCAGCATTTTATTAGTTCCTCTCACCAACTTTGTGAAGTAGGCACTCTTAGCCCCATTTTCCGGAAGTGAGCTAGGGGGAGTTCACCCTCCAACTGAGGCCCAGGCCTCTCTCCAGCCTGAACACTTCCACCACCCCGGGCTGCCCTCCACTCCCCCTCCCCCAGCATTCTGCACTCCGTTTTCACTCTATACCTTCCAATCAACCCTGAAATTCAAGAACTATGGTTTCTCCCATTTTCCCAGAGCAGCAAACTGCCTAAGGAGGTGACACAGCAAGGCAGGAATCACACAGTGGGTGAGCTCAGAGCCCAGAAATCCATGTCAGCCCCAGCCCCAGCTATTTGCATTACGCCATCCTGCTTCTGCTGAGAGTCTATGCTTTACAAGAGAGCACATCATGTCTACATTTTATGTGGTTTACCATTCATGGGGAGGCAATAATTACACTTCTAAACAAAGATGAAGGGGGTGAGTGTCATCTGAAGTCAGCCTGTGACTTCCTTTATTTCATACCCTTTCTTAATCCCCTGTATTTTTGTATAAAATATATGCCAGTGTCCAAATACTCTCATATTCAGGATCTCATGTGGCCCTCAAAGCAATAGGTGGGGAATTACATTCCCATCTTAAATAAAATAAAAAGGGTGCTCTGAGAGGTGAGGTGACTTGCCTAAAGTCACACAGCAAGGAAACAGAGCCAAGCTTGACAGATAGCTGTGCAGCGTCTTTTCACCTGGATGAGGTTAAGTCTTTGATAGACTGGAAGAGTGTGTGTGTGTGTGTGTGTGTGTGTGTGTAACCACCAAAGTGTACATTTCCCTGAAAAGGGTTTCTGGGTTGCAGGGTCTGATATAAAAAGCACTATTTTAGTGGCAAAGCTCTGCCTATTTTTATTTCAGTGCTGAGAATGCTTGATGATGGAAAAACTGACTTTGCAAAGAAATTGTGTATAAGACGCTAAAGTGCCTCTCGAAATCCCATCACAGAAAATTAGCTGAAAGGTAGTGGTGATGGATAAGGCAGTTATTGATGTGAAATTGCCCAATTTGGGGAAAGTCTGAAGGCTGCAAGTGTTCATCTCCTCCTCCTTCCCACCGCCTCAGCGGCTCGCCCCGTCTAGTCTTTCCGGTTGGATTTCTCTTTGTTTAGCAATGGGAACAGAGAGGAGCCAAAAAGACAACGTAGAAAATCCCAGGGGTGGGTGTGGGGAATATGATCTCGACTGAGAATTCCAGGAAAGCAACTGGGCAGTGAAGTCATCGAGAATGGATGTGGGGTGGGGGCGGGGCAACATGCTTCAGCCTCTGTGCCCTCAAGAGGTGCTGGCACAGGGTAGTGCGATGTAGCCACCGCCTTTGGGACTGACCGTGCAGATCTAGTAGCCACTGCCTTTGGGACTGACCGTGCAGATCTAGTAGCCACCGCCTTTGGGACTGAGCGTGCAGATCTAGTAGCCACCGCCTTTGGGACTGAGCGTGCAGATCTAAATTATTACCAGGTTAGGGGCATCCGTGTCTTGCATAGACACCACTAAGCCACAGCCCACTTTCATGAGAAGGTAAAACTGTTTTTCCCCCTTACAAAGAGCAGGAAAATGCCAAGGAAATTAGGCCTCAGAAGGAAAGATTTCCAGAGCCTGGGGCTGCTGACATAGTTTTTCAGGGCACTGATGCCCACATTTTTCTCCACATGCAATCCCTATCTAAGTCTGGGACTAGAACGAGGACCCACAGGCTATTTTTTAAGAATAAGATTAATAAGATGAATGTGAAATGACACTTTGGGGTCCAAAATGACAATATTAACAACATACAAACTCAACCTTCTTTCTCCTTTAATCAGCAGTAAGTTAATAATTATTATTGCTGAATTTCAGCACATACCAGTTATCCTGAGTATTGAACCTGTGTTGCCCCAGGACTTTCCTGAAATTCTCAACACAGAATTATTAAAATTCACTATAACTAAGAAGAAAAAGAAGAGATGTACTGTGCATCTCATTAGATAATAATTGAATTAAATGAGCACTTTCTGTGTGCCAACAAGTCCTTTACATAAGGACTCCATAATTTCATTTTAATACACATAGTAGCACAGTCACACATCATCCTCATTTTATAATCAAGGAAACTGAGACCTTGAGAGATTATGTAGCTTGCTCATGGTCTTGCCACTGGTGAACGACAAAGCTGAGATTTGAGCTATTGACTCTGAAGGAACTCGCTCTCAAAACTGCTGCTGCAGGGCATTCACTGTTTGGGGTTTGTGTCTCCTATAGGAGCAGAAGCCAGGATGAAAGAAATGGTCTTTGAGTCCCTTGGGTTTCTGAATTGATTTAAATAAGAAGTAGTAGGCCGGGCACGGTGGCTCATGCCTATAATCCCAGCACTTTGGGAGGCCGAGGCGGGTGGATCACCTGAGGTCAGGAGTGTGAACCAGCCTGACGAAGATGGTGAAACCCCATCTCTACTAAAAAAAAAAAAAATACGAAAATTAGCCAGGCACAGTGGTAGGCGCCTGTAATCCCAGCTACTCGGGAGGCTGAGGCAGGAGAATTAATTAAACCCTGGCAGCAGAGGTTGCAGTGAGCCAAGATCGCACCATTGCATTCCAGCCTGGGTAACAGAGTGAGACTCCATCTCAAGAGAAAAAAAAAAAAAGAAGAAGTTGTCATCAGAGGCAAAATGACATTTCAGGCTAATATCGAATCAGAGGCAGAATAATATTGAAGGGCAACACTATAGAATCTTAGGGCAGAAGGGAATTTTATTATCATATCATGCAAGAGGTTCAGAGTGAAAGTGACTTGCCCAAAGTCACTTAGCAGTTGTGTGAAAGAACAATATTTCAAAAGAAAAAAAAAAAGAGAGAGAGAGAGAGCCATATTTCTAGTTCAGTTCAGCTGAGCTAGATAGAACTAGCTCAAATGGCTCTGGAGATTTGATTTCTGAGCAACCTGAAATCCAGTTCTTCTGTACCTTAAATGTTAAGTAGCTCACTAAGAGAAGCAGCAGGATCAGGAACAGCAGGATGGGAAGTGGGTTTTGGTTTTCAAAAATATCTATCCATCCCCTACAGCCACGTCCACATTATACGGATAATATACACTATATATATATATATTTTTTTTTTTTTTTTTCTGAGACGGAGTCTCGACCTGACACCCAGGCTGGAGTGCAATGGCGCAATCTCGGCTCACTGCAACCTCCTGCTCCTGGGTCAAGAGATTCTCCTGCCTCAGCCTCCCACCTCCCGAATGGCTGGGATTATAGGTGCACGCCACCACGCCTGGCTAGTTTTTTGTATCTTTAGTAGAGACGGGGTTTCTCCATGTTTGCCAGGCTGGTCTCGTACTCCTGACCTCGTGATCTGCCCGCCTCGGCCTCCCAAAGTGTTGGGATTACAGGCGTGAGCCACCGCGCCTGGCCATATGTATATTATTTGATTTTATCAAATACATAATATTTTCTCAAGCTCAGAGTAAAAGTATTTTTAGAAAACATTGCTATTTTTATTAATCTTTTAACATGCCATCAAGATCAAAATAGTATGCTTGCTAGGCAACAAGACAAATCTCCAACCCCGTCATACTTTCTTCCTAATAGATTGCTCTGGCTATACTCCTCCTTTTATTTTGGTGCTTACACCAAAGAGCACCAAATGATATATCTGAGTTACTGAGTTCAAGTTCAAGCTAGCCACTGATGGCTCTCTACACCTCACTTTAGCATCTGTAAACCAGGGCAGGGATTAGCAGCCAGGAAAGAGATAGGAAGCCCATTAGGTCAATGTATTTTTCTGTTTCATTCTGAACTGTATCCCTAGTGCTCAGAGCACTGCATGGCCCATAGTAGGTGCTCAGTGAGCACAGGGCCCATTCAATGAATGAAGGTGAATGTTTTACCAAGTCATATAACAGTTCTGGGAAAACTAGAGGGCTCTGGGTTTGGCTGACTTTTTAAAGCTTTGGAAAATGTACAGGTTTGCCATGAGTTAAAACCTTTAAAAAGTTGGTTTGGTTCACAAAACAATAAAAATCATTTGCCTTTGGCAAGATGGGCCAGGTAGTGTTATGAAGGCAGTTATAAAAATATTCTTGATTTGGTTCAAGTCTCTGATGACTAGTCACAGATGAACATTAAAGAAACTTTCACAGCCTCTACTGGTGGGTTAGCCAGACTGTATAGAGCCAGTTCAACTTGTCCTTATATTTCACGAGTGAAAAATGTTTAAAACACGGCATTAAATGAAACCCTTCTGAGTTATAAAATTGTGTAGAGTTAAAACTCTTCTTTAGAGTTTGTTTTACAGTATGGTCCAGTAGTTAATTAATGCACTCTCCCAGAGGGATGCAAGGGGAGAGAGTTCTGACTCTGATTTACAGCTAGTTTGGAAAGAGAGGGGAATCCTCAGAAAACCTTCTTTTATTGTCTTTAAGGCCTCAGTGTTCTTTTCTGTAACATGGGACTCCTGGTTCTTCTTATAGCCCTCAGATGTATGTTCAAAGGCATAATTAAGGCATAGTTAACATTTCTGCCCCCTCGAGGCCAGTAATGGAGGTTTTTGTTGTTGTTGTCGCTGCTGTTGTTTTGAGTCGGAGTCTTGCACTGTTGCCCGGGCTGGAGTGCAATGGCGCGATCTCAGCTCACTGCAACCTCCACCTCCCAGGTTGAAGCGATTCTCCTGCCTCAGCCTCCTGAGTAGCTGGGATTACAGGCACCCACCACCACGCCCAGATAATTTTTTGTATTTTTAGTAGAGACAGGGTTTCACTATGTTGGCCAGGCTGGTCTCGAACTCCCGACCTCGTGATCCTGACCTCGTGATCTGCCTGCCTCGGCCTCCCAAAGTGCTGGCATTACAGGCATGAACCACCACACCCAGCCCAGTGATAGGGTTTTAAAGCAAAAGAGCACTTGTAGGGATTAGATAGGAAATTTAAAAGTAGTAATTTCAGAATAAAAAGTGTCATCCATACTAGCCTGAACTGTGTTCAACTCTTAGTATCTCTAGGGGTTGAGGGAAACACACCTTTTTTAAGGACTTAATATGTAGGTCACAGGACCCAGAGCTGGGGGTACAGTAAACCTTTGTGAAATTTATCTTGATTTTTGAGGTAATTGAAAAGAAATTTGATCATTTCACACATTACTAATTCATACATTGTAAAAATCTCCCCCAAACTCTGACAGTCTCTCGGCACTTATCAGAACACAGATTTCTAAACCCAGGGCCAGAATGAGGTCTCACGTTACTAGGACTTCATCACTTTTCAAAAATATACAGCAGGCCATTTGCTGGTAGGTTATGAAATATGATCATAAATTAAAACTAAATGACTCACATAAAATAAAAGGACAAAGAGCACTTTGTGATGCCGAGAGCTCCGGTTTGATTGTGTTAGTTCATTTATTTGGGTATTTAGAGCATTTCAGAACGCCAAGTAACTCCATCTACTCTCAGTTGATGGTAGGCACGTGGTACCATTACTGCAAAGCTTTGCCTATAGCCCACTGCAGAACCAATGAGTAAGACCAGACATTTGGACACCTCTTTATAGTTTACAATGTTCTGTCACCTACGTTTTTTCTGCGAGGCAGGTAGCATGAAGTAGAGGAGGAAGCAGGCTCACACATTTAGGGATGGGTCACAGGTACTCAGAAGAGGCGGGACTTCACAGGAAACAGAAAATTTAAGCTAAATGACACGTGACATTTTTATTTTTTATTTTTATTTTTTAATTTCAATTTTAATTTTTTTTTGAGACGGAGTCTTGCTCTGTTGCCCAGGCTGGAGTGCAGTGGCGTGATCTCGGCTCACTGCAAGCTCCGCCTCCTGGGTTCACGCCATTCTCCTGCCTCAGCCTCCCGAGTAGCTGGGATTACAGGTGCCCACCACTTCGACCAGCTAATTTTCTGTATTTTTAGTAGAGACGGTTTCACCGTGTTAGCGATGATGGTCTCGATCTCCTGACCTCGTGATCCGCCCGCCTCAGCCTCCCAAAGTGCTAGGATTACAGGTGTGAGCCACCGCGCCTGGCTTTTTTTTTTTTTTTTTAATGAGTTAGGGGCTAAGAATGTCAGTATATGCGAGAGATTGGTGGAGGAGAGATAATGTGGTAATATTTATGCAGCCTTTTTTTTTTTTTTTTTTTTTTTGAGACGGAGTCTTGCTCTGTCGCCCAGGCTGGAGTGCAGTGATGCGATCTTGGCTCACTGCAACCTCCACCTCCTGGGTTCAAGCCATTCTCCTGCCTCAGCCTCCCGAGTAGCTAGGAGTACAGGCTCCCGCCACCACACCCGGCTAATTTTTTGTATTTTTAGTAGAGACGGGGTTTCACTGTGTTAGCCAGGATGGTCTCGATCTCCTGACCTCGTGATCCGCCCACTTTGGCCTCCCAATATGCAGCCTTTTGAAGTTAGTCCTGGCAGGTATGTGGTGGGAGGTGTTTGCTGCAATTGCAACTTTTCTGGTATCATTGGCTTTATATGTGCCCAGTTAATTCATAACCAGCGCCCCCCCCCGGCCCGCCCCAACCCCTCCAGGAGAGCAGGCAGATCAGAAAAGGCAGGAATACCCTCCAACACACTTGGGGCTGCCAGTTGCTCTTTTGCAATTTTTTTTCAGTTCCACTATATTAAAATTGAGGGGAATGGTAGAGGGAAGAGAGTTAGAAAACCAAATGCCACATGTTCTACTTATAAGTGAGAGCTAAGCATTGGGTGCAGCTGGACACAAAGATGGGAACAATGAAGACTGGGGGCTCCAAAAGTGAGAGGAAGGGAGAGGGAAAAGGTTGAAAAACTGTCTATTGAGTGCAATGTTCACTGCTTGGGCTACGGGATCATTAGAAACCCAAACCTTAGCACCATGCAATATACTCACATAACAAACCTGCACACGTGCCCCCGAATCTAAAATTAAAGACAAAGAAAAGAAGGTTATTTATTGTTAGTCTTTCTCATATATCTCAGTTCTTTTCCCCTTGAGCACTCCCTCCCTTCCTTCCTTCCTCCCTTCCTTCCTCCCTTCCTTCCTCCCTCCCTTCCTCCCTCCCTCCCTCCCTTCCTCCCTCCCTTCCTCCCTCCCTCCCTCCCTCCTTCCCTTCCTCCCTCCCTCCCTTCCTTCCCCTTCCTTCCTTCCTTCCTTCCTTCCTTCCTTCCTTTCTCCATCCCTCCCTCCCTCCCACCTCCCTCCCATTTGCAGTGTTCTGCAACCATCAACATGCTCCATCTCTAGAACTGTTTCATCATCCCAAAGTGCACCTGTTAAACCCTAACTCCCCATCCCCCTCACTGCTGACCCGGGCAACCATCCTTCTACCTTCTGTCTGTATAAATTTTACGACTCTGGGTGCCTCATATAAGTGGAATCATACAGTGTTCATGCTTTCATGTCTGACTTATTTCACAGAGCATAATATCAGGTTTATATATCAGCATAATATTTTCAGGTTCATCCATACCGTAGCATGTATCAGAACTTTCTTTCTTTTGGTGGCTGCATAATATTTCATTGTACATATATACCACATTTCATTTATCCAGTCTTCATCCATTGATGGACACTTGGGTTGTTTGTACCTTTTGGTTTTTGTGAAGAGTGTTGCTGTGAACATTGGTGTGCAAATGTCTTAGTTCCTGATTTCCAGTTAAAAAAAAAAAAAGGAGGTCAGGTGCAGCAGCTAATGCTTGTAATCCCAACATCTTGGGAGGCTGAGGCAAGAGGATCATTTGAGCCCAGAATTTCAAGACAAGCCTGGGCAACATAGTGAGATTTCGTCTGTAAAAATAAATAAATAAATAGAATTAAAAATTAGCTGGGTGTGGAGGCACATGTTTGTAGTTCTAGCTACCTAGGAGGCTGAGGCAGGAGGGTCACTTGATTCCAGGAGGTCAAGGCTACAGTGAGCAGTGATTGTGCCACTGCACTGCAGCATGGGCAACAGACAAAGACCCTGTCTCAAAAAAAAGTTTATGTTTATTTGATGATGTATGTCTATCTTCTCCTATAAACTATGCAAACTGCTTGGAGTTTTATACTAAAAAATCTTCCAGTTTGTTGGGGAAAGAGCCAGGGCATTACACGTTACCTCCCAGAGGAGTACAGTCACGAAAGGAAGCGTCAGAGCTGTGGGAGTTGGGAGAAAGGAGAACCTAAGTTTTCAGGGTTGGTGGGGGTGGTGAACTTCCAACTATTTATTGAAGGACAAACATCCCTTTCCAGGTGGAGGTGGGGAAGGAGAACAGAGACAAATGGAATAGAATATTATCGAACTGTGTAGGTGATTGGATTGGCTTATTAGGAACATCAGGAAAGATGAACTAGGGTGGTATTGCCCAGTGTTCAAGGGTATTGGCTCTAGGTCAGTGCTCTTGGGTTGAAGTCCTTGCTGTACCTACCTTGTCTTTGGGCAAACTGCTTGACCTCTCTGGAACTTGATTTCTCCATATGCATCAGGTGGATCCTAACAGCACTTAGACAGTTGCTGTGAAAATACAATGAGATAAATTGTATCAGGTACGACTCATGATGCCTGGCCTGAAGAAAGTCCTTTTACATGGGGAATTTGCTGCCTTGTGTGAAAGATTCTGGTCCCGATCCTTGGGCGTTGAGTAGCCTTTAAAAGTTTTCAAGCAGGAGTGATGGGCTGATGGGGTCTTACTGCAGGCAGGGACTGGGGCTCCAACAGAAGGTTAAACTAGCTGTTTTCTCTAGTGGCTTTTGGGATAACACAGGAGAAAAGGCTAAACTACTGAATTTCGAGGCAAGTAGGTATGACTGAGCAAGACTTCCAAATCTGACTCATTTTTCCCAAGAACAGCCGGGCAGAGTGTTGGGTTTAATAATTCATCCAGCACTGGTCATCCTTCATTAATCTCCTTTCCTGTCCTCCAGTGCCCACCACAGTATTAGGCACATAGAAATCCTGTCTTAATCTATTTGTGCTGCTATAACAAAATATCAAATACTGGGTAATTTATAAACAATGGAAATTGATTTCTCCTAGTCCTGGAGGCTGAGAAGTCCAAGATCAAGGGGCCGGCCAGGTTCAGTGTCTGGTGAGGGCTGTTATCTGGTTCCAAGATGGTGCCTTGACGCTGCAGCCTCTGGAGGGGAGGAACACTGTGTCCTCACGTGGCAGAAGGACAGAAGAGCAAAAAGGGGCTGAACTCACTCCCTTGGCCCTTGTATAAGGGCACTGATCCCATCTATGAGGATAGAGCCCTCATAGTCTAATCACCTCCAGAAGGTGTTGCATTGGGGATTAAGCGAACCTGAGTTTTGGAGAAGACACAAACATTCAAGCCACAGCAGGCCCCACATAAACACTGCATGGACCAGAATAATTCTACAGTCATACCTTTCTTCGTCACATCCTCCCTCCCTCCCCTGCTCTCTTCTCTTTGCTTCTAACAAGGTGTCTGATGACAGCCTGAAGGATTACGGGCTGGAAGTGAACATGTGCCAGTTGAAAACCTAGAAACAGAAAGCATGCACCAGGAATCTCAAAGCCCCGAGCTTTTACGACCTCTGAAAGACCAGCAGCACTCCCTTACCAAAGACTTCCACTCTGTGCCTCGGCTTTAAGAATCAGTCTCATGAAAGCCGTTTCCAACAAGCATTTAAAATCATCCATCCAAAAGATAACTAAATCATGGCCATTCATTGCTCTCAGCCCATCACACTGCAATGAAAACATGTATTTAACTGAGAAAACACTGCGCCTCCCCTCTCCCTGGCCTCTGTCCCCTTTCTTCTCCCTTTCTTTGAGGGCTCAAAATGTTATGATTCATCTCAGCGCTGCTCAGTGCTGCAGTGAATTACAGGCCCCAAAGATTTCCAAACCCGGAGGGGTGCAGGGAGGGAACGGCCCCCAGTGCATCCCCGGCATTCTCTCTCCAGCCAACTGTGTTTGTGCCTTGACTCCTTTTGATCATTGCTTATAACAGTAGCCAAGCAGAGGAAATTAAGCTTTTGTATTTAAACTAATCCATGACCCTGGATAATTTGTAAGAGACATCTATGAGGGGTTAAAAATGAGCCTCCAACTGCTTGATGTGGAGACATCCAGACGCACCAGTGGCTCTCTTGGTGGGATCACAGAATTTCAGTGCTGAATGAAAGGATGTCAGAGCATGCGGTGTCCTTTGGGGACATCTGTCTAGTCCAACTTTCTTGGTTTTAATGGAGAAACTGAGGCCCAGATAGGGGAAGGGACCTGTCTAGAACAATGTAGGGAGTGTGTGGCTGGGTAGGGATTTACTGCCGGATTTCTGACTCCCTGTACTAGGAGAATGAGAGAGTTGAGAGCAGTGTTGTTCTGAAGTACCCACTAACCGATGGCTCCTGTCAGAT
The DNA here is from genome assembly GCF_000001405.40 of Homo sapiens. Lineage (NCBI taxonomy): Eukaryota > Metazoa > Chordata > Mammalia > Primates > Hominidae > Homo > Homo sapiens. The sequence goes on from NC_000005.10 coordinate 174,746,637, forward strand.
GGACATTGCATGTGCCTGTCCTCTGAGGTGACACTTCAGACCAGCATGCCGTGCTGTCTTCAAGAGAAGCACCAGCCCCTGGTTGAATGCTACAGTACAGTTTTATTTTTCAAAGGTTTTTATATAGGGGGGTAAGGATCTAACGAAGAGACTAAGGGTTTGAGCTGTAGGGTCAGAGCATGTGTATTTTTTTTTTTTTTTTTTTTTGAGACTGTCTCTTGCTCTATACCCATGCTGGAGTGCAGTGGTAGCTTACTGCAGCCTCGACCATTCAGGCTCAAGCGTTCCCCCCACCTCACCCTCCCAAGTAGCTGGGACCATAGGTGCACACCACTACACTCAGCTATTAATAATTTTTGTATTTATTGTAGAGACAGGGTCTCCCTATGTTGCCCAGGCTGGTCTTGAAGTTCTGGGCTCAAGCAATCCTCCTGTCTCAGCCTCCCAAAGTGTTGGGATTACAGGTGTGAGCCACTGGGCCCAGCCAGAGCATGTGTATCCTCTGTGTCTCAGTCTCCTGGGGTAATAGCAGAACCCATCTCATGGGGTTGCTTGTAAGCATGAAAGAAGTTAATTGTGGTAAAACGCCAACCTCAAGAAATGTGAACTGTCACTATCATTTCCATTTGTCACAGAGGACAGCCAGTAAACAGCAAGTACGTGCTTATAAATGCCAGGACCTTTAAGCCCAGTCTTAGCTTCCCGCACCAGCTTACAATGCCCCGAGTAAAAGACTCTAAATGGGGAGCATCAGAGACACTGGCTTTGAGTCCCAGTCCCACTATGAACCAGCTATCTGACCCCGGGCAAGAGTATCAGCTCTCTCTGCCTCAGTGTTCTCATCTGTAAAATGGAAACATTAGCCCTGGCCTTCCACTTGAGAAGCACTGATTCATTCATTCAGTATCTACAGATCACTTACTCAGCGCCAGGTACACGGAACAACAAAACACAGATGCTACTACTGTGGAGCTCACATTCTAGCAGAGGAAACAGTGCAAGGAAATTCATAAACACAAATGAACACGTTCTTTATTTATGTGAAATCAGCCATAAGTTACATGGAATGTATGAGCCTCCCCTTTTATAAGCGTTTGTTGACTCCCAAATGTCTCTTCTAATGAACAGAAACTGATACTTAAAAAGTTTGTTTTCCTTCATTTTTTATTATGGAAAATTTCGAACATATACAAAGGAGAGAGAATTATATTAAAAACTCCTACTTACCATCACCCCATTTTGCCAGTGATCAATTTATGTCTAACCTTGTTACATCTAAACCACTCTCACCCACTTCTCTCTTCCAGGATTATTTTGAAGCAAATCTCAGAAGTTATATGATTTAATTCATAAACATTTTAGCATTTATCTCTAAAAAATAAAAAAACATTGTAAAAAAAGTAAGCATACTATCATTATCCCATCAAAAAATTAGCAAAAATTCCTTAATATCATTAAACATGCAGGCAGTATTTAAATTTCCTTGTTCGTCTTATAATTTAAAAAATTACATATTATTGAAATTAGCATGGAAAGAAAGTCCATTAGGAACTGTTGATGTCTCAAAGTTTCTTTTAATGTGTTGGGTTTCCTTCTCCCTCTCCTTTTTTTCTTGCAATATACGTGTTGATAAAACTAGAACTTTTGCCTGTATGTGTTCCTGGAATCTGAATCCCTGAGAAATAATTTAGCATTTTCCTCTGTCACCTGTAATCCTCCTAAATTGTCAGATCTAGAAGCTTGATCAGATGAAGGTTTTGGAAACGTGATTTTATGGATGGCATTATGTTCTTCCATCACAGGGCACTTAATAGCTGGTTTTCTCTCTTTTGGTTGTTTAAAGTTGTTGATGATCGATTCGATTCCTAGATCCATTTCTTCATTAGGGGTTGTGAAATAGCAACATCCTAATTCTATCATTCTCCACTCCTTTATTAGCCCTGATAGGTCTATAAAGAAAAACTTCTCTCCATCAACAATTTGGTTGCCCTGAGGGATAGTCGGTGTGTGAAAGAGAGGAGGAATGTTGATCCTTTCTGTTCAGTTATCATTTCTCAAAAGAATGAGTTGGTTCTACAGCCTTCTCCAAAGGACAATGGGTTCATGGCTTTAAACATATTTTATGTGTTTCGATCCATTCCAGTCATTTTCTTGTTGATGAGTAAATGCCCCCCTCGTTGTCCAACACAAGCTTTTCCAAGTTGGCTCCCGTGTTTTTAATATAACGTCAATAATCTTCGAAAGCCCCTTTGCTTTCTGGTAAAAGGTGATCTAGGCCTACCTTGTATATTTCCTGCCCCAGACAAGGGATCAACCATTTCTCCAAATGAGTGCTGGTCCCTTTAAGTGGGAAATGGAGTTCGAGGCTGCCATCGGGGCACTAGAGGTGCTCCTTGCTTGGTCCTGGGCTTCCTGTAGACAGGAATGGGGTAGATATAGTCCCTGTCTTCCTGGCTCTCTAATCAGACATGGAAGACAGGAGTGGAGCACATAGTGGGAGAGGTGTTAGGTGCTAGGGAGGGCAAGTTTAGAGTGCCATGCCAGTGTTAGCAGATGGTCTAGTCAGGACAAGTGCTCAGAGGAGACTTCTGGAGAAAAAGAGGGGGGAGAATTGGGACAAGAGGGGAGCTACTTCCTGCTCAGCCAGTAACTAGATTTCCAGCCTCAGGGGGAGGATTAAATGAGGTGGGATGTGAAACTGATCTGTAAAATGTACCATTCTAGACAATAATCCTCTAGTGGTGGAATTTAAAACACCCAATCTGCGGGAAAGAATTTACTACCAGTGGGCCAACATTGGCACCGTTCAAATCAAAGTGGGGAGACTGTGTTCATGTCACAATCGCTAATGAGACAAACATTTTCCACTTTAGTCTCCACGACAACTCCATGGGGCAAAGACTAATATTATGCCCATTTAATAGATGAGGAGTCTGAGGCTCCCATGAGGTTAAGGAAGTTGCTCGAGGTCACCCAACTAGTAAGTAGTGGAGATGAGATTTGAACCCAGGACTATTCTTATGTTGGAGATCAGTCTCTTAACCATTCTGCTGTGCTCCACGACCTTGGAGGCCCCTTTTAAAGGGGTTCAAAGTTCCTTGCTTCTCAAGCTGCTGGGAGTCTTAATCTTAACCTTCACCTCTTATCTTACTGTTGGCCACATTGCTCCCCTGTTCTCAGCTCCCAGTAAGACTTGAAATTGCATCCTGGCCCTTAGAATCTGCAACAGAGCAAGCTTCTTCACCTGTTTGTTTCTCTCTGAGCCTCAGTTTCCTTATCTGTGACGTAGGGATAATAATATTCATTGGTACAGTTATTGGGATGATGGAAAGACGTGATCTATGTAAAGCATTTAACACACTGAGTGTTCAATAAATTGCAGTTACTGTTAGAAATAATGAACCAATCAATAGCTCACATGTATTCCATCATTTGATGGCCACAACCGGAGTGGTAGGAATATCATTATCCCTAGTTTACAGAGGAGAAAACCGAAATACAGTAGGTGGGATTCCTGTGTCCAAGGCCACATATAAGTTAGTGGTAGCAGCAGCACTTGAACCCAGACAGAGCCTTTGGGCTTGAACACCACACTTTGCTGCCTTAATAAGAATCTTGTCCAGCAGCTGCCCGCCATGTCAGCCTTGGGGGCTTGTCACTAGCTCCCACCTTGCTCAAAGAAAGTGGAGCTCTGCCCAGAGATGGAAGTACCTGCTTCCAGAGGCTCGTTGCAGGGTGATAAGGTGACCCACCACTGATTCCCACTCTGAAACCCTCAACAGCCCAGAGTGGATGTCTTGCTCAACCTGACGCTGAACCAGGGGCACTGAGTTCAGTAATTACCAGTTTAGTAAATTGCCTTCCTTCTTATGGAGCACAAAATAAGAACATTGGCATCCCTTTAGTGCGGATCCTGAGAGAAGGATGGTTTTTAAAAATTAACTTTGTATGCAAAACTTTGTGTTAAGCCACACATTGTAACACCACCAGGAGAGACAGAAGGAAGAGCACAAGGGCCATGTTGGCGTTTCATCAGCAAGCTGCCAAGTTGCCCCCCACACCCCCACTTTTCTCTCTCTTTTTTTTTTTTTCCAGAGCTCTATTTCTTCAATCAGACTTTATTAAGAACATAGGTTTGAGTCTACAGGAACAAATTCTTCTGGCTCTTTAAGGAACATATTTGAAGGGGAGGGAGTTATTAGGCTGCATTACTGCATAAATGATACAACATGCTTACCAGCATGAATCATCCGACCTAGAGTGACAAAAAAAAAAAAAAAAAAAAAAAAGAGCTTGAAAACTAAGCACAGCCAAAATATTGGCAGGCCCCAGCTACACGGGCCAGATTTCATCTCTTTTAAATCAAAAACATAAAAATAAAAATAAATTAAATTTCAGTCTCATGGTAACAATTCCCATGGAGGAAGGCTGAAGTATTTTGTCTGCACCCCTCCTGCCCCCTTCCGAATCACAGACTCCCCGCAGTCAGAGATGGCGAAGCCTCCACCGGGTCACCTCGGCCGGCCCCCGGGCTCCCCCGACCCCGCCCTGGCAGCGCCCCCCGCCGCGAGCTCCCGGGGCGGAGGAGCCGGCTCGGCTTTGATTAGCAACACTTGCGGGGGCCGCGGCGCACCCTGACAGCCCGGCAGCTCCGCGCCAAAATGGATGGGTCTCGGGCGGCGAGGGCACGGATACAAATGCGCCGCCGCGTTCTCAGGTACACAAATGCGGCCTCGGGCGGGCGCTGGTTCCCAGGCGCACGGAGGCGGCGGCCCCTTCAACTCGGGGCGCGGGCGGGAGCGGAACCCGCGTTAATTACTGTACGTTTCCACTGTAAAGAGTGTCAGCCGGGGAGCGGGGCCGCCGCGCCTGCCCGGCCCCGGCGCACAAAAGCTTCATATATTCTGAATGAAGGCGAATCGCAGCCTCGGCCTCCTTGAAAAGAGCCGTGAGGGAGACTTAATTCTCTCCCTTTCAGCTGTGCTCAGACTGTGAAATCCACACAATCGCGCCCTTCTCTTTAAAGGGAGGGAGAAGAGGGGCCGCGGCCGCGCGCCCCGCCATCAGCTGCGCGCACAGAGGGAGAGTTCACTCCGGGGACAAGGGCGGCGCGACCGGCCCGGGGCTCTTGGGCGGCCGCGTTTCCCCTCCCACCGGCTGCAGCCCCCTTCTCCCGCGGCACTTTCCGGCGTCTTTTGTGGGGCGAGTCCTGGCGAGGGTGTCCGCCGTCAGGTGCACAGGCCCCGTGCTCCCCTCTGTTCGGCAGGAGATCGGGGACTTCCACAGGCGGGCTGGGTCTGTTCCCAGGACCAGAGGTTCTGGGTGGAGCTGTCCTGGGCTCCCGGCCTCCCCAGGGGCCTGGCTACACCCAGTTCGTGAAGCTCCTTCAGTAATGAAAAAATAATGAAAAGAAAAATGCCAGGAACAAGTACAAATAGATTACACTAAGTGCAAAGTATTGGTGTTGAAAGCTTGATGCTTTTTAACAAACATGTAAGCTCAATGCATGTGACACAAGATTATTACAAGATTTAGGAAAAATAGGTATACAGTCATGTGTCGCTTAATGACTGGGATACATCCTGAGAAATGTGTCCTTCGGCAGTTTTGTTGGCGAGCATCATAGTGTGTACTTACACAAACCTAGCCGGTATAGCCTACTACACACCTTAGACTCTAAGCTGTAGCCTAATGCTTCTAGGCTACAAACCTGTACCGCAGGTTACATTCCTGAATACTGTAGGCAACTGTAACACAATGGTATTTGTGTATCTAAACATAGAAAAGGTATAGTAAAAATACAGGGTAAAAGGTAAAAAACAAACAAACAAACAAAAAAACCCTGTATAGGGCAGGTCCATTATTATCCTATGGGACCACTGTCATATATGCGGCCTGAAACAGCCTTATGCAGCCATGATTGTATATTAATTTCCTTGTGGGTCCTAGGTGCCTGCTCAGCAAAGGGGACCCAGGTTTGAGCCCTGTGACGAATCACATCCTTTTCCAGAATCTCTGCAACTGATTATGTAACCCTATTTGGGGAGAATATCTCAATGATAAAGTGGACTGTGAACCTGAACCTTGGGACAAATGTCCTCCGGGCCCACTCTTTGTAGCCCTGAGGTTCAGGCTGCTCTGAGGCATGTGATAATCTACAACTGCTTCAGCTCCTGAGTTCCAGTATTATAAAACTTGACAGGATCTTAGCAGTTTACCTGGTTACCGACCTAGTGCTGTGACTTTTCTGTCATTCTCTCCTTGTCTCCCTTTCAGTCGGCAAAGCTGGGGACAAAATAGGATGACCCTGGAGCCACCTTGGAGTATGACTGTTACCTTAATACCTGAAGTGTATAGAACACACCATTTGTAGCTTGGCTTTAAGAAATTAGGGGGAAAGGTGCATCCATCCCCAGTGAGTCCCGCTGGGTTCCCATGCTTTTCCTTGGAAGAAGGGAGCAAACATTTTCAATGACATCTACTATTTTAGTATCTATCATGAGCTGAGCACTGAGAATGGATTATGTTCACAAAACTCGTAGGAGGTAGGTACTATTGGGGCCAAAGAGGGTGAAGGATCGTCTAAACATCGCAGTCAATAAATGGTGGGGGTGGGTTTGAACCCCAGTGGAAATGATTCCCAAGTTCTTTTTGATTATGTCCAGGGCCTCTTTATCCTCGACTAGCAGGGCTGGGCCTATCACACGCTTCCTACCACTCCATCACTACAAACCCGTTGAGACAGGTGTTTTTCTGGGTCCTCTTCTTTCCATTTAACAAATAAAGAAATTGAGGGTTCCAGATGATTATACAGCTTAAGGGCACCCAGTAAAGAGCAGAGACGAAGCCTGTGCTCTTTGCCGTGTGTATGTGTGTGTGCGTGTGTGTGTGTGTGTGTGTAGGGAGGGAGGGCTGTAGTATGGAAGACTGACCCTATCCCTAAAAATTCTGATTCTGTAAGTCTGGTGTATTATTCAAGCTCAAAAACAACCAACTTCACAGACTAATCTTAACACTTGCATGTGAAACTGCCAAAATTGCAAACACCTGCCATCTGCAGAATGAATCCTGGGGTTCCAAGGCACCCTCTTGAGGAAAGATTCAGTGAACTGAACTCATGGGTCCCTGAGGGCTCTTTCAAGGAGCCCCTTTTTTGGAATCCCCATTGGGTAGCTCAGAACAAAGGCCCTCTCTGGAGAAGGTGACTGTGCATTCCCCCAGTGCCTAGATTTGCGTGGATTTCTGTGCAGCTTGTGGATTCGAGCAGATCTCTGGGGTCTTCTGTAGCTGGATGGGTGTGGCGTGTAGAACAGGCAACAGAAGCTCAGGAGCCATTAGTGCTGGGCCGGGGAACTCAGGGGCAAATCTACGGCTCACCTACCTTCTTAATCCCCTAGACTAGCCGTTGGCTATATGGTGACATATAGGACACCCACAGATCCCTATCATTCAATGACATATATTTATTATTGTTTATTAAGAAAAATTGGAAGACAAGATTTTACAGAAGAATGTATAAATTATCTTCAGGCCCATCATCCAGGAAACTTCAGTTAATAGTTTGGTATGTTTCTTCCTGGTCTGCTGAAGAGTGGGTGCAAGAGCCCAGACTATCTGGGTCCTAATCATGCTCTTTATTAGCTGAATGACCTTGGGCAGATTTCTTTTTTTAAAAAAATGAGGTAGAATTCACAAAAATACAACAATACAGTAGACAATTCTTCAATGCACATTTCAGTGTCATTTAATACGTTCGCATTGTTGTGCGACCAACATCTCTATTTAGTTCCAAAACATTTTCATCACCCTGTAACCACGAAGCAGTCACTTCCCATTCACTACCACTTCCAACCCTTGGCAACCACTAGTCTAGTTTCAGTCTCTATGGATTTACCTATTCTGGATATTTCATATAAATGGGACCACATAATATGTGATCTTTTGTGTCTGGCATAATGTTTAGAGGTTTATCCCTGTTGTTGCATGTATCCAGCAATTCTATTTTTGTTTTTTTTTTTTGAGACGGAGTCTCGTTCTGTCGCCCGAGCTGGAGTGCAGTGGCGTGATCTCAGCTCACTGCAACCTCTGCCTTCTGGGATCAAATGATTCTCCTGCCTCAGCCTCCTGAGTAGCTGGGATTATAGGTATGCACCACCACGCTCAGCTACTTTTTTGTATTTTTAGTAGAGACGGGGTTTCACCATGTTGGCCAGGCTGGTCTCGAACCCCTAACCTCATGTCATCCACCCTCCTCGACCTCCCAAAGTGCTGGGATTACAGGCGTGAGCCACTGCACCTGGCCAGAATTCACTTTTTTAATGGTGGAGTAACATTCCATTGTATGGATATGCCCCATTTTTGTTTATCCATTCAACAATGGATGCGCATTTGGGTTGTTTCCACCTTTTGGCTATAGCAAATAGTGCTGCTCTGAACATTCTTGTGCAAGTTTTTGTTAGAACACTGTTTTTCAATTCTTTGGGGTATATACCTAAGGTGGAATTGCTGGGTCATATTCTGTGCTAATAATTCTATGCTTAACTTTTTGAGGAACTGCCAAACTGTCTTCCACAGCAACTGCCCCGTATTCTATGACCACCAGCAATGTACGAGGGTTCCATTTTCTCCACATCCTTACCACCACTTGTTGTTTTCCCTGAAAATATTATTGTAGCCATCTAGTGGCTGGAAACTGGTGTCTCACTGTGGTTTGGATGTGCATTTCCCTAATGGCTAGTGATGTTGGACATCTTTTCATGTGCTTGTTGGCCATTTGTAGATCTTCTTTGAAGAAAGGTCTATTCAAGCTCTTTACTCATTTAAAAAATTGGGTTGTTTGTTTTTTGTTGTTGAGTTATAAGAGTTCTTTTTATATTCTGGACATTAGGCCCTTATGAAATATGTTATTTGAGGCCGGGCACAGTGGCTCACACCTGTAATCCCAGCACTTTGGGAAGCCGAGGTGGGTGGATCCCCTGAGGCCAGGAGTTCCAGACCAACCTGGTCAACATGGCGATACCCTGTCTTTACTAAAAATACAAAAAATTAGCTGGGCGTGGTGGCGGTTGCCTGTAATCCCAGCTACTCGGGAGGCTGAGGCAGGAGAATTGCTTGAACCTGGGAGGTGGAGGTTGCAGTGAGCTGAATTGCGCCACTGCAATCTCTAGCCTGAGAGACAGAGCGAGTCTCTAGCCTGAGAGACAGAGTGAGACTCCAGCCTGAGAGACAGAGCGAGACTCCATCTCAAAAAAAGGGAAGGAAAATAAATACGTTATTTGAAAGTAACTTCCCCCATTCTTGAGTGGCGTCTTAACCTTGTGTGCTTCCATTTCCTCATCTGAAAAATAGCAATAGCTACATTATAGGCAAGTTGTAGGGATTAGATGAGAGGATTAATTTGTGGCAGTTAGCATAGTGCCTGGTATGTAGTTAAGTGCTCAAGAAATGTTAGTTGTGTATATACAGGCATCATTCTGAAATAAATTGGGCTCATAGTCTTCAATTTGAGATTATGAGTATCTTTTCATGGTACTGTATATTTTCGACAATGTGCTGATTTTTAATGATGGTCTAGTAGTCTGTCATTAGAATGAGACATAATTAAACAATCCCCTATTTTTAGGTGTTTAGGTCTCCACTCAATTCCCATTTAAATCCTCTCGGTTTTGTCAAATTGTCGGTGCTTCATTTGTTCCCCCTAGTTTGATGCAGGCTGGGTAAGTATAATAATACAACAAAATCAGCCGACTCATAATTTTAAACATAAAACAGTGAACATCTTTAATAAGAAGATGAAACTTTCTCAGATACATGAACATTTTACATGGACAGATTCACATATATTACACACATGCACATATACACACACAGAGGTAGCCAGCTTCCACGATGGCCCCAGTGATTCCTGTCCCTCTGGAGTTCAGGCTCTTGCTCTGAGTGTACACTGGATTCCATAACTTGCTTCTTTTTTTTTTTTTTTTTTTGAGATGGAGTCTCGCTCTGTTACCCAGGCTGGAGTGCAGTGGTGTGATCTCGGCTCACTGCAACCTCCGCCTCCCAGGTTCAAGCAATTCTCCTGCCTCAGCCTCCTGATTAGCTGGGATTACAGGTGCCCGCCACCATGTCCAGATAATTTTTGCATTTTTAGTAGAGACAGGGTTTCACCATATTGGCCAGGTTGGTCTCGAACTCTTAACCTCAGGTGATCCACCCACCTCGGCCTCCCAAAGTGCTGGGATTACAGGCATGAGCCACCACGCCTGAGCTCCATAACTTGCTTCTAATGAACAGAATAAGGTGGAAGGACCAGGTCACGCAAGGCGGTGTGGCATCATCGCACCTTAGGAACATGTGTGCGCAGACACACAGAATTTATATTTTGGCACATGGTCACAGGTCTCAGATGCTTGCTTGTTGATCTAATGCTTAGAAAATAATGAAGTATAATGTTTTATTTTTGTTACTGCTTTTTTTTTTTTTTTTTTTTTTTGAGACAGAGTCTTGCTCTGTCATTCAGGCTGGAGTTGCAATGACGTGATCTCAGCTCACTGCAACTTCCGCCTCCCAGGTTCAAGCAATCCCTCTGCCTCAGCCTCCTGAGTAGCTGAGATTACAGACAGTCGCCATCATGCCTATATTTTTGTAGAGACAGGGTTTCACCATGTTGCCAGGCTGGTCTTGAACTCCTGACCTCAGGTGATCCACTTGCCTCGGCCTCCCAAAGTTCTGGGATTACAGGCATGAGTCACTGAGCCCGGCCTTGTTACTGCTTTTGTAACATCTGGAATATGAAAAGGTAAGATGTGTTGCTTATGTTAACACAATTCAAGGACCTTGGCACTGTCAGCGTACACTAGTTGTCTAGCAGACATCACTTTACTCCATGGATGCATTCCCAGAACACTACATGAGGGAATACTGGCATTTTTGGAAATTGAATCATGCTTAACATTGATGAGGACTGCTAGCCAAAGGAGCCTATAGTGAGCACTTTTGTACCTGGAATAAATTTGGTAAATAAAGAGGCATTTCCTGACTTGTCAATATTACAATTTCAACATATTCTGTTTTCTTTAGGTAGATACAACTGCATCATTCCTATTGTCATTATCATTTTCTTGACTTTAACAAAATTCACAGGTTTCAGTCAGATTTCCATAAATAGGGAGTTCCAATGATAGTAAAAAAGGTATGGACAGAAACAAGATTCTGACATCACACACCCTTCCTGAGGAGGAAAACTGCAGGATATCAACAGGTAAATGAACTTACACTTCTAGAGAAAACACTATGGGGCCCGGGCATGTGAGATTTGTGGTAGAACCATCTTGAACTGATTTCTCCAACTGCAGGCCAGGCATAGGGCCCCACGAGATCCAGGTAAATGTGAGATACTTGCTTGTTATAAGTAAATGTGAGATACTGGCTTGTTTTAAGTAAATGTGAGATACTAGCTTGTTATAATACCGATTGCAGGGCCTCACCTCCAGGGTTTCTGATTCAGTAGGTCTGGGATGGGGTCTGAGAATTTGTATTTCTAGAATGTTCCCAGGTGACACTGATGCTGCTGGTCGTGGACCACACTGAGAACTGCTGGCCCAGACTATCACTGGAAGTATTCATGAGAAACTCTCAGCAGAGGCTGCCTGTCCAAAGAAGAACTAGGGGGCCAGGGTAGGAAGGGGGACTTCCATTACACTATACACCATTTTTGTATCATTTCGGTATTTTATCATGCACATGTCTTATCTGTTCAAATAATGTACCTTAAGTTCATGTTTCCCAGCACAATAAAGGAAGGTTTTGTTGTTCCCTGAGATGCAAAATAGTTTTGTGGTTAGGAGCAGGGTCTTATCATCTGGCTCAGCCACACTGTGATCTTCTGTAAGGTACTGTGGTAGTTTGAAAATATGTCCAAACTCTTTGATACATTTCCCTTCAAAAGATACAGCCTGTGTCCTCTGCCCTTGAATGTGAGCTATTCTTAGTGGCTTCCTTCTAATGAATAGAATATGGCAGAAATGTTGTATGACAGTCGAGATATCATAAAAGGACATACAAGACACTGTGGCTTCCTCCTTGGTCCCTCTCTTGGATCATCCACTCTGGGGGCAGCCAGCTGCCATGTTGTGAGGATGCTCAAGCAGCCCTAGGGAGAGGCCTACGTGGTGAGAAACTGAGGCCTCCTGCCAACAGCCATTGAGTGAGCCATACTGGAAGTGGATCCTCCAGCTTTTAGTTAACTGTAACTCTGGCCAATTTCTTGACTACAACCTTTTGAGAGATCCCAAGCCAGAACCACCCAGCTAACAGTTTCTAAATTGCTGACCCACAGAAAATGTGAGACAATAAAAGTAGTTTAAGCCACAAGGTTTTGGAATAATTTTTAACATTGCAATGGATAACGAATACAGCAAGTTAGTCTTTGTAAGCTTCAGCTCCTTCATGTGTACAATGGAACTGATGCTAGTGTCGATGCCATAGGGCTATTAGATTTAACTGAGACAGTACAGATAAAGCCTGCAAATGGTGCCTAGCACATGGTAGCCACTCAGCAGATACTAGCTATTGTCATTCATGCCCATCTGAACTTCTGGTCAGTGGTTTCCTCCCTGTCAGATGGGCTTCATCCAAGGCAGTGCGCAGAGCTAAATTCCTGGCCAGAGGAGTCACACACCTGTCACCATCCTGTGACTGATGGCCTGAGTTTTGTCCTTTTCTCTATGCACCAGAGGAAAGAGATTGCCTTCGTTTTCAAGCTATTCTGAGCTGTGTGGTCACACCTGGAGAAATCCCTGCAAGTTGTACAAATAGGCCTCCCTGAAGCTGGGAAGAGGAGAAAACTCACTCTCTTTCCTCTCACTGCTCCTGTAATCGTCCCACCATCAAATAAGCCCACTTTGTCCTCCTGAGTTTTCCCAACAGGATTTTAAAATCACGGCTTAGAGAATCAGGCTGGATTTTAATGACTATTTTAACTGTCAGGGCATTAGAAAGTCTTAGCCCTCCTTCTTATAGCTGGGATTTGTAATGGCTTAAGTTTAAATGATCTCCATAAGGAATTTATTTTCGGTTTAATGGTCTACCCAATGTCTGACTTCCCAAGTGATTTTCTTGCCAGATACAGAAACAGTGTCAAAAATTTGATATGAGTCAGGATTTGACTGAGCTGAAAGATGCCGATATGTTGGTGACATGCCTTGAAAAAAACAGCAGGGAGGAAAGTGATTGTTTTTGGGGCAGCCTGTGTAAGGCATACTTGCACACTAACAGAATGGAAGTCTTGGTACTAGGAACTACAAACATGGTGCAGAACTGGGCTCAAGGCCTGACATTCTGCCAGGGGAGCACAGCACAGAACCAGAGCTGAACCCCAGAGCCAAACCCCAGAGCCAGCAACACAGCCTCAAGGGCTTCTCTGGGACCCTGATCCTCCAAATGGTTTTATTGGGTGATGGTGGCAGAGGGTGAGTGTTGAGGGGTTTAAGATATTCTCCTTTCATCAGAAAGATAGGCTCAGAAACTACAGCAGACTCTCGCCTACAAGTGTTGGTAGCACCCTAGACCCCACTGAGCTGAGCTAGGGAAGTTAGAGGCAAGAAAATGAAGGAGGGAGTTTATTAGTTAAGATGATTTTGTTTGCAAGTGGCAGAAACCCAACTTATAATAGTTTAAACAAAAAAGTAAATGCATTAGACAGAAATGAAAAGTTTAGGGCAGGGCACTGCCTTCAGGCCTGGCTTGATTGGACATTATTTATTCAGTTATTGGCCTCGATTCCTTTTGCGTTGTTCTCTTGGTCAGGCAGGTTGTCCCCATGTGGTGATAAAACCTGGAACTAACATTGGCTCCATGTTTCCATCCTACCAACCCAGCAGCCCCAGGGAAAGAAAGGACCCTTTTCCTAATGCTCCAACTGAAGTCATCAATTTGACCCTCATTCTTCTGGGGTGGATCTCGTGTTGATTCTTGAACTGTCACTGGTCTGGATCATGGTAGGAGGGCTGCCCTACCAGAACCTCCTGTCCTGAGAGGGACAGAGGGGTGGCTTCCTGAAGGAGAATGGCTGCGGTGCTGCAGCACACGCCTCCTCCAGTTTGCAGACTGCTGCTTCGGAGAATATAGTAGCTCCTGTATCCGCGGCTTCGCTCTGTGGTTTCAGTTACCCATGGTTAGCTGCGGTCTGAAAATATTAAATGGAAAATTCCAGAAATAAACGGTTCATAAGCTTTAAATTGCATGCCATTCTGAGGAGCGTGATGAAATCTGAAGCTGTCTGCTCCATCCCGCTGGGGATGAGACTCCTCCCTTTGTCTGGCGCATCCACATTGGTATTCACTGGATTTGCTGCCTGCCCGTTAGTCACTTAGTAGCCATCTTGTGACCAGGTGGACTATATCACAGTGCTTGGGTTCAAATAACCCTTATTTCACTTCATAATGGCTCCAAAGTGCAAGAGTAGTGATGCCTGTGTATTACGTTTGTTCTGTTTTATTGTCAGTTATTGTTGTCAATTGCTTACTGTGCCTAACTTGTAAATTAAACTTTTTTGAAATTTACTTTATATTATTTATTTATTTTTTGTTTTTTAATTTTATTATACTTTAAGTTCTAGGGTACATGTGCACAACATGCAGGTTTGTTACATTGGTATACATGTGCCATGTTGGTTTGCTGCACCCATTAGCTCATCATTTACATTAGGTATTTCTCCTGCCATTCCTCCCCCAGCCCCCCACCCCACAACAGACCCCAGTGTGTGATGTTCCCTGCCCTGTATCCAAGTGTTCTCATTGTTCAATTCCCACCTATGAGTGAGAACAGGCAGCGTTTGGTTTTCTGTCCTTGTGATAGTTGACTGAGAATGATGGTTTCCAGCTTTATCCATGTCCCTGCAAAGGACATGAGCTCATCCTTTTTTATGGCTGCATAGTATTCCATGATGTATATGTGCCACATTTTCTTAATCCAGTCTATCACTGATGGACATTTGGGTTGGTTCCAAGTCTTTGCTATTGTGAATAGTGCCGCAATAAACATATGTATGCATGTGTCTTTATAGTAGCATGATTTATAATCCTTTGGGTATATACCCAGTAATGGGATTGCTGGGTCAAATGGTAATTCTACTTCTAGATCCTTGAGGAATTGCCACACTGTCTTCCACAATGGTTGAACTAATTTACACTCCCACCAACAGTGTAAAAGTGTTCCTATTTCTCCACATCCTCTCCAGCATCTGTTGTTTCCTATAAATCAAACTTTATCATAGGAGTGCATGTATAGGAAAAAACATAGCTTATGTAGGGTTCGGTAGTATCTGTGGACCCCACTGGGGGTCTTGGAATATATCCCCTGTGGATTACGGGGGGAAGCTACTGTACAGAAACCTAGCTTTGCTTATGGTGACTGGCACAGATATGCATGCAGTGATAGTGCAGTTTGACTGCTGAGGGGAAAAGAAAGGGTGTTTTTGAATTTGGAAACCAAATCTCCTAGTTGGCAAATGATGGAATATTTTTTGCCTTTTTCCCCAGTATCTCCTCACTGTCCAGACTTGTGTTTCTTTCCCTATAATTTTTTTTTTTTTTTTTTTTTTTTTTTTTACAGAGATGAGGCATCACTATGTTGCCCAGGCTGGTCTCAAACTCCTGGCTTCAAGTGATCCTCCCAACTTAGCCTTCCAAAGTGTTGGCATTACAGGAATGAGCCTCCGCACCTGGACAAGACTTGTGTTTCTTTCAGGTTACCTTTCTAGAGCTTTCCTCTGATTAACAAAATTCTCCTCTGAACCCCGTGTGATGCTGGGCTTATGACTTTCCCTTTATGGGCCTCAGTTTCTTCTGGGGAAAAAAATGGATATACTAATTACCTTGTAGGGCTTTCTTAAAAGGCCAAAAGAAAAGGAATCAATATAAACTAAAGATACTTAAAATACTTACTGTGTGCCAGGTACTGGGCGAAGTGGCAGTCTCATGAGGTGAGAATTATTACCACTTATTTACTTAACAGAGAGGTTAAGTAATTTGCCTGGATCACACAGTCACTGAGGGACAGAGTGGGGATTTGGACTCATGTTGTCTCCTGGTAGGGCTGGAGCTTCTAGATACTACTCCCTCGCTCCTGCTTATCAGCAGAGGATTAAACGATGCACACACATAAAATTAGTATGCAGGGCTGTTAGAATCTATAGACCCTCCCCCACCAGGGATGTGCCAGCTTAGACGGGAAAGGAACAAATTCTTTATTTTCACTAACCTCTCACTGAAATTTGGGCATTTTGGGCATTTTTAAAATATTATGAATGTAGGGTACAAACCAGTAAGTTGTTTTTTGTTTTTTTTTTTTTTTTTTGAGACAGAGTTTCGTTCTTGTTACCCAGGCTAGAGTGCAATGGCACTGTCTTGGCTCACTGCAACCTCCGCCTCCCAGGTTCAAGCGATTTTTCTGCCTCCCGAGAAGCTGGGATTACAGGCATGTGCCACCACGCCTGGCTAATTTTGTACTTTTTTTAGTAGTGATGGGGTTTCTCCATGTTGGTCAAGCTGGTCTCAAACTCCCGACCTCAGGTGATCCTTCCGCCTTGGCCTCCCAAAGTGTTGGGATTACAGGTGTGAGCTACCATGCCCGGCCAAACCAGTAACTTTGATAACTGTGATACCCATATCACATTACATTTGCAGATATTTTATATCACTTATGCTCATTACTACTTTAAATTACGTTAGATATTAAATCACGGTATTTTGATCTTGTTTTTGACTGTCTGCTGTTCTGATAGATCCTTTCTCATATTACTTATTTTAATTGACAAATAAAAATTGTATATATGTATGACATATGACAAAGTTTTGAAATACATATGCACTGTGGAATGGCTAAATCAAACAGATCTTGTTATTTAATGTAGAATAAAGAAAGCAGGCTGGGCACAGTGGTTCACACCTGCAACTCCAGCACTTTGGGAGACTGAGGCAGGCAGAACACTTGAGGCCAGGAATTCAAGACGAGCCTGGCCAACATGGCGAAACACCATCACCGCTAAAAATACAAGTTAGCTGAGCATGGTGATGTGCACCTGTACTCCCAGATACTCAGGAGGTTGAGGCAGGAGAATCATTTGAACCTGGGAGGCAGAGGTTGCAGTGAGCCTAGATCACGCCGCTGCACTCCAGCCTGGGCAACAGAGCGAGACTCTGTCTCAACAACAACAACAAAACGCACATATACAAGTTTCTTGTAAATTTTTTAAAAATTAAAAGATTTTTTTATCTCTAATTTTAAACGAATTCTGTAAATACATCTCAAAGGACAAATGTGCTTCTCTGCGTAGCTTCAAAAGTTGCCTGTTTTCATTTCATTCTAGAACTAAAAATGTTCTTCTAAAACTAAAATGAACCACTGGTGATCTTGCAGTTTCTAATACTGTAAGGTCCACAATAGGATAGGTGTCAGCTGAGTTTATTGCATATTGTAAAATATATTCTTAAAATTGTATTTTCGTTTTCTAAATTTCCTTTGTCATTTGCTGTATTTTATTTTACGCATTGAAAAGCATAGGTCTACGCCCTGGGGTCTCTGGCACAAAAGGGAAGAACCTAGGAGAAGGGGGAGGAAGGGAGGCAAGGCTGGACAGGGCAGGTTTAGCCCCTAGTTGTTCCTACTGAGGGTGGTGCTGGAGAGGGCAGGAGCCCCACACAAAGGCGAGGCTGGGTGAGAACCCATGGGCTGTGCCCTCCACCATGCAGAGTGACACGCCCAGAGCCGGGCTGTGAATTTCTAGTTGCCAGGAAGCTGCTGGCCATGACAGGAGGTGAAAGAACTGAAGGCCTCTGACGTCACAGTTTCAGTGACACAGATCTCCCTAGTGGCCTCAAGCCTGTGGCTGGGCCGAGGTCCTGATGTGGGATCACCGTTGGTGTTCACCCCTGGACACCCACCCAAGGGCTCAGGAATCAGACAGGCGTGGGGCTCACCGTGGGCTCCTCCAGGTGCAGACCGTGGCCACCCTTTCTGTCTCAGAGTCTTGGATTCCCCATCTGAAGAGTGGGCGCTGAATCTCTGCCTCCCAGGGCTGGTAGATGATTGGATCAAATAAGGAATCTGAAAGTTCTTCATGAACTGTAAAGTTTTATCTGAATGGTAGTTATTGTCCTTATTCCTGTCTTTTTTATTTTTATTATTATTTTTTGAGATGGAGTCTCTCTCTGTCACCAGGCTGGAGTGCAATGGCGTGATCTTGACTCACTGCAACCTCTGCCTCCCAGGTTCAAGCAATTCTTCTGCCTCAGTCTCCCGAGTAGCTGGGGCTACAGGTGCGTGCCACCACACCCAGCTAATTTTTGTATTTTTAGTAGAGACAGGGTTTTACCATGTTGGCCAGGATGGTCTCGATCTCTTGACCTCGTGATCTCTTGACCTCGGCCTCCCAAAGTGCTGGGATTACAGGCGTGAGCCACCGCGCCCAGCATATCCTTATCCCTGTCTTCAGAGGGAGGAGAAAGAGACGTTTTCATTAAGGCCATCATTCCCTCACCTGGGGAGGTTCAAGAAGAGGGAGGGGCAAATGGGGTCAACAGTTGCCCATGGCTGTCAATGTGCCCCTGGCTACACTGGCCACAGGGAGGGGCAGTTTAGATTCCTGTGCCTTCTTTACTAGGAAGACCACAGATGCCTTGTTCATGCCTAGAAGGAATCTTTTCAAAAAAGCTATGCGCCTATGTATTTACGTAAATACCTATGTATGTACGCATATATCCCTTTAAAGCCCTCTATTTTTGGAAGGAAATTGGGTTTCTGGGACATAGCTATAGTTATTCAGTTGTCTGATACAAAGTACAAAAGATAGGGAACACAGATGAGATGAACAGGCAGAATGTGTGACACTTCTTTTGAATTTACATTTAGATCCTAGCGGGGCTTCCTTGGACTAATGAAGTGTAGACAGTGAACTTGCTAAGTATGACTTGAGAAAGTAAAAGCTGCATGCAAGCGTGCACACACACATGCACACACACCCCACACACGCATACACACACACGCACACACGCATACACACACGCACACACACGCACACG
This sequence comes from Homo sapiens, assembly GCF_000001405.40. NCBI lineage: Eukaryota > Metazoa > Chordata > Mammalia > Primates > Hominidae > Homo > Homo sapiens. Next base: position 174,765,713 of record NC_000005.10, read on the forward strand.
CACACGACCACACGCAGCACACACACACATACACACACTCACGCACCCACGCACACACACACATGCGCGCACACGCGTGCGTGTGCACACACTTCAATTTCTTACTGAATGGGATATGAGTCTCTGCTCATTTACAGTCTTTTTCTGGTTCCATAAACTTGTCCAAAGTGATATTCCTGTCCCATCCTCCTTCCCTATCTGAGCCCCTTCCCTCTCTCTCGTCTTTCTTTTTTTCTGGAGTGATTGATCCCTTGACTTAGGCTCAAATCCCAGCAGTGCCACATACAGGATGTTCTTGGGCAGGCCACTTAGCATCTCTGGGTCTTAGATTCCTCCCCTTAAGTGGGGATAGTAATAGCCCTCCTAGGGTAGCTGTGATGATTAGTTGGGATGGTTCAGAAAATGGGCTTGGTGCAGTCCTTGGCAAGGATTTAGAGCCCCATGATTGCCATCTATTCCCTGTGTGGGGCAAGGTGCAGTCGGCTGGGCACAGGGGCAGGAAAACTGAAGAGAGGCTAAGTTTTGTCATAAACTTTTGTACAAAGTGCTTCAGGGACACCAAAGTAGAAGCGACTAGATAAAACAGTAAAACACTGAAATTGTTCAGAGGCTGAGGGTCAGAGGGGATGACTTGCTCAAGACACTGGGGATGTGTGTCGTATCACTCCCTTTATATCAGCTCTGTTTCCTTGCAACTGTCTTGAACTCTCAGAGAATAGTAATAAATAACATTTATTTGCAGTAATTATTGTAAATGTATATATGAGAGCTTTTTGATTTATTTATTTTGAGAGAGGGTCTTGCTCGTCGCCCTGGCTGAGTGCATCACAGCTCACTACAGCCTCGACCTCTGGGGCACAAATGATCCTCCTGCCTCAGCCTCCCGAGTAGGTGGAACTACGGACGTGTTCCACCAAGCCCAGCTAATTTTTGTATTTTTATAGAGACAGGGTTTCGCCATGTTGCCCAGGCTGGTCTCGAACTCCTGGGCTCAAGTGATCCTCCCACCTTGGCCTCCCAAAGTGCTGGAATTACAGGCGTGAGCCACCACGCCCAGCTGAGAGCTTATTCTGTGCCAGGCAACATGTTATTCAATCTTCATAACCACAAACAAGGTTTGCTCTGTTAGTGCTCTTGCAGTACAGATGAGGAAACTCAAGTCACAGAAAGGGTAAGCCCCCAAGTCAGCATGAATCAGGGGCGAGTGGGCATTCTCTGTGGTCCCAGTCTCCAGAGCCCCCTGGTGTCCCCTACTCCGTACTATCTCCTTACACAGAAGGAGAATGACAGTTTATTTTCCCAGGCCATTCCTAAAACCACAAAATAACTCCTTTCTACTTTCATTTTGGGTTTAAAAGAGATAATTTTCAACCTGGGGTACATCAAACCTGGGTTGGAGTCTTGACGTCACCACTCACTGACATGTGGCCCTTGGAGAGACCCTTCAACTTTTTGAGCCTCACTTTCTCCGCTGTATATTAGATTGGTGTTTTTAATAAATCTGCAGTGGAACCCAACATTGAGGACGTTGTGCTCCAAACTGACCTACCACAGTCACCTCGCACACCCTCCTGCAGCCTCTCCATCTTATTCCTGCCCACGCCCTGAGCCCTTCAGGGTTGAGTGCTTATTTTGGAGTTCCTCAGTGCTCTGTGGTCCTCTGTTTTCCTACTTATACAGCACAGGGACACTCAGGGCAAAGCCACGGGCCTGGGCCTTGGAGCAGCACCTTCTACAGATGTCAGAGTTTGGAGCTGGGCCTTTTAAAGGATACTCAGAATTTGAGAGTGGGAAAGACTCTGCTGGGACTTTATATCAGCCCAGCTGGTGTTTGTGAAAAATCTGTATCAGGCTTCCTAAAACACCAGTTAAAAAAGGGACAAAGAGGCCACAGACCCTGCCTTCAGGGCATCTCCAGTCTGAAGTGAAGGTGTAGAATTAAGTAGAATATTTCAACAAAATGCCATAAGTTCTTTTGGGACCCATTCACCCACCCGCCCTCCCATCCATCTACCCACTCACCCATCCATTCACCAATCCACCCTCCCATCTATCCACACACCCATCCCATCCATCTACCCACTCATCCGCCCATTCACCCATCCACCCTCCCATCCATCCAACCACCCACCCATCCTTCCACCCATAAACCCTCTTATCCATCCACCCACCCATCCACCTATCCATCCAACCACCCACCTACCCACCTACCCATCCACCCATCCACTCTTCCATCCATCCACCCGTCCATATACCTTCCCATCCATACGCACACCCACCCACCCACCCACCCATTCATCCATCCCACAAACATTTGAGGGCCTCCTATCTGCCTATTACTGGAGACAAAATAGTGAGCAAAATGGATAAAGTTTATGATCTTTTGGCAGCTAATAGACAAATAATCAAAAAACCTATTTAACATGCCAGAAGATGTAAATGTTATGGAGAAAAATAAAGCATGATGGGGAGTAGAGAGGAATAGACAGGAGGATTGTGTGTGGGTGTGTGCAGGAATGTGTGTGCACGTGTGTGGTGTGTTTTTGTGTAGTTGTAGATGTGTGTGTGTGTGAAGGTTGTGTGTGGGAGTGTGTATGTGTGCACGGGAGTACTGATATGCAGAAGTATGATGCGTGTGTGTGTGTGTGTGTGAGTGTGTATGTGTGTGTGTACATGAGGCTTTCTTTTGAGAGGCAGATTTAGAAGAACACTCTGAAAAGGAGACATTTGGCCAGGTGCAGTGGCTCACGCCTGTCATCCCAGCACTTTGGCACTTTGGGAGGCCGAGGTGGGTGGATCACCTGAGGTCAGGAGTTTGAGACCAGCCTGGCTAACATGGTGAAACCCTGTCTCTACTAAAAATACAAAGATTAGCCAGGTGCAGTGTCTCACGCCTGTAATCCCAGCACTTTGGGAGGCCAAAACAGGCGGATCATGAGGTCAGAAGTTCGAGATCAGCCTGGCCAACACGGTGAAACCCCTACTAAACCCCTACTACTTTGTCTCTACTAAAGATACAAAAAAAAAAAAAATTAGTTGGGCATGGTGGCACACTGTAATCCCAGCTACTTGGGAGGCTGAGGCAGGAGAATCACTTGAACCTGGTGGAGGTTTCAGTGAGCCGAAGCTTTCAGTGAGCCGAGGTTGTGCCATTGCACTCCAGCCTGGGCGACGGAGCGAGACTCTGTCTCAAAAAAACAAAAACAAAAACAAAAACAAAAATTAGCTGGGCATGGTTGCTGGTACCTGTAATTCCAGCTACTCGGGAGCCTAAGGCAGGAGAATCGCTTGAACCCTGGAAGCATAGGTTGCAGTGAGCCGATATCGCGCCACTGCACTCCAGCCTGGGTGACTAAAGTGAAACTGTCTCAAAAGGAAAGAAAGAAAGAGAGAGAGAGAAGGAAGGAGGGCAGGAAGGAAGGAAAGAAAGAAAGAGAAAGAAAGGAAGGAAGGAAGGAAGGAAGGAAGGAAGGAAGGAAGGAAGGAAATAAAGAGAAAAAGGAAGGAAGGAAGGAAGAAAGAGAGAGAAAGAAAGAAAAGGAAAGAAAAGAAAGAAAGAAAGGAGAGAGAAAAGGAGAGATTTGACAAAAACCTAAAGAAATGAGGTAGCAGCCACTTGAATGCCTCGGAGGGAAGCATCCCAGGTGGAGGGAAGAGCAAGTTAGAAACCAGGATAAGGAGAAAGAGATTCTCATTTTTCCAGGACAAGTTGCAGCAGGAAAAGTTCACTTAAGTAGATGCTTTAAAATATGAAACTAGAATTTCATAGCAAATATAGTGAAATAAAAAGTGTGACTGGGGTTTTATCTTGAAAAATGAAATGAAACAGTCACAGTGGATGTTTATTTTTATCTTATGTTCAACAGAATATACATTATAAATGCACTGGTGTGCAAAATCTTAACCTAACGAATGGTGTTGGGCTTTAGGATGCTATGTATGCACCCTTCAGATCGCATCTGACTTCCACAGCACATCATGGAAAGGATCGGTTTTATAAAAATATTTGAGGGTTTTGCCTGTTTTCCTAAGCCTCATTTTAAATGTTGCTATTTAAACTGACTGTCTTTGAGGTGCTATCATTTATAAAGATCTTTTCATCAATTGTAAACTCTTCTAACTCCACCATTTCCCCGCTTGTCAAAGCCTTGCTGAGTGATTGGAGCCAGCATGACTCTCTTGATTTCATACGATCCTGTATTTTTGCTAGATTGTACTACTGGGTGACAGCACAGGACAGTCAGCAGAAATGACAAAAGCATGGACTCGCCTCCACACCGAAAGAACTGGGATAAGGGAAGCCATATCTGAGCATGACTCAGTTCGTTAAATGGCCAGTTCATTAGTGAATATTTCCATGTTACAATGGCCTATGCCTCCCTGTGCAAGCTCATACCAGGGGACTCAGTGAACTCAGCTGAGGGGACCTATGTTTTTATGTGTTTCTTTTTTTTTTTTTTTTTTTGAGACAGAGTCTCGCTGTGTCACCCAGGCTGGAGGGCAGTGGCACAATCTCGGCTCACTGCAAACTCCGCCTCCCGGGTTCACACCATTCTCCTGCCTCAGCCTCCCTAGTAACTGGGACTACAGGTGCTTGCCACCACACCTGGCTAATTTTTTGTATTTTTAGTAGAGACAGGGCTTCACTGTGTTAGCCAGGATGGTCTCAGTCTCCTGACCTCGTGATCTGCCCGCCTCGGCCTCCCAAAGTGCTGGGATTACAGGCATGAGCCACCGCACTCAGCCTCTTTTTATGTGTTTCTACAAGTGCAACCTAATCCCATAAGCATAAGGAGTTACCCCAATACCCCATTACTTAGCAAGTTCCTTACATATATTTTCTAACGAATTCCTCACCACCACTCTGTGAAATAGATGTTATTTTTGCCCTTCTACAGATTAAGAAACTGAAAGGCTAACAATTGATGTGCCAGCTCACTGTGGTGGTGTCAGACTTGAATCCTTACTCTGTAGCAAATCACCACTCCTGGAACACAGTGCTTTTGTGGTTTCCAGCAGTTTCCCACTTATCATCTTTTATACACTGGTTAACTACGGGCTTGCCCATCAGGAGTTCTGTGTTCTAGACCTGTTCTGTTGTTGGGTGATATAGGCAAACTTCTTCCTGTCTCTTGGCCCTATCTGTAAATGAGACAGCTCCTCTGGTTCTGTCTCAGGAACTGAGGTCACTTGTTGAGAAAGGGAATAGCTCTGCTATCCTATGAATAATATTACCAGGGATCAAATAGCTACTATGTATTGAGTACTTTCTCAGTGCCAGGCACTGTGCTTCATGCTTGGTGAGCACCATCTTATCCATCTTCAGATAACTCTGTGAGGCTAAGGAAAATGACAATGGGCAAGAACAGCTTTGGACAAGCCACACACTGGTGGGGATGGAGCTGGGGTCTGGCTGCCTGCCTTTCGCTGGGGATGCACAGGTCAACGCTTGCAGGAAGATCCCAGAAGCAGCAGAGAAGTGGAATTTTGGACATACAGCTCAGGTGTTTCCTGGGAACTCTAGAGTTACTCAAAATTGTTTTTGGTGAATGATCAGCTTATTTTTGTTTTTGTTATTTCACTTAATTGATGGCGGACTAATGTGTCTATAAGACACAATAACAATGGATTTCTAGGATACAGTGGTTGCGAAGTGATCTCTAGGAAGTGCTTGGATGTTGCACAACATTGAGTGCAAACACTCCTTTCAATTTCTCCTTTGAATCTTCTTCAAGAAGAAAAAAGGAGGTCGGAAAGTTTGGAAGATTAGGCAGAAGAAGATAAGGGAGACAGGCTAGAGTTTTGGAGGAGAGCAGCAAAGCACAGCCTTAGAAATACAACTGCTGGGGTACGGAGGCAGGGAGAGGAGGGATATCTAGAGAAAAATTTAGATGTGGCTTTAGGCTCTGGGATGAAACCCTAAGGTGCTAGGGGACTGATATGGGTTTCTTTTGAATGCTACTGTGTGTTGAAGGCCACGAAGGTGGGGAAAGGGGAAATGCAGCTTTTCATGGTCTCTACCATTCATTTCCTTCCCCATTTACAGGAGTAAGTTTCCAGGCTAGACTTTTCACAAGGCAGTTCATAATGGTATAGTTGTATTGATAGTGATCAAGTTAGTAATAATGGTAATAGAAATAATAATAATAATAATAAGAGCCATTAGCATTTATTGTATACCTTATACGAGCCAGGTGCTGCAGGAGGCAAGTTATGCACATTTATTACACAACAGTTGTATGGAGGTGGGTGTGAAATCCCCATCTTATGACTACTAAGAGTATAATTTATTTTTAACTGTCAGAGGAAGGAGGAGATGAACCCTAAATCAGGGAAGTAAAAGAGCTGTAAGAGCTAATGGACCAAGCTACCAAACTGGCAGAAATGGAAGTGACAACAGGGGTTGATGGGGGAAAAAGGACAGGCATTAGGAAAACGTAGATAAATTATGAACTGGTTGTGGTAGTTTTGGTAGCTTCCAAGATGCCACCTGCCTGCAGGTGTCCTTGCCCTCTGCCATTCATGCCCTTTTGCAGCCTCTTCCTATCATGAAATCAGAGCTGATCTGCACATGCATCCAACAGAATATGGTGGAAGAGATGGTGTGTGATTTATGAAACTAGATTGTGAAAGGCCTTGTAAATTCCACATTGATGGCTTGGATCACTTGCTCTGGAGGAAGTCAGCAGCCATGCTGTAAGTACACTCAAAGAGCTCTGAGGAGATGATGATGGTATGGAGATGAATTGCAGCCTCTCACCAACAGCTGTGTTGTGACTGCTCTCTAGACTGTTCATATGGATCCCCCAGCCCCAACCAAGCCTTCAGATGGCAGCAGTCCTGGCCGACCTCTGTCAGCAACCTCATGAGAGAGCCACAACTGCCATGTGGAGCTACTCACAAATTCCTACCTATAGAAAACATGTGAGATAATAAAGGATTAATATTGTTTTAAGTCACTAAGTTTTGGAGTAATTGTTATGCAATCAATAATTAATATATAACAATTCTAGATGAATCTCAGGAAAATCAAATCTTGTTTCTCTTGAATGGGATTTGGCCTTTCTCTCTGAACTAAGTGTGAATCCCTTAAAAAGAAAACATTTCTTACTATTTATAATTTCACACACCTTTGAACATGGGTTATCCCCCTAAATGTTGGGCCTGATGGTATGATTGGAATACTTAAATGGATATTTAATTGAGTACAAGAGCTTGGGACTAGCTGTCAGGGAGAACCAAAATGCTCCATAACTGAGGAAGAACATTTGGAGCTTCCCTGGTGACTCAGGAGAAAGGGAGAGGACCAAGAATGAATGGGGAGGAGAGAAGGAAGGTGCAGAGTTGGAGGAAGTTTGCTTCTTTTCCAGGTTTTTGATCAGGCTGCCTAACTCGGCAGAACTTGTGCTCAATGAAGTGTTCGTGGGTCCCCAAGAAGCAACCCTTTCTGTACTGTTGGATGATTTGTCCAAGGGCAGCGATGGGGACCTAGGAGAAGGAGGCAGAGCTGGAAATTAGGGGAGGAATTTGTACTTTCCGAGGTCATGGAACTAGGGAAGGGGTGTGAAGGGATACAGGGTGTCTGAGGAGCAGAAAAGGCCAACTCTGAGCTTCCTACTCTGTGCCAGGAACTGATCTGAGGACAGCCACCCAGATATGAAGTCCCATTCTAATGGAGCCTCCCTGCTGGGGGGACTAAGTTGGGTATATAACCCCATCAACTACTCTCCCATCCACTTTGCTCTTTTGCATTGTATTTGACAAACTTTTTTTTTTTCAAGAAGGCATAGGTCCTTATTGTGTCAGCTGAGCAGAACTGTAGTGAGCTGGACTTTGGCCTTTAGGGCAGGAATTTGCTACCTCTGATGCTGACGGGGGCGTAACCAGGCATCTGAAAACCAGGGCATGCTCTGCTCTTGCCTCTCCTGCTTTGTCTTTCTCCAAACCTAGTGCTGGGCTGCACAGAAAGCCTGCAGTCACTGAGGTTCCCCCATGCACCTAATGTGTAATATCAGCCCACTGAGGTGAATAAAACTCACAAAAGTTTACGGTGTGTAAATCACGGTTATGTTCCACTCTGGGCCTCAGCGCAGAAAGGCCTGATTCCCTCTTAAGGGTTGTAAGTGGAAACAGCTTTTCTTCAGTGTCAGAAGAGTTCTAGGATTGTAGCAAACACATGAGAGGCAAGGCAGCCACAGCACCCTCTCTCTTGGGAATGGGCTTGAAAGCTCGGATGGGGGCTTCCCAGTGGCCCTAAGGGCTTCTCCAGGGATCCAGGACCACGGGACACCTACAGTGGTCAGCATGGCTGAACGATTGGGCAGTTCTACAATCATGGGTAACAGAGGCCAAATCCAGGTCTTCCCATGGAAGCAGAGTTTTCCTACTTTCCACCACCTCCTGCCACACCCTTCCCCACCCATCTCAGTAACATCGTTCCTAACCTGACCTATTGTTTTCACACCATGTTTTCATATAATCAGGTCCCACTGCCAGGATGTCAGACCTTCCTGCTTCCACCTTCTCTGTTCTGCAAATTCTTACCTATAGTTCTCAAAGTAGTGGCAATGGCCTCCCTCCACACACTGCTGCGGAGTTCCCACAGCCCTTGGTTCCTCCTGTAGTTTTGCCTTCATCTATGATACTTATTGGTGACGCATCTCTCTCCCCTACAGGGGGTAAGCTCTAGAGATCAGATATTATGTTTTATTCATAATGATGACAGCTACGATTTAGGGGCTAGGTCAGGAGCCCCAGATATGTCATTGCGAGCCCTCGACACGGGAACTGCTCCCTTTCCTCCCATTTTACCATAAAGAAACTAAGGTTCAAAAGAGCTAAGTGCTTTGTCCAAGGTTCCATTTAGGAGGAAGCAGGGCCAGGAGTTGAGCCTGGACCTTCTGTCTTTGGAATTGAGGCGTTTCCCCCTTACTCTGTATTGTTTGCTGTGAATGGGCATCAACCAGGAGTTTGAAATGATTTTAGTGCCCCCAAGTTTGCCCTCTCCTCACCCTGGGAACCCTCGACCAAAGCACATTTTGAAACCTGAAGGAGTCGAGGAACCTTTGAAAAGCTCTCAGACAGAGACCAGGTATTAAGTCCCCTTGGGAGGATTTTAAAAAGCTCCCAACCAAAAAGCAAATCTTACAAATCATTGAGAAAAAGGGAACATTTGCTCAGCATTTTCTTAAAAAGAACATTTTTTTTTCCAACGATTAAGTCCACACTACCATCTAAGTTTCAAATACTCTGACAAAAATTCTCTTTATTTACATCCATTGGAAAGTATTGTCATGATTCACTGTTCAATTCAAAAGGTACATCCCTTACACATATTTACAACAGAGATTCCCAAAAGAAGTGTCAGACACATATTACTATCATCACCATGACTGTCAATAAAATCGCCACACTCTAATGCTTGTGCTAGTTTAAAGCTAGAATATAAAAGAAAATAGAATTTAAATGATAAAGAATTCTGATCACATGTTAGCCTTTGGGCTTACGTTTCATGTCTGAGAGCTTGCTGCCAACACCAGCTATTTGAGTGTGATCACCTAACAAAGAATGTTTATCTTGCTCTGTCTCAAAACAGACAAAAATGCTATGGTTGATTGAGTCAGGTTTTGCTGAGCTGGAACATTAGTCCTGCATCTATAACATCAAGGAATGGTAGAGATTAATTCAACACGGGAGGCAGCTTTTACTCTTTCAACTATTACACAGCTATGGAAAAGACTGAGTAAGATCTTTACCTATTACCTGGAAGGAACATTCATGATCCATTGCTAGGTGTAAAAACTGAGTTGCAGGGCCATACATAAAGTGCGTCAATTTTTTTTTTTTTTTTTGAGACGGAGTCTCACTCTGTTGCCGGGCTGGAGTGTAGTGGTGCGATCTTGGCTCACTGCAGCCTCTGCCTCCCAGGTTCAAGCGATTCTCCTACCTCAGCCTCCCGAGTAGCTGTGATTACAGGCATATGCCACCAAGCCAGGCTAATTTTTTTTTTGTATTTTTAGTACAGATGGGGTTTCACCATGTTGGCCAGGATGATCTCGATCTCTTGACTTCATGATCTGCCCACCTCAGCCTCCCAAAGTGCTGGGATTACAGGTGTGAGCCACCACGCTGGACCCAAGTGTGTCTATTTTTTAAAAACAGAATAAGACAAGAGCCCTATATCTATCTTTAGATATTTGTATAAACCTGGGAAAGTATGTGTAAGGGTCCCTACCAGCCAGATGCTTGGTGACATTGATGGTAGATTTATTAACTTTTTCTTTATATACTTAAGAAGATTACTTCGCTTGTTACAAAAAGCACATATTGCTTTTGTACTAAAAACACTAATGAAATATAACTGAAGAAACCTGTCTTTGCCGTGCGTTTCAATGGAGTGTAACTTTTCTCTAGGTTCCTTCTCAAAAAATGCACCTGGCTTACTAACAAGAGTTGCACAGAAATGTGGGCTTCCCCCAGTCTGCTATTACTTTGTTTCTTCACTTGTTAGCTTCTGTATTGTCTGCCTTTCTGCACCAGAGTTTCAGTCCCATGCGAGTGAAAACCTAGCTTGGTTTATAACAGAATTCATGGCATTTAAGAGGGTATCTGGCCAATGGCAGGAACTCAATACATTTATCTTTATCTATCTTTATTTTGCAGAAGTAAAGTGTCTTGCCCAGGGTCCCAACCACTTTTAATGACAAAGTAATAATGTGCTAATATAATCAACAAATGCTTATTTAACATACACAGCAGACCCTGGGCTAGGCTCTTGGCATACAAGAAGAGGCAGGAATAAGAAGATAAATAGGGATTCTGCTCTTAGGGAGCAGGCCGTCAACTTATGGGGAGAGAATTGAACTAGCATAGTTCCTTGTTCCTGGGTTAAACAATGCAGGGACCCCAGCAAAAACTAACTTCGCTGCCTGCTACACAAAATAAGTTTGATTCTAGAAGGTAAGACTGTGAGCTAAACAGTGTACTTTTTAGAACTAACAGTTTTCTTGTCAAGAATTGCTTTAAGACCCCTGCCTTCCTTTGCCCACCAATCCAGGACAGTATGTCATCAACTCTGCCCAATTTCAATCAGTTCTCTACCTTGCAAAACCTGCCTTAAAATCATCTGTCTCAGGACCTAAAACCCTACAAATATCTTTTTTTAAATTTTTATTTGAGACGAAGTCTCACTCTTGTCACCTAGGCTGGAGTGCAATGGTGCGATCTCAGCTCACTGCAAACTCCACCTCCCGGGTTCAAGTGATTCTCCTGCCTCAGCCTCCTGAGTAGCTGGGATTACAGGCACCCACCACCACACCCGGCTAATTTTTGTATTTTTAGTAGAGACGGGGTTTCACCATGTTGGCCAGGCTGGTCTTGAACTCCTGACTTCAGGTGACCCACCCACCTCGGTCTCCCAAAGTGCTGGGAATACAGGCATGAGCTACCGTGCCCGGCCACAAATATCTTTTTTTTTTTTAAATTTCCATTTTCAGTACACTACTGAGACCCTGTTAAGGTTGTCCTGTCCTTTACTGCAGAACTTCGGTACACTTAGCTTTGCTTGATGAACAGGTTTTTCTAGTAGTCTTTTGGGGCTCCCACAGTCGAAAGGGAGAACAATATTTAAATAGGCAAATAAATGAGCAAGATCGTATCAGAAATGACTCAGTTATATGCAGAAGAAGGAGGAGATGATACAGAGTGGCAAGGAATGGGGTGGGGGGCAAGGTTTAGGAAGTATAGCTCTAGTGGCCAGAGAAGGTGTCTTGTAAGCTGAGACTTGAGTGATGGGAAGGTGGGATTCTGGGATAAACTGAAAATTCCCAGTAGAGATACTAGCTTCTTCGGAAGCCTTGAGATGTTCTAGAATAAAGGCTGTGTTCCCAGAATGCAGCAGACCGGGGGAGATGTCATGAAGTCAAGCAAAGGCCAGAAGGTACGAGGCTTCACAGGCCACAAGAAGGAGTTTGGATTTTATTCTAGGAGCACTGGAAAGCCACAGACATTTGAAGCAGGGAGTAACTATCAATGAATAATTTAAAAATAGCTGAAAATATGACTCATTCAAATACATGGTAAGAACATGCCAAAGATTTATTTCACTTACTAACAGGGAAAGCAGCAGGATGATAGAGCTGGTTCAAAGAGCACTTGAGGAACTGAGATGTATATGGTCCACTGGGTAAGGCATGCTGAAATAAATTTGCTAAGCTAGAGACATAACCATTTCATGTCCTGCAGGGCAATGACAGCCTCACTTTTGCAGTTATCTTTTCTATTTCAGATAAAAACGGTTTGCATTTGCATTGTGTAGACACTTATATGTTGCCCAGAATCTGAGCTCAACTTCTTCTGTCCAATTCTTCTTTCTCTTCTTTTATACACATGGTGACCCCAAGAGCACCCTGTAAGGAGCCTCATGGAGGTGCATCTCCATTTCAGGCAGGATCCCAGAGAACCCAACAGCATCATGCATATCTACAGCTCAGAAGTTTACAAGTTAATTTGCAACTTCACAGAGGTAAAGACTTAATAATAGTAAATGGCAAATCAAACAAAGGTACATCTCCTGGAGAATTAATGTTTTGTTATCATTGTATTAAATAATTGAATGAGCTCATTAGACAGCTGACTTTTTGCATCATTTTCATGTTTTGGATACTTTTTTTTTTTATTTTTTTGAGACGGAGTCTTGCTCTGTCGCCCAGGCTGGAGTACAGTGGCAGGATCTCAGCTCACTGCAACCTCCATCTCCCAGGTTCAAGTGATTCTCCTGCTTCAGCCTCCCCCAGCAGCTGGATTACAGGTGGGTGCCACCACGCCCAGCTATTTTTTTTTTTTTTTTTTTTGTATTTTTAGTAGAGACAGGGTTTCACCGTGTTGGGCAGGCTGGTCTCGAACTCCTGACCTCAAATAATCTGCCTACCTCTGCCTCCCAAAGTGCTGGGATTACAGGCATGAGCCACTGCGCTCAGCTTTGTTTTTCTAAATTAGAAAATGGAAGCTCTGAGAAATGCTGGAGTCACAGTTCTGGGAAGTGGCAACTCCAGAGTTCTGTCTCCTACATAGCCCTATTCCTCTGATGGTAACAGCCCTCAAGGTTCTTTCCTTGCCAGAACTGCCACTTGTGCCATTGGGCGGGGGGGTGGCAAGGAAGGACGCCAGCTAATTCTTCCACACCCCCAGGTGACTTCTTGACAGAACATGCAATACATATGAATGCAATTCAAATTTAATCAATCCATTCTGTAGGATTACCTCTTCAGGTATGCAAAGATAAATGCACAAAGATGTTAGTTGCAGCATTTTTTTTCTTTTTTTTTTGAGACAGAGTCTTGCTCTGTTGCCCAAGCTGGAGTGCAGTGGCTCAATCTCCGCTCACTGCAAGCTCCGCCTCCTGGGTTCACGCCATTCTCCTGCCTCAGCCTCCCGAGTAGCTGGGACTACAGGTATCTGCCACCACGCCCGGCTAATTTTTTGTATTTTTAGTAGAGACAGGGTTTCACCGTGTTAGCCAGGATGGTCTCGATCTCCTGACCTCGTGATCTGCCCGCCTCAGCCTCCCAAAGTGCTGGGATTACAGGCATGAGCCACCGCGCCCGGCCATAGTTGCAGCATTGTTAATAATAGCAAAAAGTTGTATGCATTCTAAACATCTATCTAGAGGACAGTGGTTATAAAAATGGTAGTTTCTCTATTCTACAGAAACTTAAGTAGTTGTTAAAAACAGAATGTAAAGCATTTGTTATCTGCGCTGGTGAGGAAAGGTGCTCACATTAAATGAATAGAGAAGATTACAGACGGATTATGATTGTCATGCCATTTTACAAAACCTCAAATCTAATCATAGTGTGTTTATATGACAGAAACGTCTGGAAGGACACAGAGCAAAACATGATGTTTATTTCTGAGTAGTGGAAGAAGACAGGAATGTTCACTTTTAATTTATATAACTGTATTTTTAAAAAATTTCACAATGAGCACATATAACATTTTTTTAAAAATTGAGCTGAAATTTACATGACATAAAATTCATGACTTTAACAATTTGAAAACATACAATTCAGTAGTTTTTAGTTCACAAAGTTGTGCAAGTATCGTTATTATCTAATTATAGTACATGTTTTTTTCAACCTAAAATGAAACCCCATACCAACGAGCAGTCACTTCTTATTTCCTTCTTTCCCTGGCCACCACTAATCTCCTTTCTATCTCTATGGTCTTGTCTATTCTGGACATTTCATATAAATGAAAACATATAAAATGTGGGCTTGGCTGGATGTGGTGGCTTGCGCCTGTAATCCCAACACTTTGGGAGGCCAAGGTGGGAGAATTGCTTGAGCTCAGGAGTTAGAGACCAGCCTGGGCAACACATAGAGACCTTGTCTTTACTAAAAACCAAAATGATTAGCTGGGCATAGTGGAATGTGCCTGTAGTTCCAGTTACTCAGGAGGCTGAGGTGGGAGTATCACTTGAGCCTGGGAGAATGGGACTGTGGTGAGCTATGATTATGCCCCTGTGCTCCAGCTTGGGTGAGCCCCTGCACTCCAGCTTGGGTGACAGAGCAAGACCATGCCTAAAACACCGAATGTGGCCTTTAGTGTCTGGCTTCTCTCACTTAGCATCATGGTTTTGAGGGTCTTCTATGCTGGAGCATGTGTCAGTACTTCATTCCTTTTTTATGGCTGAATAATATTCCTTTGTGTGGACAGACCACATTTGCCTATCTGTTCATCAGTTGATGGACATTTGAGTTGTTTCCACATTTTGGCTATTATGATTAAGGCTTCTATGAATATTTGTATACAATGTTAAAGACTTGTTTTGTTTGAACACCTGACGTCAGTGATCATGGGTACATAGTTGTTTAACTTTATGAGGAACCACCTTAGCTTTACCACAGCAGCTATGGCAAGTAAAAGTCCCATCAGTAATGAACAAGAGACCTGATTTCTCCATGTTCTGACCAACTTTTGTTTTTTTTTATTCGACAAAATTGGAGGGTGGAGGGTGTGAAGTGATCTCTGGAGGGTATCATGTGATATCTTATTGTTGTTTTGATTTTTGTTTCTTTAATGACCATTGATGTTGTACATTTTTTCACATGCTTGTTGGCCATTTGTATGTCTTCTTTGGAGAAATTTCTATTCAATGCTTTGCCCATTTTAAAATCATCTTGTCTTTTTGTTGTCGAGTTGCAAGAGTTCCTCATATATTCTGCATACCAGACTCCTATCAGATATACTATCTGACAATATTTTCTCCCATTCTGTGGGCTATGCTGTCACTTTCTTGATAGTGTTCTTAATGCATGAAAATTCTTAATTTTGATGAAGTCCAATTTGCCTATTTTTTAAATTGTTTGTGCTTTTGGCATTATATCTAATAACTCATTGCCAAATCCAAGGCCAAGAAGATTTACCCTATATTTTCTTCCAAGAGTTTTACAGTTTTAGCTCTTCCACTTAGATCTTTGATTTATTGTGAGTTGATTTTTTCTTTTTCTTTTTTGAGATGGAGTCTCACTCTGTCACCTAAGCTGGAGTGCAATGGCGTGATCTCGGCCCATTGAACCTCTGCCTCCCTGGTTCAAGCGATTCTCCTGCCTCAGCCCGAGTAGCTGGGATTACAGGCGTGCGCCACCAAGCCCGGCTAATTTTTGTATTTTTAGTAGAGACAGGGTTTCACCATATTGGCCAGGCTGGTCTCAAACTCCTGACCTCGTGATCCACCGGCCTCAGCCTCCAAAGTGCTGGGATTACAGGCATGACCCACTGCACCCAGCCATATTGTGAGTTGATTTTTGTACATGCTGTGAGTGGGTATGCAGCTGTCCCAGCACCATCTTTTGAAAAGACAATTCTTTCTCCTTGTATGGTCTTGGGCCCCTTGTCAAAAGCCAATTGACCATAAAACTGAGGTTTCATTTTAGGGCTTTCAGTTCTATTCTATTGACCTGTATGTGTGTCCTTATGCCAGTACCACATTAATGTTGCCTTGTGGAAAGTTCTGATATAGGGAAGTGCGAGTTTTCCTACATTCATCTTGCCTAAGATTGTTTTAGATAACCAAGGTCCCTTGCAATTCCATATGAATTTGAGAATTGACTTTTCCAATTTATGGCATAAAGGCCACAGGAATTTTGAAAGCAATTGCATTGAGTCTGTAGGTCACTTTGGGGAGTATTGGCGTCTTAAAAATATTGTCTTCCAATACAAGAACATGGGATGTCTTTGCATTTATTTAGGTCTCCTTTAAGAATTTCTTTGAGCAGTGTGCTGTAGTTTTAGGTATAGAACTCTTACACCTCCTTGGTTAATTTATTTCTAAATATTTTATTCTTTTAGATGCTATTGTAAATAAAATTGCTTTCTTAATTTCATTTTCAAATTGTCATTACTAGTGTACAGAAATACAACTGATTATTGTGCATTGATCCTTTATCCTGCAACTTTGCTAAATTCTTTGCTTATGAGATATGAAAGTTTCTTTTTATGTGTATTCTTTGGTATTTTCTACATATAAGATTGTAGCTTTAGTAAATAGAGATAGTTTTACTTCTTTTTGTCCAACCTGGATGCCTTTTATTTCTTTTCATTGCTAATTGCCATGACTTGAATTTCCAGTACTATGTCGAAGAGAAGTGGCAAGTGTGGACATCTATGTCTTGTTTCTGATCTTACGGGGGAAACTTTCAGTCTTACCATAAAGTATAATGTTATCTGTGGGTTTTTCATAGATACCCTTTATCAGGTTGAGGAAATACTCTTCCATTCCTAGCTTATTGACTGTTTTCATTACGAAAGGGTGTTGGACGTTGTTAAATGGTTTTTAATCAACCGAGTTGATCCTGTGTAGTTGTTTTCCTTCATTCTACTAATATGGTGTATTTTAGTGATTGACTGTCCTATGTTGAACCACTCCTGAGATAAGTCCCTACCTTGTCATAGTGTATA
This sequence comes from Homo sapiens, assembly GCF_000001405.40. NCBI lineage: Eukaryota > Metazoa > Chordata > Mammalia > Primates > Hominidae > Homo > Homo sapiens. The sequence continues at coordinate 174,782,672 of NC_000005.10, forward strand.
ATGTTTAGTATGCTGCTGGGATTCAGTTTGCTAGAATTTTGTTGAGTATTTTTGCATCTCTCTCTCTCTAGTAACTTCCCTGCTTTTGTTGCTGATTTTCATAATTTGAGTGCTCTTTTTTTTTCTGTCTAGCTGAAGGTTTGCAAATTTTGTTTTGTGGTCTTTTCAGAGTACCAACTTTTGGGTTCATTATTTTCCATTTTTATATTCTCTTTTATTTCTCTCTGCTGTAATCATTATTTTTCTTTTCTGCTTTATTTTTTTTTCTTTTTCTAGCTCTTTAACATGGAAAGTTAGGCTACTAATTTGAAATCTTTCGGCCAGGTGCAGTGGCTCACGCCTTTAATCTCAGCACTTTGGGAGGCCGAGGTGAGAGAATCACGAGGTCAGGAGTTCAAGACCTCCCTGGCCAACATGGTGAAACCCCATGTCTACTAAAAATACAAAAAATTAGCTGGGCGTAGTGGCAAGTGCCTGTAATCCCAGCTACTTGGGAGGCTGAGGCAGGAGAATTGCTTGAACCCAGGAGGCAGAGGTTGCAATGAGCTGAGATCACACCACTATACTCCAACCTGAGCAACATTGTGAGACTCTGTCTCAAAAAAAAAAAAAAAGAAATCTTTCCTCTTTTCAAGTGTAGGCATTTATAGCTATAAATATCTTTCTGTGCATTGTTTTCACTGCATCCCATAATATTTGAAGTGTTTTGTTTTCATTTTTATTATTCTTAAAGGAGTTCCTATTTTCCTTTGTGATTTACTTTTGGTCCGTTGGTTGTATAACAGTGTGTTGTTTAATTTCTACATATTTGTGAATTTACCATACAGATTTATTTCTGTTATTTATTTCTAATCTCATTTCATAGTGATCAGATAATATACTTCATATGACTGCAAAATTTTAAATTTATTGAGACTTCTTTTGTGGCCTAAAGTAATTTATTCTGAAGAATATTCCCTGTGTATTTTAGAAGAATGTCTACTTAGCAGTTGTTGGAGGAAGTATTTATATATGTCTGTGAGGTCTAGTTGGTTTACAGTGTTTTTCAAGTCTTTTATTTCCTTGTTTATTTTTTCTGTTGTTCCATTCATTATTAGAAGTGGGGGTGTTGAAGTGTCCAACTATTATTGTTGAACTGTCTATTTCTCCCATTCAATTCTGTCGTGTTTACTGGATATATTTTGGAGATTCTGTTTTTAAGTGTGTATATGTTTATAATTTTTATATATACTTGACAGATTGGCCTTTTTATTATTGTAATGTCCTTTTTGTCTCATAACGATTTTTGTCTCTGTCTGATACTAATATAGCCATTCTAGGTCTCTTTTACTTGTTTTCATAGAATACATTTTTCTGTCCTTTCACTTTAAACCTATTAGTGTCATTGGTATTAGAGTGTTTTATAGGAAGCAAATGTTGGATCATATTTTTTAAAAAGTCAATTCTTGCTAAGCTATGCAATCTATGCAGTCTCTAAGCTTGATTGGAAAATTTAATCCATTTACATTTAGAATAATTACTGATAGGAAGGTAGTTATTTTTTGCACTTTGCTATTTGCTTTCTACATGTCATATACTTTTTGTTTCTCAGTTACTCCACTGCTACCTTCATTTGTGTTAGATGGATATTTTCTAGTTTGTGATTTTGATTTCCTTCTTGTTTACTTCATGATGTATACTTTTAGTTATTATCTTAGTGGTTACCTTGGAAATTACAGTTAACATCTTAATTTACTACAATATAGTTTGAATTAATACCAAATTATTTTCAGTAATATGCAAAACTTTGATTCTATATAGCTCTGACCCCTCCACCTTATGTTTGTTATTGTCACAAATTGCATGTATGTACATTATGGTCCCATCAATATAGATTTATAATGAGTGTTTTATGAAGTTTTCTTCTAAATCTTATAGAAAAATGAGTTACAAATACAAATACATTAATATTAAATTTTATATTTATCTCCATAGTTACTTCTACCAACTTTATTTGTGTGTTTATGCCCTTTCATATCAACATGAAGGACTCTTTTTATCATTACTAGTAGAGCAGTTCTACTAGTGACAATCAGTTTTTGTTTATATGGGTTTATATGGAATTATCTTCACTTCTTTATTTTGATTTTTTTCTTTTACTTTCCTTTTTTTTTTTTTTTTTGAGACAGAATCTCACTCTGTCACCCAGCTGGAGTGCAGTGGTGTGATCTTGGCTCACTGCAACCTCTGCTTTTTGGGTTCAAGCAATTTTTATGCCTCAGCCTCCCAAGTAGCTGGGATTACAGGCATGCACCACCACACCCAGCTAATTTTGTTATATTTTTGGTAGAGACAGGGTTTCATCATATTGGCCAGGCTGATCTTGAACTCCTGACCTCATTTGATCCTTCTGTCTGGGCCTCTCAAAATGCTGGGATTACAGGCATGAACCTCCACAAATGCTGGTATTACAGGCGTGAGCCACCACGCTTGGCCTGCTTTCATTTTTAAAGAATAATTTTGCCAGTTATAAAATTTTTGTTTGACAAGACTTCTTTTGGGAGGGAGTTTGTTTGTTTGATTTTTCTTGAAACACTTTAAATATGTCATCCACTGTCTTCTGACTTCCACGGTTTCTGGTTAAAAACAAATCAGCTGCTAATCTTATCGAGGTTCCCTGTACATTATGATGAACCACTTCTCTTTTGCTGCATTCAGAATTTTCTGTTTGTTTTTGGCTTCAATAGTTTGGTTAGAATGTGTCTCAGTGATATCTTTGAGTTTATACTTCTTGGGAAGCTTCGAGCTTCCTGGATGTGTAGATTCATGTCTTTCATAAATTTTGGTGAAGTTTTGGCCATTATTTCTTTAACTGTTCTTTCTTTCCCTTTATCTTTCTTCTTTTGTTCTGGGATTCCTGTTGTACATACATTGCTATGCTTGTTCCACAGGCTTCCAAAACACTGTTCATTTTTCTTTTTTACTTTTTTCTCTTTGCTCCTCCAACTGGATAATCTCAATTAACCTATCTTAGGGTTTGCTGATTCTTTCTTCTGACTACTCAAATCTGCTATTGAATTCTTCAAAGTGAATTTATCATTTGAGTAAGTGTCCTTTTCAACTCAAGAATTTCTATTTGGTTCCTTTTATAATTTGTATATCATTATTAATATGATCTGTCTGATGAGACATCATTATCATGGTTTCCTGCAGTTCTTTGTACTTAATTTGAGCATATTTAAAAGAATTAACTTAAAGTCCTTGTCTAGGTAGCTCCACTATCTCTACTTCCACCAGGCAGTTTCTATTAATTTCCTTTTTTTTTCCTTTGCCTGGGCCATACTTTCTTGTTTCTTTGCATCTTTTATAACTTTTTGTTGAACACTTGACATTTTGAATACTTTAATATGGCAACTCTGGAAATCAGAGTATCCATTTTCCTGAGGGCTTCTTGTTTCTGCTTGTTGTTGCTGTCTGTTTGTTTAGCAAATTTTCTGATTTAATTTTGTAAAGTCTTTTTTGTGTGTGGCCACTGAAGTCTCTGTTCCATTAACTTAGTGGTCAGCTAATGATTCAACAGAGATTTCTTTAAATGTCCAGAACAAAAAATCCAGAATTCTCAGTATTCACTGATAGGGTGTGTGTGTGTGTGTGTGTTTTGGTGCATGCTTTTTTTAACACTTAGCAAGGCAGTTTGCAACTCTACCTTAGCTTTCATTTCTTGTTTGTGAAGAGTCTGAAAGCCAGTCAATGGTGAGAGCTCAGAGCCTTCTCTGGTCTTTTCTATGCATCCAGCTCTGGGCATACATATGACTGGGAAAAGAAGTTATCTGAGGAATAAGGACTTTGAAACACTCCTACGTATTGCTTGTAGGTCCCAACCAGGATATTGACATCAATTCAGTCAAGATATAGATCAGTTCCATCATTACAAGGATCCCTTGTGTTGCCCTTTTATAGCCATGCCTGTCTCCTCCAAAATCCTTCAGCCCAACCCTAGGTAACCACCAATCTGTTCTCTATGTCTGCAATTTTGTCATTCCAAGAGTGTTATAAAAATGGAATCATGTGGTGTGTGGCCACTTGGGATTGGCTGGCTTCACTTAGCATGATTTCCTGGAGATTCATCTAAGTTGTGTGTATCAACAATTTGTTCCTTTTTATTGATAAGGAGAATTTCAGCATATATAACTTTCATAGTTAAAACATGCAGGAAAACTTTATTTTCTTAAAACCACCTAAGTTCACCTTTATAATGTTTTAGAAGCTTGACCACTAGCTAAGGGTTATGGTAACACACAGTTAAGGGATAATGCCTGTCCTTAGGTTGCTTATGGACTAGAGGTAGAGACAGACACATGAAAAAATAGCTACAAGGCTACAAGGTGATAAGTCCCTTAGTTCTTAGATAAACAATGTTCTTTGGAGACCCAGAGGAAGAAGACATAGTTTACTGGGGTGAGGGAGGTAGACAAAGACCAAGGAATAGTAGTATTTTCCAAGTGGACAGTGATTTCCAAAATAAAAAAGACCATGTTTGCCAAGGCAGTTTGAAGTGATGACTGAAGGGCCAGTGCTGGGGTACCCTTAGGACATTTAAAAACCTTTGTTCCACTTTATATTATATTAATGTGTAATCTTGGGCAACTTACTAAACAATGTTAAGCCTCAATTCCTTCTGCATGTATAAAATGAGGATGATGGTTTTACATGCATCCCAGGATTAAACAAGATGGGAGGATTACATATATATGAGAGGCCTAGCACATAGTATGCACTTCATAAAAGTGATCTGCAATTATTATCATTATTACTTTTAGTTTATCATTGCCCCACCATCTACTATTCTGGCCTCTTGACTTCTTTCTTAGTTATTTTGGGCTGCTATAACAAAATACCGTAGACTGGGTGGCTTAAACAACGTAAACTTATTTCTCACAGTCTTACAGACTAGAAGTCCAAGATTTAAGGCACCAGCAGATCTGGTGTCTCATGACAGCCTTCTTCCTGGTTTGCAGATGGTCAACTTCTCTTTGTATTCTCACTTGGTGGAGAGCAGAGAAGGAGAGCAAGTTCTCACATCTCTCTCTTTTTTTTTGAGATGGAGTTTTGCTCTTGTTGCCCAGGCTGGAGTGCAATGGGGCGATCTCGGCTCACTGCAACCTCTGCCTCCTGGGTTCAAGTGTTTCTCTTGTCTCAGCCTCCTAAGCAGCTGGGATTACAGGCGTGTACCACCACACTTGGCTAATTTTTGTATTTTTTTGTAGAGATGGGGTTTCACCATGTTGGCCAGGCTGATCTTGAACTCCTGACCTCAGGTGATCTGCCCACCTCGGCCTCCCAAAGTGCTGAGATTACAGGCGTGAGCTACTGCACCTGGCCCCTCACATCTCTTCTTATAAGAGCACTGTCTTAGTTCATTTTGTCCTGCTATGGCAGATACCAGAGACTGGGTAATTTATAAGGAACTGAGATTTATTTCTAACAGTTCTGGAGGCTGGAAAGTCCAAGAGTAAGGGGCTGCCTCTGGTGGGTGATTTCTTGCGGTGTCATCCCATGACAGAAAGCAGAAGGGCCAGAGAGTACTCACACGTGAGAGAGCAGAAGGGGTCACATTCATCCTTTCTTTAGGAACTCACTCCTGAGATAACAGCATTAATACATTTATGAGGACAGAGCCCTCCTGATCTAATCACCTCTAAAAGGTTCCACCTCTTAAAGTTTCCAACACATAAACTTTGGGGGAAGTTTTAAACCATAGCAGGCGTGAATCCCATTTATGAGGATTTCGCCCTTATTAGGGTCCCCTTTCCTAATACTATCACATTGGGGGCTGGGATTTCAACATGTGAATTTGCAGGAAGGATGCAAACATGCAGTCCAAAACAACTTCCTTGTATCAGGAATCTTGAAGAGTTATCAAGACTTCTTGCCTGAAATTTCTCCAAGGTTCAATGTTTAAGGTCACATTTTTCTGCCATAACCATCCCACAGTGGAGTTTTGCTTGGTCTTACAATTCTTGTTTCTCTTGGTGAGTTGCACAAGTGGATTCAGGCATCAGAGGATGACCCTGAAGAAATAAATGCCTGTGATGGAGTGGCTCCTAATAAGGGATGCCATCTGTGGTTGACATGAGAGGGCTTGTCTCACAGCTTTGTGTTGTGTGTTGTCAGGAAGCCTGTCCAGCATCTACACACACTGGGTGTTTACCGGACCTCTCTGGATCTGCGCTACCTAACTGCTACACAACTACATTCATAACTCCCCATGACCTGTAATCATGGCTGCCCTCAAAAAAGGTCAAGGGTGGCCGGGCTCGGTGGCTCACGCCTGTGATCCTAGCACTTCGGGAGGCTGAGGCGGGTGGATTGCCTGAGCTCAGGAATTCGAGACCAGCCTGGGAAACACGGTGAAACCCCATCTCTACTAAAATACAAAAAATTAGCCGGGCATGGTGGCATGTGCCTGTAGTCCCAGCTCCTCGGGAGGCTGAGGCAGGAGAATTGCTAGAACCCAGGAGGCAGAGGCTGCAGTGAGCTGAGATTGCGCCACTGCACTCCAGCCTGGGTGACAGAGTGAGACTGTCTCACCCAAAAAAAAAAAGAAGTCAAGGGCAAAGCCAAGGCCACACCAACTGTCTGGTGCCGTGAAAACAGGAACCCGGATTTCTAGTGTCCACGGTCTTCCTGGCTCACAGTCATTTCTGTCTGAGCGCATTGGCTAAGAACAGGGCTGGGGAAACTACTGTCGTGGGGCTCACTGGACCTACCACCAGCTTTTGTATGGTCCGTAAAAGCCAAGAACGGGGTTTACATTTTTAAACTGTTGGAAAAAAAATCAAAACAAGAATAATTTTTCCTAATACCAAAAATTGATATGAAATTGTAATTTTAGTTTCCATATAAAGTTTTACTGCTGGGCTCACTCGTTTTCACAATACTGACAGCCACTTTTGTGCTATGACAGCAGAGACAGAGACTGGCATGCAAAGCCTAAAATATTTACTACTGGGCTCTTTGCAGAAAAAGTTTGTTAAGCTCTGGTTTACAGCATGGGCCCTGGAGCCAGACTGACCTAGGTTTGAGTGCTGTCTAGCTACACCTTGGGCGAGTGACTTACCTCACTGAGCCTCACCATCCTTGTGTGTATAGGAGGAATGAGAATGGCATGAGTCTCCTAGGGCTGTCGTGAGGATTAAGGAAGATAGTACAGTGCTGGAACCTAATCAGGACCTGGTAAGTTGTCATTACTAGTGTAATGACAATGACTTTTTTTTTTTTTTTTTTTGAGACAGAGTTTCGCTGTGTCGCCCAGGTTGGAATGCAGTGGTGCAATCTCAGCTCATTGCAACCTCCACCCCCGCCCCCCCGGTTCAAGCGATTCTCCTGCCTCAGCCTCCCGAGCAGCTGGGACTACAGGCACATGCCACCATGCCTGGCCAATTTTTATATTTTTAGTAGAGACGGGGTTTCACTATATTTGCCAGGCTGGTCTCAAACTCCTGACCTTATGGTCTGCCCACCTCAGCCTCCCAAAGTGCTGGGATTACAGGCATGAGCCACTGCGTCCAACTGACAATTATCATTGTTAACTGTGTGATAGGTACCACGGACACACACAAGAATGAAACGCCATCTGTACCCTTGAGTTGCCCACAGTCTTGGGAAGGAGGCAACAAAAATGTAAGACAGTTATAACACAGTCTGTTAAATGTCAACAGAGGAGGAAACCTGGCCCGGCATGGTGGCTCATGCCTGTAATCCCAGCACTTTGGGAGGCCAAGGCAGGTGGATCACTTGAGGTCAGGAATTCGAGACCAGCCTGGCCAACATGGTGAAACCCCATCTCTACTAAAAATACAAAAATTAGCTGGGCGTGGTGGTAGGCGCCTGTAATCTCAGCTACTCAGGAGGCTGAGGCAGGAGAATCGCTTGAACCCTGGAGGCAGAGGTTGCAGTGAGCCAAGATCACGACATTGCACTGTAGCCTGGGCGACAACAGTGAGACACCATCTGAAAAAAAAAAAAAAAGAGAGAGAGAAGAAGAAACCTAACTGCAGGAAGAGATGGATGGATGCATTAAAGATGACAAAGGGGCAGGAGGGAAGCCTGGAGTGATGAGTTCGGGTAAATATTGAATATTCTTGAAGAACAATTTCTATATTCTAGGCACTGGCTAAATGCTTTCCATGAATCTTTCTTATAATTTAGTCCTTATAATAATCCATTGATTCTCAGCCGGGGGGAGAAGAAAGGAGGTTTGATCCCCAGGGAATATTTGGCAATGTCTGGAAACATTTTTGGTTGTCATGCTGGGAGTGGGGCTGCTGCTGGCATCCAGTGGGTGGAGCCCAGTGATGCTGCTAACACCCCGCAATGCACAGGACAGCCCCCACCACAAACAGCTGTCCTGTCCAAAATGTCAATAGTTCTGGGGTTGAGAAGCTTAGTAATAACCCTGAGGAACGCTTCCTGTCTACGGTTTACTGAGATTTAGAGTCTAACTTGCTTCCCCCTAGGCCCCAGAGCTTAGCAGCCATGCCACAGACACTATTCTCACAGCTTCCTTTGGCCAGCCACGGAGGAGCTCTGAATGGCTTCAGTGGGGAAGTAACAGGGACAGATTTCTGCTTTACAAAAGATTATTTTGGCATCTCAAGTGGAGGAAGTACTAGAGGCCTGAGCTGGAGGGTGGGACCTGGAAGCAGGTTAGAGAGTAAGATGGGGTGGGGTGGGCCCGGGGGCGGGGGTCTATTGCCAAAGGGCAGCGTCTATTGCCACCCTCAGATTGAGAAGAGCAGGGATGCTTGTTAAAGTAGACACCCCTCCTTCTCCAGCCCTACAGAATCAGCATTTCTCAGGATGAAACAGCACTTGTGTTTTAGTGAGTGACCCACATTGATTTTTTAAAAAACTTTTATTTAAGGTTCAGGGGCACGTGTGCAGGTTTGTTATATAGGTAAGTTGCATGTCATGAGGGTTTGATGTACAGATTATTTTGTCATGCAGGTAATTAGCATAGTACCCAATAGGTGCCATCAGTTAAAACTGGTAGATACTGTAGTATCTACTGGGTAGATTGAGAGAGATCTATACATTTTGTTCTTTTTTTTTTTTTTTGAGACAGAGTCTCGCTCTGTCGCTAGACTGGAGTGCAGTGGCATGATCTTTGCTCACTGTAATCTCCACCTTTCAGGTTCAAGCAAGTCCCCTGCCTTAGCCTCCCGAGTAGCTGGGACTACAGGCGCGCGTCACTACGCCTGGCTAATTTTTTGTATTTTAGTAGAGACAGGGTTTCACCATGTTGGCCAGGATGGTCTCAATCTCTTGACCTTGTGATCCACCTGCCTCGGCCTCCCAAAGTGCTGGGATTACAGGGGTGAGCCACCGTGCCTGGCTGAGACCTTTTTAAAAATTTTAAATTAAAAAATTTTTTAAATTTTACATTTTAAAAATTATTTATTTATTTATTTAATTTTTATTTTAAGTTCAGGGGTACATGTGCAGATTTGTTATATAGGTAAGCTTGTGTCATGGGGGTTTGTTGTATAGATTATTTAGTCACGAGGTGTTAAGCCTAGTACCCATCAGTTGTTTTTCTTGATCCCCTCCCCACTCCTACCCTCCACACTCTGATAGGCCCCAGTGTCTGTTGGTCCCCTGCATGTGTCCATGTGTTCTCATCATTTAGCTCCTACTTATAAGTGAGAACATGTGGCATTTGGTTTTCTGTTCCTGCCTTAGTTTGCTAAGGATAATGACCTCCAGCTTCATACATGTTCCTGCAAAGGACATGATTTTGTTCTTTTTTTATGGCTGCATAGTATTCCATGATGTATATATACCACCTTTTCTTTATCCAGTCTACCATTGATAGGGATTTAGACTGGTTCCATATCTTTGCTCTTGTGATTAGTGCTGCAATGAACATACACATGTGTGTGTCTTGATAACAGAATAATTTATATTCCTTTAGATATATACCCAGTAATGGGATTCCTGGGTCGAGTGGTATTTCTGTTTTTAGGTCTTTGAGGAATTGCCACACTGTCTTCCACAATGGCTGAACTAATTTACACTCCCACCAACAGTGTATAAGTGTTCCTTTTTCTCCACAACCTCACCAGCAGAGAGATCTTAAGCTGAGCTCAGAGGGCTGAGACTGAGAGCAATTTACAGAGTTTTTCCAGGAGCTGGAGACATAGACACGAAATAACAGACAAGAACTAAGTAAAACATATAGTGTGTTAGGCAATGACAGATGCCTTGGAGAAAAATAAAGCAAGGAGGATGGATAGAAGTGACGGGGTTTTCATTTTAAATAGGGAGGTAGAAAAGGTCTGTGATATATTCATGTTCAGAAAAAGAGCATCTTCACGAGAGCTGCTTTAGAGCTGCATTAGAACGCTGCTCCATAGTCAAGGAGAAACTCTTTATGAACTATCAGCCATTCAGCTGACGAACCCTTTAAGGGACTGGCCATTCTGTGAACGGGCTTGCAGTGGAGAGTAAGGGAGGAGAAGCAGGTGAACACCAGAGAGAGGTTAGTTCAGCCTTGCACCTGCTGACTGGGTGGCGTCCCCAGAAGTGGGATGAGACCAGGGGAGCTTTCCCAGGTGTCTTTGCTGGGTGAAGGGAGATAGAAGCTCATGCCCGTTGTTCTGACCCAGTTATCCAAGGGTCCCTGTCTCACTCTCGAGTGTCTGAGTTGGGATGTCAGATTGGTGGTCACTCTCGAGATGCCACCTGGAGCATTAGGGCCTGTGAGCAGGGGCTTAGAAAGGGGAAATAACTCTCTGGAAGGAAATGGACAGGCCTGCAGAACAAACTCTTTTCCAAATGAAGACCAGCCCTTGGCGACTGGCCCGGTACCCAGGGACAGCAAAGGAAGACAGCCTGTGAACAGCCCAGTGTCTGGCCTGGAAAACACGTATTTCCACGCCATTTTAAACGGGCAGTTGCTGAATTCATCACTCTGTGTTTCAACAATAGGGACTTAGTTAATGAAGCGGTTATGGGCAATCCCTGATGGAATCATATTTGTCTTTGCAATGCAGGAAACATGCGATAATGTGTTGAAGTGGGGCGGCGGCTCCTCCTCGCAGAAACCCTCCGCAGTCCCCTACCCCAGAAAGGTTTCCCTTCCCTCCCCTTCCCGCAGGCCCGGGGCTGGTTTGGGGCTCCAGTCTGAGCGCCTCCTCCGCGACGCGCCACATGGCTGGCACCGGCGCGCCCCCGCGCGGCCGCCTGCGAGAAGCTCACTCTCCGCGGAGGCGAAATCTGGTTTTGATTCAATTAGATTAAGTTCAGGGGCAGGGAGGGAGGCTTAGTCCCGGGCCCTGCAGGGACTATAAAAGAGAAGTTTGAGGCTCGTGGGGTGGGGGACGGGGGCACGTGGAGGCAGATAAATACAAACATGGGGTTAAGAGTTAACGATTGGAGCCAGACTGTCTAAGTTACTCCCGTGGCCACTGCTAGGGACTTGGATGACTTTGGGCAAGTCATTAAACTGAACAACGGTAGTGTGGACCTCCCCGGGATGCTGACAGCCTCAGAGAGATAGTATTCAAAGTTGTCCCAACACAGGTTTGGGAGCATAGAACATGCTCAGAAAGTGTTCCTTATTAATTTTTATTATTATTACAATCACCAGTGGTCTTTGTATGACATTTAAAAGATTCCAGAACGCACTCTCCCTTCTGTTACTCCATCCCTAACTACTAATGTTAAACTTAATGTCTTTGTAAAAGTAGGAGGGAGAGAAGAAAAAGCATATTAACACATATGTCTGCAAATAAATTATCTTCAGCTGCTACCGCACTTGTTTCCCCTTTTACCTAACCCAGACCCAGGAGGAATTGAGGGCACATTATGCCATGTAATTCACATTTAAGTTCATCATATATAAAACAAATCAATATTAACTACGCTAATTTCCCTCTGTATTTTCCCGGTGGTGTGGATCGTAAAATAGGCTGGCTTCACGTCCATACCAGCGACTTCATTAAAGCATCTGGGGAAAATACAACTTGTTATTATAAAGCGGGGCACGGAAGTGTAAATAAGTAAACGGTAATTTGATTTGAGCATAAAGCTCATCCATATAGAGCAGGGTTTCTCCACCTTGGCATTATCGACATTTTGGACTAGATATTTCTCTGCTGTGGTGGGGGTTGTTCTGCTGGCCTCTACCCACCTGATACCAGTAGCGATGCCGCCCCCACCTCTCCCCCACACCCCACCCCCCCCCGTCCCCCCTGCCCCCCGCTGACCCCGCAGTTGTGATCATCCAAAATGTCTCCAGACATCGACAAATATCTCCTGGGGGGCAGCATTGCCCCGAGGGAGAACCTCTAATATAACGTGTGGTTTTTTGTGTGAGGCCATCTAGTTACAGCCAACAAAACGAAGCGTCCAGCTTGCATAATTCTAAGACAGCCGTTCTGGAATGGTATGTAGGCCCTTCCTGCCACAAAAACAGGCCCGGCTATGATGCGGGAAAGGTCCCTAGGACCCCTACTGAGTTGGAATTTGAAGCAAAGGAAGTGGGAATTGAAAACTGTTCCCCGGGACCCACAGTTCTGCTGCCTGTAGAAATCCCCTGACAGTCCTTGGAATCTTATTAGAACATGGTTAGTTTAGTAAAAGATGCCTATGTTATTCACTGTAAAGGGGTCATTATAATATTAAATGAAAATTTTGTTTAAGTACCACAAAATCTCATCATCCTTGCAAACAGTAGCTTTCATTTTAGGCAGATTTCTTGTGGGTCTTATATATCAGGGGTTGGCAAACTACAGCTCATGGCCGCCTGTCTTTATAAATAAAGCTTTATTGGCACACAACCACATCCACTCATTTACATTATCACTGTGGCTGCTTTCACTCCGCTGTTGCAGATTTGTGACAGAGACTAGAATATTTACTGTCTAGCCCTTTACTGAAAAAGTTTGCCCACTGCTATTATATACAAACATTGTCCACAAAACTTCAATTGTCTTATGCTCTTTTGATATGGCACACAATTAATTTTATATCATTTGGGCAATAGTTTACAGGCTTTCCTGATGACAAAATCCCTTCACAGCCATACCCTCACCTGATTATAGAAATGGCTGCAGAAGGGAAGTAGTAGTATTTTTCTCAAGGATCAGAAGAGATCACTAAGGCAAAGAAGGGTGGCATGACTGGCCCAAAGTCACGATCAGTAAAAATCAGAGCTGAGACTCATGATCTTATCCCTTGTTCCATCATCACACTTCATGGATTTCTACCTGTCCTGAGCTGTGAGTTTGTCATATGTATGCTGTGATATGCAGATTCTCTTACAGCTGTTTTTTGGTTCTAAACATTCAGCAACTTAGTAACCAGTGCAGATAAAAAACACACTTTTGGTTTGATTGTTTCTTTGTATTCCTAGGATGGTGGCCTCATTTAGAAATTTCCCCAAACCAAGGTGACAGCTTATTCTCTCCTAGTAAATCAAGACAGATATATAATTTGCCCATTGTTTCGTAAATATGAACACCAAGTAAGTCATGCCAACCCAGAAGGAATAAACCACACTAACAGCATCTGAAGGTTAGATGGGATATATAGGACTTCCACAGCAGATTTATTGGTGAAGTTATTTGGTTTTGCCCTGGGGCAAAATTAACTCAAGATGGGATATTAGATATTTAGGCCGGCATTAAAGTGTTGTATGGGGAAAAAAGAAAAAAAACTTGATTCTGTGGTTAAATGTGGGAAACACTGTTTTAATAAAAAATAAAAAGGTTTCAGCTGCAGAACTTTTCAGAGCCTTTAATACATTAATATGCTTGTAACTTTCCAAGGGGGCCAAGGTGTGCAGCACTTTGCAACTTCTCTTGATGGTGGGCCCCCTTCTTTCCAGAAATATCCATTAGGGTCATTCCATGGATATGTTTTAGGGTCCGCGCAATGCTCCCCGCACACTGCAGCCCTATCTACACGGGGCATCCCATGTACCCCTTATGGTAACTGTAAAGAAGGGGTCCTTATTATCCCCACTTCATAGATGGAGAGTCAGGCTCAGACTCCCCAGCAACCTGGGGTGGTTGCAGGATTCAGCTGCAGGGCATCTGCCCCAAGCCTGCATTCCCAGCTACTGTGTCACCCCATTGCTTGGGTATATCTCCCTTGTTAATCAAATTAATTAGCCCATTCGGCTTCATAAAGGAATCTGGAGGTAAAATGGTTTAATTTTCTCATTGAATTTCTCAGCATCTTGACGAAGAGACTGACCTCCTCTGTGGGCTTTGGTGTTCTAACACAGCTTGAATTGACTAGCATATAGCAGTTGTCTTTCTGGCCACGGCAATGCTCGATAATGACGTCAGCTCAGGCTGGTGGCCCTGGCTCTTAGTTCTAAACCTTGAGTTGACCCTGCATGGACTGTCAGGAACGGAGGTGCCACTGAAGCCTCTCTTATCCTATGCCACACCCAATCTTTCAGTGGACTGGATCTGGCCCCCAGGGGAACGCCTCATATATTTATTAATTAGGACTCTTGGTTGCAAGTGTTAGAAACTCAACTCAAACTCGGATGAAGCTGGAAATCATCATTCTCAGCAAACTAACAAAGGAACAGAAAACCAAACACCACATGCTCTCACTCATAAGTGGGAGTTGAACAATGAGAACACGTGAACACAGGGAGGGGGACATCACACACCCGGGACTGTCGGGGGGCAAGGGGAGGGAGAGCATTAGGACAAATACCTAATGCACACGGGGCTTAAAACCTAGATGACAGGTTGAAAGGTGCAGCAAACCATCATGGCACATGTATACCTATGTAAGAAACCTGCACATTCTGCACATGTATCCCAGAACTTAAAACGAAAGGAAAAAAAAAAAAAAGGAAAAAAAAGAAACTCACTCAAACTCTTAAGTAAAAAGAGAACTTTACTGGTACATAAATCCAAGGAAGGGGGTGAAGAACTGGGCCTCAGGAAGGATAGCCGCTCAGCTGGGCTCAAGAACAACCAGAACCAGGACACGGCATGTTCTGAAACACTGTTTCTTGGCTTTTCTCTATAAGCAATTTTATATTCTCTTACTGTAGGCTGCCTCTTCTGAGGTAGGAAACATGGTGACATGGTCTGAGATTTGTAATGCCACCTTTTCAGCCACCAGAGAGTAACTGACTTGCGTGTTGTTTGATCCCAAGACCAAGCCTCAGGGAAGGGACCCATTGGCACAGCTGGGTCGGGTGACCAACATGGGATCCACCAGCTATGACCAGAGTGGGGGAAAGTAGCCATGGGAGAAAGGAAGTTTCTAGAACGGCAGACAGTCCCACCTATTCATGGAAGCAAATGACAGCCAGGTGGGTCAGTCAATTAAATTCTAACCCTGGTGTTTACTTTACCTATGAAAGTTCACCATTTAGGTTAAAAAATTCCTGTTTTGCTGAAGTTAAAAGTTGCCTTTCTCATTAAATGGAACAGTAAAGGGAAGTGGTTAAGTGGGGTGTTTAAGTGTATAATAGTATCACCTCCGAGAACTCTTGTGAGGATTAAATGCCATAATACAGGAAAAGTGCCCAGGACACAGTAAGCACTCAATCCATGCTAACTGTTGTTATTATAAACAAAGAGAATCCTTCAGAAGGCATTCATGACAAGCCTTTCACATGTGTATCCTTTCTCCTTAGTTTCCTGGGGGTGGAAGTCTGCAGCGTGGCCAGCCTCAGTGATAGCTGGCAAGAGTTGGGTGTCTGGTCGGGGTACAGTCTTGTTACTGCGTGTGCTTCTCTGGGGAACGGACAACAAAAGTGAAGCCTCAGCGGTGTTCACGGCAGGATCGGATTCTCTGCCCATCCTCTAAAACCTCCACCCCATGCTGACATTAAAGTGAATTTGTTTCCTGAGACAACCTAATTTCCTCTGAAAAGATCTAATCTTCCAGGAAGTGGTTCATTTCATCCAAACCCAAAATGATTTCAGCTGTCTGACGGAATAGGTGTTCCTTGTTCTTCGCCCCGACGTCTACATCTCTGTCACTTCCTGGAAATGCAGACAGACAACTGCACAGAGCATTGCGATCCTGTCCCAGGATTTTCCAGACCATAAAGGAAATGTGGATATTAGACCGGCTGTGCCCTTGAGCAACACCCAGTACCTAAAATCATTGGGTTTCCAAGAGGGACTATGTTGAGGAGGCATATGGTTTTTATAACTGACAAGACATTCTGATTCATTAGAACCACTGAAATTGTGTGCGAGGGAAAGCTACACAAAAGAAGACCCCTTAGCTTATAGCTGTGACCAGGCTAGTGGGCTGGGGGCCTTCAATCACCTCACCTCTCGGGCTAGTTCTCTCATCTCTAAAATGGAGATGAAATGGGTTTTGAGGTGTAAATGAGACAAAGACTGGGAAATGGCACCCATCGCACATTGCCTGACACACAGGGAACACTCCCCCTCCTCTGGGAGCACAGGAGAAGCAGAGAGGGGATCACCCACCCTCTGCCAACGGATATCAGTCGGCAGTCAAATTGTTCTTTAAGCACCACTTTCCTTTAATCAGGCTATTCTTCACCGGGGCTGTTTTAATTAAGGATCTGCTGTCAACACAAAACATATGTTCTGAAGTCTTGCTTTGGTTACTAATGATGCCCGGGATGATTAAGTCTGGAAGGAATTTCCAGCTCCGGCTTGCTTGGCCTCTTCTCCCTCCCCCCAGTCCCTCAAGCCCCCATTTCGTTCACATCTCAGCTTTCACCCACTTACACTCAGTCCTTGGCACTGTTACCCTTTTGGAAACTGACCTAGAAAAGCAATCTGTTCCAATCGATGTGCATGGTGTAATATCCCAAAACACGCTTCTGACCATCTTTTATTCCTGCTGATAATCATTCCATTGAGATCCAGGCTAATAATTTGTTATTTTTTCAAACTACATTATTCAAAAAAAGTTACATACACACACACACCACATATACCATATATGTGTATATACACAAACACTGACATATACTCATATGTGTATACACACACCACATATACTTTATGTATGTATACACACACACTACATATACTATAAACGTTACACACACTACCCACACTGTATATGTATACACATACCACATATGCTATATGTGTAGATATACACACACCACATATACTATGTATACACACATGCCACATATACTATATATGCATACATGCACACCACATATACTATCTGTGTATACACACATCATATATACTCTGTATGTATACACACATATACATGTATACACACACCACATATGTAAGTATACATGCACACCACATGTACTATATATGTATACACATACTATATATGCACACATGCATACCACATATACTATATATGTGTATACACACATCATATATACTATATACGTATACATACACCACATATATACATGTATACACACAACATATGTATGTATACACACCCACCACATATGTATGTATACACACACACCACATATACTATATATGTATACACATACTATATATGCATACATGCACACCACAAATATTATGTATGCATATACACATACCACATATATATATGCATACACATACTATATATGCATACATGCACACCACATATACTACATATGTGTATACACACACACCACATATACTATATATGTATACACACACACCACATAAACTATATATGTATACATACACCACACATACTATACATGTCTGTACACACACATCACATATATATTTGTATACACACACACTACATATGCTATATATATGTATACACATGGTGAACTGGAGAAGGGGCAGAGTGGTTGCCTATTGGCTGAGCTCAGGTGCTTCTCAATTGTCCTGGGTTTGGCAGGCAGCCTCCTACACTGGTCCCCACCTATGGGTATTTATACTCTGTGATCCCCTTCCCTTGAGCATGGGCAGGACCCAGTGACTTGTTTCCAACCAATAGAATGCAGCAAAAATGGTGATGTCATTTCCAAGATTAGGTTATAAAAGACCCTGCCTTCTGTCTCACTAGGACTGTCTCCTGGCCTCTTGATTGTGTGCTCTGATAAAGCCAGGTGCCTTGTGGAGGGGCCTGCCTGGCCAAGCACTAAGAGGGGCTGCAGCCTAATAGCCACTTAAAAGCCTGAAAATAAGTCCACCCCAGTTAAGCCTTGAGACAACCCCAGCCCTAACTGACACCTTGATTGCAGCTAAGTAAGACACCCTGAGTTGGCAGACTGAGGAGCTGTGCCCAGATTCCTGATCCACAGAAACTGGGAGACAGTAAATGTGTGCTATGTTAGGCTGCTAAGTCTGAGGTCATTTGCTGTGCAGCAACACATAACCCTAAGCAATTCAGTCCGGTCCCAAATTTACAAACTCCTGAGATTATGTGCCTGGTAAAGTGGAATAAGTCAGACTCTTGTGAAGAGGAAGATAGTGCCTAGCTCAGAGCGCTGGTGTATGAGATGAAATAGCATTTGCCCAGTGACAGCCCAGGCTTGGCTTATAGCAGGTTTCACATAAGCATTAGCTATTATCACTGATTCCTCAAGGCCTCTTTGTCTATTTCCCTCTCTGGAGACCTTTCTCAGTCCCTTTGCCTCTCTCACTAGGGAGCGCTCATCACTCACTGTACCAGGAACTCACACTAACCTATTGGAACCTTGCCACTCTATGCTATAGTCTTCTTATTTTATGTGAACCCCCTTCTCTCCACTATACTGTGAAATTCATCATTGTGTCTATAGCACCTATAGACCTATAGTTAAATAGGTCTATAGCAGCTATAGCACCTATAGTCAAATTTTAAAAATCACCTTTTCTACCTTTCTATTCTAGGCAAATATGGTACCATGTTGAGACGCCTGGGGGTGCAAATGAAAGAGCTTTTCTGAAGACTTTGTTGCCTTCAAAGGCAGGGAGAACCATCTCAACCATCACGGATGATTTAAGCGCAAATAAAACTCACTATTGAGGGAAATAGCAGGAGTTCAGAAAAGTCATGTAGAAGAAATGGGGCTTTGATTGTGAAATTCTTTGGTCCTCAAAGGCCAAGAACATTAAATTTCCTCTTCATTTTGCTCACGAAGAGATGGGAGTAAGAGTCAGGAGCTCTTGGAGATAGTCTAGTGCTGGTAGGTAACCGTATGTCCATTTCACAGATGAGGAAATGGAGGCAATTAAAGAAAAAAACAGGTCAGCCACATAGCTAAGTATAGGTCCAAAAGTGACTTTATTTTAAATGCTCATTTGCCTGACTAACCCTGAGTCTGGGAATGCCTCCAAAATGTCTAGTTGATGTATTATTTTTTATGTGGGACACCTATTCATTGTAGGTTTCCTCCAAAACAACCCTTGGTGCTGCTGCAGAACTCATAGGCTGTGATGCCTGCAGCATTCTCTCAGCCACCTACACATTCCTTCCAGAGCACGTATACTTTTGCCCCAAGATATAAGCCTTGGGTGGGGGGGTGGCGGTGCAGAGAGCTACCTGTCCTTCAGCTGCCCAAGACCATACTTCTGCTTGTAAGTTTCCCTTACTAAATCACCCCAGGCCAACAAACTGGATTTGTCCACCTCATTCTTTGGTTTCTCGGCACCTTTGGAATTTGGGGGTCATTTTGGATACAAGGCGCTTTTACGGAAAGGCCAGTTAGTATGGGAAAGAGAGGGTAGATCTGGGACTCAACCTTAAGCCTGCTTGTTGCAGGAGGTCACGCTCCTAGAGTCACCATATCCTTAAAGGTACCCTGCAGTTCTGGGTGGATAAATCTGCAAACTAGAGGGCCACTTATTTAAGATAAATACCAGGTTTCCCTTCTCCTCCCCTGGGCCAAGGAGGAGGAAGAGCAGCATGTATGTCTCCTTAAGGCTTCTTCCTTGTTCCTCCCATCTAAAATTTTATTTGTTTATTTTATGGCTTTTTTTTAAATTGTAAAAGTCATGAATGCTCACAGAAACAACCCAGGCATGTTTTAAATTTTTATTTTATTTATTTTTTTAATGAAGCAGGGTCTCACTCTGTCACCCAGGCAGGAGTGCAGTGGTGCAAACACAGCATATTGTAGCTTCGATCTCCAAGGCTTAAGGGATCCTCCTACCTCATTTTTAATTTTTTTTTTTTGTAGAGACAAGGTCTTGCTATGTTGTCCAGGCTTGTCTCAAACTCTTGGGCTCAAGCAATCTTCCCACCTTGGCCTCCCAAAGTGCTGAGTTTACAGGCATGAGCCACCACATCCAGCCAACACATGCATTTTTTAGAAAACAAAACCACAAGAGTTTTACGTGTGCACAGAAAAAAAAGTCTGTTTTGTTGACCGATGTGTCCACAATGCTTAGTTTGGAAGGAATTAGGTAATTAATAAATATTTATTTAAGACACAAACAAGTTATTGCCAAGGGGCTAGATTATGGGAGGCATTAATTTTTATTTTATACACTTCCGTGTTGTGATTGGTAATTTTATGTGTCAATTTGAGTGGGCTAAGGATGTCCATCCAGCTGGTAAAACATTACTCTTGGGTGTGTCTGTGAAGGTGTTTCTGGAAGAAATTAGCACCTGAATCAGTAGACCAAGTAAAGAAGATCTGCCCTCACCAGTGTGGGGGGGCATTGCCCATTTCACTGAGGGCCCAAATAGAACAAAAAGGCAGAGGCAGGGCAAATTCAGTCTCTCTCCTTGAGCTGGGACATCCATCTTCTTCTGCCCTTGGACACTGGAGATGCTGGTTCTCAAGGCTTTGGACTCCAGGACTTACACCAGCCCTCCTACTCCCTTTCTGTGTTCTCAGGCTTTTGGCATTGGACTGGGAGTTACACCATTGGGTTTTCTGGTGCCCAGGACTTCGGAAATAGACTAAATTAACCACAAGTTTTCATGGTTCTCCAGCTTACAAATGGCATTTTGTGGGATGATATGGTTTGGCTCTATGTCCCCACCCAAATCTCACCTTGAATTGTAGTTCCCATAATCCCTGCATATCATGGGAGTGTCCTGGTAGGAGATAATTTAATCATGGGAGTGGTTCCCTCATGCCGTTCTTGTAATAGTGAGTGAGTTCTCA
This sequence comes from Homo sapiens, assembly GCF_000001405.40. Lineage (NCBI taxonomy): Eukaryota > Metazoa > Chordata > Mammalia > Primates > Hominidae > Homo > Homo sapiens. The sequence goes on from NC_000005.10 coordinate 174,803,709, forward strand.
TGAAATCTGATTTTTCTTTTTTTTTTTTTTTTGAGAAAACAGTCTCGCTCTGTCACCAGGCTGGAGTGCAGTGGCGCAATCTTGGCTCACTGCAACCTCTGCCTCCTGGTTCAAGCGATTTTTCTGCCTCAGCCTCCCAAGTAGCTGAGACTACAGGCATGTGCCAGCATGCCCCGCTAATTTTTGTATTTTTAGTAGAGACAGGGTTTCACCGTGTTGGCCAGGATGGTCTCCATCTCTTGACCTCATGATCTGCCTGCTTTGGCCTCCCAAAGTGCTGGGATTACAGGCATGAGCCACTGTGCCTGGCCGATCTGATGGTTTTATAAGGGGCTTTTCCCCCTTTGGCTCAGCACTTCTGTCTCCCGCAGTCATGAGAAGGACATGTTTGCTTCCCCTTCCACCATGACTGTAAGTTTCCTGAGGCCATCCAGCCATATGGCACTGTAAGTCAATTAAACCTCTTTCCTTTATAAATTACCCAGTCTTGGGCAGTTTTTTATAGCAGCGTGAGAACGGACTAATATATGGGACTTCTTGGCCTCTGTAATCACGAGCTAATTCCCATAATAAATCACCTAATATCTATCATCTATTTGTCGATCCATCCATCCTATTGATTTTGCTACTCTAGAAAGCCTTGGTTAAAATATGTACTATTCGAATTTTTAAATAATCATCTGTGTGTGTGTGTGTGTGTGTGTGTATATATATATATATATATTTGAGACGGAGTTTTGCTCTTGTTACCCAGACTGGAGTGCAATGGCATGATCTTGGCCCTCACCACAGCCTCTGCCTCCCGGGTTCAAGTGATTCTCCTGCTTCAGCCTCCCGAGTAGCTGGGATTACAGTCACCTGCCACCACACCTGGCTAATTTTTGTATTGGTAGTAGAGACAGGGTTTCTTCATGTTGGTCAAGCTGGTCTTGAACTCCCGACCTCAGGTGATATGCCTGCCTCGACCTCCCAAAGTGCTGGGATTACAGGCATGAGCCACTGTGCCCGGTCCCCTGTGTATATATTTTTAAACACAAATAACTCATTGTTATACTTTAGCTGTAAAAATGCAGAAGGTATGGAGTAAATAATTATTTAAAAAATTAGAAAACAAAGTTGGCATGTGTATTAGTTTCCTAAGGCAGTGTAACAAAGTACCACAAACTCAGCAGCTTAAACAACAGAAGCCAATTGTCTCAGAGTTCTGGAAGCCAGAGGTCTGAAATCAAGATGTTGGTATGGCCACACACATTCTGGAATCTGTAGGGTAATCTTTACTTGCCTCTTCTAGCTTCTGATGGTTTGTTGGCAATTTTTGGTGTTCTTTGGCCTGCAGTTACATAACTCCAATTTCTGCCCTCATGACATCTTCCCTCCTGCATCTGTGTCTTCACATGGCTGTGCTGTCTTCCTATAAAGACATCAATCATATTGGATTAGGGCCCATCCTAATGACCTCCTTTTAACTTGATTACCTGTGTAAAAACCCAGGCTCTGAAGCCCAGAGGCAAAAGGACTACACCCAGGTCCACAGTGAGCTTGGATTTAAGCCAGGAATTCCTTTCAACTTTCAGCACATGTCTAGTTGAGAAGAAATAACTGGAGATAGAGTAGTTCCCCTTTATCCGCAGTGGATACATTCCAAGACCCCTAATGGATGCTTGAAACCTTGGATGGTGTCTGCCTTTGTTCATTTTCTGTTACTAGAATACCACAGACTGGAGAATTTATAAAGAACAGAAGTTTATTTGGCGCATGGTTCTGGAGGCTGGGAAGTCCAAAAGCATGGTGCAGGCATCTGGCAAGGATCACCTCATAGCAGGAAGCATCATATGGCAAGTGAGTGCAGGAGACACAGACAAGGGGCTCAAGTCCTTGGGTAACTAACCTACTCCTGAGATAATGGCAATCTATTTATGAGGGATCCACTGTCATGATCTAATCACTTCTCGTTTTTTCCCTTTTTGTGGAGAACAGGGTCTTGCTACATTGCCCAGACAGGTCTCCAACTTTTGGGCTCAAGCTGTCCTCTCACCACTGCCTCCCTAAGTGTTGGGATTATAGGCATGAGCCACTACACCCAGCTTCTTTCCAACTGTTTTTTTTTTTTCTCTCTGAGATGGAGCCTTGCTCTCTAGCCAGGCTGGAGTGCAGTGGTGCAATCTCACATCACTGCAACTTCCACCTCCCGGGTTCAAGCGATTCTCCTGCCTCAACCTCCCAAGCAGCCAGGACTACAGGTGCGCATCACCACACCCAGCTAATTTTTGCATTTTTAGTAGAGATGGGGTTTCACCATGTTGGCCAGGATGGTCTCGATCTCTTGACCTTGTGATCTGCCCACCTTGGCCTCCCAAAGTGTTGGGTTTACAGGTGTGAGCCACCACACCCAACCCAATTGTTTATTTTTCTAATCATTTCTTTAAGATCCCTCCTCTTAATACTGTAATAATGGCAATTACATTTCTTTTTAAAATTATTTTATTTTATTTATTGTTTTCTAATTTAATTTTAATTTTAGTCTTCTTTAGAGACAGGGTCTTGCTCTTTTACCTGGGCTGGACTGCAGTGGTATGATCATAGCTCACTGCAGCCCCAAACTCCTGGGGCTCAAGTGAGCCTCCTGCCTCAGCCTCCTGAGCTACTAGGACTACAGGCATGTGGCACCATGCCTGGCTAATTTTTGCATTTTTTTTTTGTAGAGAGGGGGTCTTACTATATTGCCCAGGCTGGCCAGGAACTCCTGGCCTCAAGCAATCCTCCTGCCTCAGCCTCCTAAAGCACTGGGATTGGAGGTGTGAGCTACCATGCCCAGCCATGGTAATTACATTTTGACATAAATTTGGTGGACATATTCAAATCATAGCAGTAACAAACCCTATATATATAGTACTATATATAAATTTCTCTATATACTTCTATATACATAATATATATGTCTTATACATATGTACCTATGATAAAGTTTAATTTATAAATCAGGTACTGTAAGAGATTAACAATAACAATAATTATAACAATGTACTGTCATAAAAGTATGTGAATGTGGTCTCTTTCCTCTCAAACTAGCTCGTCATACTGTACTCATCTATTTTCAGACAGCGGTTGACCGCTGATAAATATCTGAAACTGCAGAGTACAAAACTACTGAAAGTAAAACCGTGGTTAAGGGGGGAAACTGCCCACTGCCATAGCGGGCTGAATGAATTTTCAGGTTGTGGGGCTAAATCCCATGCTCACTGCTGCTTAGCTATGTAACATTGGGCCACCCAGGCCTCCCCTATGAGTCTCTGTTTTCTTGTGTGTAAAATGGGGAGTAATAGCACCCATATTGCAAGGTTATTTTGCAGCTCAAGGCAGTTGTAATGTAGCTGGCACTGAATAAATGGTAACTATGATTATTGTCATTATTGTGGTTATATTTACGGTCTTAACAAAAGACAAAAATTTTTTTTTTTTTCTTGTGCAATGGCACGATCTCGGCTCACCGCAACCTCTGCCTCCCAGGTTCAAGCGATTCTCCTGCTTCAGCCGTCCTAGTAGTTGGGATTACAAGCATGTACCATCATGCCCAGCTAGTTTTGTGTTTTTAGTAGAGACAGGGTTTCTCCACATTGGTCAGGCTGGTCTCGAACTCCCGACCTCAGGTGATCCGCCCTCCTCGGCCTCCCAAAGTGCTGGGATTACAGGCATGAGCCACCGTGCCTGGTCACAAAAGACAAATTTAAATCAATGAAAGAATTTTACTCTAACACTCTTTTTTTTGGGAGTGGCTGAATTCATAATCCGGGACTATATGAAGCTAACTTTTCTTTACATTGTTGGAATAATCAAGCATTCCTATGAAAGCCAGGGGAGCCAGTTTCATTAACCCATATTAGGCAGGGATATCTGGCTGGTGACAGCCATTCTTGAGTAATGGGTGATAAATACCACTTCCTTCTAAAGAGCTCTCAGGCAGCTCCCAGGCCTCATGCATTTTGAGAAGCAGTGTCCTCTATGTAATCGGCTGCGAGAAACATATTCCAAAGAGAAACATATGCTCCAGTAGTTACAGGGAAATTTTGCAATGCTGTCTTCTAAGAACAAATAAAGAGACAGATCTGAACCTGAGGGCCAGGCCACTTTGTTTGATGTGTTCAGATTTCATGCGACAAGAGGGAATAACTTCTAACAAAGTTACTTCTAACAAAGCATAAGTAACATGACCAGGAAACCTCAAATCCCTCTCCTGAGGTGTCCCAGAGGACTCAGAAAAAGTTAAAAGCAAGTTGTGTTCTTCGTATGGAAACACTCCTTTAATTGCCTCTGCAATTAATTAGTTCATTTCTTGCCAAATTGCAGTCAGACAAATGCCCACATCAGACTCTCCCCTCCCTGGTCTTGTTAGGTGTTTGGAGGAGGGAGGTTGCCCTGACAGCAAATGCGCCCCTCATTGTTAGTTTCAGCCACCATGTGAGTGGTTTTTACAGGTTTGTTTTTTTCTGTTTTTAGGAATATGGATGAGGCTGTCAATTTAAAAAGAAAAAGTCAGGCTCTAGCCCTCTGATTGGCTGTTGCTGTTCAAGCTGGCTATTTAGTTTTAGAGCTGATTCTCTGCTTCCTTAGATGGTGCATTCACAGGAAGCTTAGTTACATAATATGTAAGTTTCTAAAACAGGAGTCATCCCATTTACCAAGTGATGGAGAGGCCCAGGTTGGCCTTAGGTGGAGTCTCACTAGGCAGTTGCTACTTGGGATGACTTAAGAGGACCAGGGCCTTTATCCACTCCTCTCACCCCACTCATACCACCCCAGCAAGAAAAGTCTTTTTTTTTTTTTTTTAAATTAACTTGATCAACATGTTAGCAAGGACCATGGTAGTAAGGACCTTTCTCTCTAGGTACAAAAGAACTAAGAAGAGATACCTCTGTTCCTGTCACCCTCAGACTGTTCACTTCTTTGCTTTTCCTCCTCAAGGTCTCCACACTTGTGGATCTGGTTTCCTGCTCTGCTGGCTTTCAGTCTGGTGCACTCTAAGGAACAGCCTGAGGAGGCCCAACTGGTCTTCTTGCTTCCTCGAGTTGGTCATCCAAGTTTCTGGCGATAACTCTCGCTTCCCTGGTTCCCAGGACTGGGTTTCAGCTCCAGGGTCTCCAGGTCTCCCCACACAGTTGGAGTTTTCAAACTAGTCTCTTTGTTTCAAACTACTCTTTAGCCATACAGAAGTATGGGCTACATTATGGCTATCAAAAGGTTTTCCTCAAACATCACCATCACTGTCTTCATCATTTCCATCACAATTAACATTCATCATTATTTTGTGCCAGGTACTATAACACTCGCATTACATAGACAGTTACATTCAATACTCATAGCAATCCTGTGCAAGAGGTGCTTTTTCTTTCCTCATTTTGAAGATGAGAAAACAGAGGCTCAGAGAGGTTGCATTACACGATCAAAATCACACAGCAAGTAGGTGGTGAAGCTGATGCGTAAAGCCACACTCTCTGACTTCAGAACCTTTACCACTCCAATGTACTTTTCATATATTTTTCCACCTTACTCCCCTATTCAAAGATCCCTGGTTGGGCCTGTCACCTCCAGGATAAAGGGGCAGCTCCCCAGTGTGGCTGTCAATGGCAGTCTGAGCTGATGCAAGCCGTATGTTCCACCCAGGACAGGGGTAGGCCTCATGGCCTCCCTTGCTTTTCACGTTCTGACCATGTCCAAGGCCCAGCGTGCTGGTCATTTCCTCGGAAACACTATTTTCTGAATCTCCCACAAGTCATTTACAACACCCTCTTCCTTCCTGTAACTCTTCCGACCTCAACCTTTATCCCACGCTAGATTTGCTAAAAGCCATGTTTATTAAACAGGACACACTGTAAAGATTCTAATGGGAGGCACCTCTAGATTTTTTTAAGTTAAATTTTAATATTTTTCCAAATAAATATATGCAACTATTATTGTCTTTTAAAAGAGAAATATTGCTAAAAGACAGTATTAATCAGCAGCCTTGCTCCACATGAATCTTTTTCTCAGAGGCAATTACTTTCATCTTTAAAGCTATTTCTTCTCATTTTGAAAACATTTTATAAAACATGTTTATCCAGCTACCTCTTGATTCTCCAATTTTAACCATTTTTTCTTGACTTTCTATTATGATATGTCAAGATTTTAGCTCTTATATACTCCCACTTCCTTCAACATCCTGAAATAGTTTTATCACAATGTTTGGTTAAATTCACTTTCAATGTTTATATTATTGTGACTATAGTATATATCACATACTGCTAAGACAAATTTGGAATAGAAGTCTATTCCTATCTTTATATACCTTTTTTAGAGTTATTACTTGCTTTATTATTGCTATTTTTATTTGCTTGATTTTCTTAGGGTCTCTACATCTTTCTGTATCTTTTAACAGCTCATATTTCCACATGGTCAAACATGTCTGTTGAACTACCAGTTCTGCATGACACTTCCCGGAGAAAACGCTGTGGACTCTGAGGTCTGCTCTTCAGGATGCGGCAGACCTGTCATTGTCATTATCTACAGAATTCCTTTCACGTCTCTCCTTTGCTATATTAGCCGTTTCCTGGATCTTATATCTTTGTCTTTTTTTAGTTAATTCCCTTGTGTGTTAGTTTGCTCGGGCTGTCAAACAGTCAAACACAAGCTGTTTGACTTAAACAATATACATTTATTTTTTTCACAATTCTAGAGGCTGGAAGCCCAAGATCAAGGTGCCAGCAGGATTGGCTTATGGTGAGACCTCTTTCTTTGGCTTGGAGATGACACCTTCTTTCTGTGTCCTCACATGGACTCTTCTCTGGGTGAGTGGAGAAAAATACAGAGCTCTGCTGTCTCTTCCTCTTTTTATAAGGACACCAGTCCTATTAGATTAGGAATCTACCCATATGACCTCATTTGGCCTTAATTACCTCCTATAAGGCCCTGTCTCCAAACACAGTCACATTAGGGGTTAAGCTTCAACATGAATTTTAGGAGGACATCAGTCAGTCTGTAATACAATTTTTATGGTGTTTACCTGCTAAAGGGTACAAGGAAAGATTGCTTTTTGAGATGTCGCTTTATCTTTATCCTATCTTTATATTCCATAGACAATCTGGCTGCATACGGAATCTCAAGTGAAAAATTACTTTTCTTAAAAAAAATAGTTTGGCATAGTGTAGCAAGATTAAAAAGAACATCTTCTTTTATCCAGCACTTCCACTCCTAAGCATAAACCCTACAGACAAATTCTTACATGTATGTGCGAACACCTGTATAAAAGTATGCATAACTTACTGTGTAAGCAAGGCAGTAAATATGACTCATAGAATGCAAGTATAAAGCACTTTTTATTTTGTCTAACATTGTCTCTTTAAAATTTATTGGCCCTGGATGAAAGCTTGGGCAAGCTCATGGCTTTTCTGGTTATTCTTAGAGGCTAGAGAATACTACTGTTACTTTAAATCAGAGAAGAGAGTCCTAGTGCAAAAATTACAATGTTTAGTCCAATACATAAGCAATTTTTCAACCTTCACCCAAACATAATACTTTTCCATCCTCCAGGCCAACCCTCCATTTGGTGGTGGTGGTCTGGGGGAGGGAAGGGATTGGGGGTAGGGGGTGCATTTGGTTCCTCCAGCTGCCATATCTTCCAAGTGTCTCCTTGGGCAAAATTCAAAATGACTGCAGACCACCTCTTTGTCTCAAGAGCCACCTTTGGTTCATGAGAACATGAGAAACATTCATACATCCTCTGCCCCTATGTAGAAGAGGCCAGGATGATCTAGTGCAGTAGTCACTCTCCTTAGTCATCTGTGCATCCATCCATCCATCCATCCATCCATCCATCCATGCATCCATCCATCCATCCACCCACCCATCCACCCACCCATCCATCCATCCATCCATCCATCCATCCACCCATCCACTCACCTACCCATGTATTTATTCACCTACCCATTCATCCACCACCAACCCACCCATCCAGCCAGCCAGTCGCCCACCCATCCCAGCAACCACCTAACATCCATCCATTCTTCTAGGCATCTGTCTTGTCTGCTCCAGCATTTCTTGAGCCAGAGGCAAACAGTAGCTCTAAACTGCAGAGATCACAAAGGACTCTTTTGAGATCTCTCATAAAGCTTGAGGTGAGAGACAGGCATCCTCCTTCTGCCACTTATGGGGATGGTGACACAGTCATCATCACAACATCACTCTTCAAACAAAATCTCCTCCAAAAAGCCTCTTTCTTCCTTCAACTTTTACAAGAAAATGTTTATGTTTTCACATTTAACACAAAGAGGCCACATTTAAATAAACACATTAAGTCTTCAGACCACTTTGATTGCAGTTTTGAACCTCAGATATGACAAATTCTCATATCAATGTATCCCTAATTTCTTTTATAATTTATTTTTTACAAATTATGCCATAATAAAACTTGATAAGTGATTACTCATGTAAAATATTTCCTTTAACACTTTATAAGTTAATCAAGTGGATAGCCCAATAGATTTTAGTTGTTGCTTAAATAGGGAGTTCTCATGATTTTAGTATTATACAAGTTTAGCTGAGACTACACTCAGAAATAAGTTTAGAAAATAGCACTATAAAAGATGGGGAGTGACGAGTAAAATAACCCATACAGGATGCTATGCTGTAGGAAATTGGATGTTTTCACTGCTTCTGCAGTATCAAAGTGAGTAAAGGGTTCAAGAATCATGAAGCTGATTCCTTCCATTGTAAAGTCTATGTATGGCATTTGCTTTGGTATCTGAAGGTTATCATTCCCTGGTGCCTCAACAGAAACATGCAAGTTGACACGCTATTTATATTTTTGATATCAAAAGATTGGAAACAAACTTTATATCCATAAGTAAGAGACTACATAAATAAGTGATGCTATATCCATGCAAACCAAACATCCAATTATGCTAAATCCGTGAAGCACCATGCAACAGTGATAATGAACCAGGGCAATACTTATGAACAGGGATGAGTCTTACAAACAAAATTCTAAGGGGACAATTCCATATATTATATGTATTATAATAATTTTATATACATTAATATGTGCATCATTCTTTCTATATTTTAAAGTGCAAAATAATATTGCTTAGGAATACGTGGATATGTAGCAAAGTATAAGGAAATTTGAGGCATCATATACAATTAATAATGACCAGGATGGCAATATTTGCTTCTAGGAGGTGGGGAGAAGGATAGGACATGGAAAATATATTCAGAGGGTTTCAACTGTCTTGGTAATGTTTTACTTTTTGAGTTGAAAGATACTCGGTTTTCCATTGTATTATTCTTTATACCTTGTGATATATCCTTTTTTTTTTTTTTTTTTTTTTTTTTCTGACATGGAGTCTCACTCTGTAGCCCAGGCTGGAGTGTAGTGGCGCGATCTCGGCTCACTGCAAGCTCCGCCTCCCGGGTTCACGCCATTCTCCTGCCTCAGCCTCCCGAGTAGCAGGGACTACAGGCGCCCGCCACCACGCCCGGCTAATTTTTTTTGTATTTTTAGTAGAGACGGGGTTTCACCGTGTTAGCCAGGATGGTCTCGAGCTCCTGACGTCGTGATCCGCCAGACTCAGCCTCCCAAAGTGCTGGGATTACAGGCGTGAGCCACCGGCACCTTGTGATATATCTTAACTACTTCAGATTATGTTTGAATGAAATTACTTTTTTTCCTTCAAAATTTGAAGACTCTCATCCATTCACCAGTTTCCAATGTTGGTGGTAAGTAAGCTAAGGCCGTTTTCAGATCTGATTATTTTAGTGAGATCTATTGCCTTCCCCCCGCTTCCCAACTCTGGGAGCTATTAGAAGCATTGCTTTTTGAAACATTCTTTTTTTAGACACTGCTGGGCCCTTTCAGTATGGAACATAGACTCTTATATATGTATATATATTGTTGAAGAGATCACTCAAATTTCCTTTAATCATGGGAAATTTGAGTGATCTCTTTAATAATATCCTCCCTCCATTTTCTCTGCTCCTGTTTTCTCTAATTACAGTTATTTGGATGTTGGACTTCCTAGACTAATTCTCTAATTTTTATTTACTTTATTTCCAATTTTTGACCTATTTGTCTTTTCATTCTAAGGGATTTCTTCAAATGTATCCTTCAATCCTCTAGTGAATTTTTAAAATTTCTTCTATTACATTTTTAATTTTAAAGGTTAATTTTTCTTATTTTTCTGTCTCTACATTGTCATCCCTTCTTATTCCATGGATACAGCATCTTTTCATATCTCTTAGAACATTAAATGTAACATTCATATTTCTAATGTCTTTTCTATTCCTTGCATTGTGTCTGTTACGAGTTTTTTCTTTGTCTCCTCCTTTTTTTCTTCTCTTTCTTCTTGCCCCTTTCCTCCCCTTCTTTTTTTCTTTTCTCCTCCTCCTTCTTTTCCTTCTAGTTTTTGTTTAATTTCCTTTACAGTATAGGTTTTCATCAAATGTCTGTACATGCTTGGCAGACCATTTCTATGGAAGAGAGTGTGCTAAGAAGCTGAATGAAGATTTGTGTTTATGAGTTGAATGGCAGGTTTCACTATAGGGCAGCTGTTCTCAAAGTGTGGTCTGTGAACCCCTGAGAGTCACTGGGATCCCTTCAGAGGTCCACGGTGTCAAAACTATCTTCATAATAATATTGAGATGTTAATTTCCCTTTGCACTGGGTTGAAAATTGTAGTGATTATGCAAAAGCAATGATGGATATGATGGATAATTTCATGTGTCAAATTGGCACAGGGTGCTCAGGTATTTGGTCAAAAATTATTGTGAATGTTTCTGTGAGGGTGCTTTAGATTAAGATTTAAATCTGTGGACTTGAAAAAATTGTAGTAAAATATACATAATATGAAATCTACTCTCAACAAATTTTTAAGTGTACATTATAATATTGCTAACGGTATGTACATTGCTGTATAGCAGATCTCTAGGACTTTTTCATCTCGAGTGACTGAAACTATGTCTATTAAATAGCAACTCCTATTTCCGCCTCCCCTAACCTCTGGCAACCACCATTTTACTCTCTGCTTCTATGAATTTGACTACATTTAATTACCTCATAAAAGTGGAATCAGGTAGCATTTATCTTACTGTGATGAATGTTTTCATTAAGCATAATCTCCTTAAGTTTCATTCATGTTGTAGCACGTGACAGAATTTCTTTCTTTCTTTCTTAAGGGTGAATCTTATCCCACACACACACGTACACACACACACATATTCTTTATCCATTTATCCATTAATGAACCTTTAGGTTACTTCCACCACTTGGCTATTGGAAATAATGCTACAAAGAACAGGGGAATACAAATATCTCTTTGAGGCCCTGTTTTCAGTTGTGTTGTATATATGCCCAGAAGTGGGACTGATGGATCATATGGTAGTTCTATTTTTCCCTTTCTGAGGGAACTCCATACTGTTTTCCATAGTGACTAATACCATTTTATATTCCCAACAGCAGTGCACAAGAATTCTAATTTCTCCATATTCTAACCAACATTTGTCATTTTCTCTTTTGTTTTTGTTTTTGATAATTGGCCATTCTAGCATGTTGCTGTCTAGTATCCTTGAATTTCAACTTCATGAATTTTCTTTACTGTTTCTTGTAAGGCAGGTATAATGGTAAGGCACTCTTTCAGCTTTTGTTTACCTGGAAAAGTGTTTCTCCTTATTTATTTATTTATTTATTTATTTTGAAACGGAGTTGTGCTCTGTCACCCAGGCTGGAGTGCAGTGGCACCATCTTGGCTCACTGCAAGCTCTGCCTCCCGGGTTCACACCATTCTCCTGCCTCAGCCTCCTGAATAGCTGGGACTACAGGTGCCCACCACCACACCTGGCTAATTTTTTTTTTTTTTTTGTATTTTTAGTAGAGATGGGGTTTCACCATGTTAGCCAGGATGGTCTCGATCTCCTGACGTCGTGATCCACCCACCTCGGCCTCCCAAAGTGCTGGGATTACAGGCGTGAGCCACCGCGTCCAGCCCTCCTTCATTTTTGAAGAAAAGTTTTGCTGGATACAATATTCAGGGTGGACAGGATATTTTTCCTTTTGGCACTTTCACTATATCATCCCATGCACTTCTGAATTACAAGGTTTCTGCTGAGAAATTTGCTGATAGTTTTACGCAGACTCTGTTTTATGAGGCATGTCACTTTTCTTTTGCTGCCTTCATAATTGTCTCTTTGTCTCTGACTTTTGAACATTTGGTTATAATGTGTTTGGGTGATAGACCTTTTTGGATTCATCATTTGGAATCCGTTGGGTTTCTTAAATCTGATGTTCAGTTACTTCCCCAGACTTAGGAAGTTTTCAGCCATTATTTCTTAGGATAAGCTTTCTGCCTCTTCCTTTCTCTCTCTATTCTTCTTGTTCTGGAACATTCATAATGTATTTTTTTTTAATGGTGTTCCATAATTCCCTTAGGCTTTCTTAATTCTTTTTTCTTTTTGTTCTTCTGACTGGATAATTTCAAATGACCTGTCTTTGAGTTTGCTTTTTTTTTTTTTTGCATGATCAATTCTGACATTGAATCCTCTAGTGAATTTTTTAGTTCAGTTATTTTATCATGTAGTTCCAAAATATGTAATTCTTTTTTATATTTTCTGTCTTTCTCGATTTTCTATTTTGTTCATGTATCATTTTCCTGAGCTCACTGAGTATCTTTATGATGGTTATTTTGAATTATTTTTCAGGTAATTCACATATCTCTTTCTTTTTTCTTTCTTTCTTTTTTTGAGATGGAGTCTCACTCTGTCACCCAGGCTGGAGTACAGTGGCATGATCTTGGCTCACTGCAACCCTCTTCCTCCTGGGTTCAAGCAATTCTCCTGTCCCAGCCTTCCAAGTAGCTGGGCTTACAGGCTCACGCCACCATGCCCGGCTAATTTTTGTATTTTTAGTAGAGACAGGGTTTCACCATGTTGGCAAGGCTGGTCTCAAACTCCTGACTTCAGGTGGTCTGCCCACCTTGGCCTCCCAAAGTGCTGGGATTATAGGCGTGAGCCACCACGCCTGGACACATATCTCTTTTCTTTAGGGTCAGTTTTTAAAGATTTACTTTTTTTTTCTCTTTTGGGCCATGCTTCTTTGTTTCTTTTTATACCTCATAACTTTGTGTTGGGAATTATGCATTTAAAAAAACAGACACACCTTCCAGTCTTTAGTAACTGGCTTTGTAAAGAGAAATGTCTTTACCAAGCAGCCTGGTGTGACATTCTGAAGTGTCTCAAACATTTTCTGTGGAGACATCTTCTCTGGACTTACACATGTTAATTACCAATTAGAGAGATTTGCTGTTTTCTTTTTTTTAGCACTCATAATATCTTGCTTTCCCTGGCGTCTGTTTGTGGTATTGCAGGTTCTCTGGATCTCTTTTTAGCCTCCTGGCTTATTTTCCCTCAGAACTTTCCAGGCTTCTAGAGCATGTCAGATCCTGTCAGTGCTTTGAGTTGTACAGGACAAAAGCTGTTTTTTTTCAGAAGCCTCGACCACCAGCCCCACCAAAACTGTACTAGTGGATGCATGCTCAATTATTCTCCCCTCCCTCCAACCCCCAAGGAAGAGGTCACCAAGGCTACGTCTGTTAAACCGCTGGTCCTCTGGCTATGTCTATTATATTGCTAGCTCTCTTTTGTTCTTATTTGCCCCCAGACACCTAGAGTATGCCAGGCTCTGTCAGCACTCCAAAACAGGTGAGAAATAGATCAGTCTCTTAGCCTCCCAAATGGACAGAATGTTGGACACACACTTCAACTGTTTCTCCAGGAAGAAGCCAGGAGCTGGGAGTTTCCCCCAGTCATGGCATGCTAAGCTGGAGAGAGGAGCTTAGGCAGGTGAGTGCTATGCATTTTTCTATAGTTCTGATGCAGCTGGTTTTGTGCTTGCTGGAGGTACAGGAACCTCTTCACTGTTTTTGAGATTTCTCACAAAGGGAATTGGTTTATGTATTTTTGTTGATTTGGTGTCTGTAAGGGAAACAAGGATTTTGGGCTTCCTATTCTGACATTTTGCTGGCCTAAATTAGTGGACTTTGAGTAGTGCAGATTGCTCTCCATAACGTGGGTGGGCCTCATCCAATCAGTTGAAGGACTGAATAGAACAAAAAGACTAACTTACCCTAAGCAAGAGAGATAATTTTTTGGCAGACTGCCTTTGGGCTTCAACTGCAACAGCAGCTCTTCTTGATTCTACAGCAGACTGCCTTCAGACTGGAGCTCAGCATTGGCTCTATTTTGGACTTGTTGGCTTCCATAGTAAGCCAACTTTTTATAATATGGTGTGTGTGTGTGTGTGTGTGTGTGTGTGTGTGTGTGTATGTCCCATTGGTTCTGTTTCTCTGGAGAACGTGGAGTAATACAATGGCTAAAACTACTGGTACAAATCAAGGCACTATGCTATACTAATATTTTTGAATTCTTTATTGCCACACATTGAAAATAAAAATAAAATGCCAGTTTCACTTGGGAATGTTCTTCATGAAGCAGAAAATATATTGGTTTTATTAAATCTTGAGTAAATATCTTTTTAATAGTCTGCAACAATGGAAAATACGTATAAAGCACTGTTGCTGCAGGTGAAATATGATGGTTGACTCAAGGAAAAACACTCTTGTACTGAATTGGCAAGTGGAACTAGCTACTTTTTTTCTTGGAATTCCATTTTTTTTTTGAAAGAATAACTGGAAGAATAACTATTCAGACCTGGGTATTTGGCAGACATTATCTTGAAAATGAGTGAAGTTAGCTTACCACTTGAAGAAAAATGACTGACAGTATTTTTCGCCCATGATAAAATTCAAGCTTTAAAACAGAAATTAAAATTTTGAAAATTGTGTTTGTCAGAGGGAGATTGTTATCTTATGAATACTTAAGCTTTTCTGATGAGATCAGCAGTAATAATAATGACTGACATTTGATATTGTAGAATCAAATGTGTTAACATGTTGGAAAATCTGCATGATTCTGTGAACCAGTACAAAATCACATATTGGTAAAAGACTTATTCAAAATACCAGAAGGGCCAATGGATTTTAACACAGCAGAAGACAAAAAGTTTAACAATAAGGTTTCAGATAACGCACAGCAACTAACCTTTAAGAAACTATTACTTGTGCACTTTTGATGTGGTATTAAAGAAATATATCTGCAATTGTTTGAAAACTATTGAAATATTCCTCTTCTCCAGCTACACAGCTCTGTAGTCTTCACATGCTTCAGCCCAACAGTACATCACAACCTATCGAATGCAGGAGCAAATAGGACAATTTAGGTTTATTATTAAGCCAAACCCTTAAGAGACTTGCAAATTTTAAAACAATGCCACTCTCTTCACTAATGTTTTTCTGTTTTGGATAAAAGTTATTTTTAATAAAAATGTTATTTATGCATATAATGGGTTTGTTATTGTTATTTTATAGTGAATTAATCAGTATTAAAAACATTTGGTTTTAGTTTCTAAATATTGGTGGATACAACTCACATAAACAAAATCTCTCTGCAGACTTCAATACATTTTAAAAATATTAAGGGGGAGGGGCCAGGCTCGGTAGCTCATGCCTGTAATTCCAGCACTTTGGGAGGCCGAGGTGGGTGGATCACTTGAGGTCAGGAGCTCAAGACCAGCCTGACCAACATGGTAAAACCTTGTCTCATACTAAAAATATACAAAAAATTAGCCGGGCGTGGTGGTGCATGCCTGTAATCCCGGCTACCTGGGAGGCTGAGGCAGGAGAATTACTTGAACCCAGGAGGCGGAAGTTACAGTGAGCCACGTTCACGCCACTGCACTCCAGCCTGAGCACCAAGAGTTAAACTCCACCTCAAAAAATAAATAAATATAATAAAAATAAAAAATGAAAATATTAAGGGGTCTTGAGGCCAGACGTTTTGCTGCAGGGTGATGTGACTGGGCTGTTTCACTAGAGGGGCTCAATTGCTGGTGTTCATGTGTCTTTTGTCTTGGGCTATGTGGATTACCGTGAATCTGGGAGAGGTGCCCTTCCCTGCCGCTTGGAGCTGTGCTTGGCCACGTGACTTGCTTTGGCTTTTGGAATGTAGAGCCAAGCCTTTCCATGTTTTTGTGGGTGTCCTTTAGTTTGCCCTTTTGTTCTTTGTTATCCAGCATAAGAATATGAGACAAGCAGCCACTGGCCCCTAATGAGGAGATTCATGAAGACCTTAACCCAGCCTTCAGTCTGGAGCCTCCTTGAGCCTAGATGGGCTAAGCTGAACCCCAGCCAACCTGCAGGCTCACAAGTATGAAAAATAAATGTTTGTGATGGTAAGCCAGTGAGAGTTGGGACTATTACCCAGCCTTATTGCAATGGAAGCCTTGTTCATACAGCGTTCCAGAGAGGACTTCTATAATCTCCTGCCTCAGGTGGGTGTGGGTGGGTGTGTAGGGATAACGCTGGCTGTGGGCTTTTCTCACAGCTGAGTGGGGGAAGAGGATTTAAAGGGGTCGGGGTGAGGGGGGGAGGTGGCATCATCATGGAGCATGTGGACTTTTCACCTAATCCTCTAGCGTTGAGTATGATCCTTCTACTCACACCTGTGCCCGGTGGCCCAGATTTTAAGTCCCTTTGATTGGACATCTAGAGAAAGTCAACCTCCAGGGCTGCCAGAAGTGCAGCTGATAAACTCTGCTTAGTTTGATGAAATGTGCTATTAAAAATCTGATGAAGGTGCAGGATCTGCAATGCCTTTTGGACCTGTGGACGCTCACAATCGATACTTCATTCCTTGTTATGGCTGGATGATAGTTTATTTTGTGGACATACCACTCACTGTTTATCTATTCAACAATTGATGGACAAAGTGACCTTTAAAAATAGTAAATCTGATCATGTCACCCCCTTTCACAAAATTCTCCAGTATACCAGTAACAAAATTCTCATGGCCAGCCAGGCCTTGCAAAACTGGCCTCTGTCCACCGTTCTTCCCTCCTTTATCACGTCTATCCCCTTGGCTCATTATATTACCAATCACACTGGTCTTTTGTTCGCTTCCTTGAAAATCCCAAGTTTAGTCTTACCTCAGGGCTTTTGTGCTTGAATTTTCTTCTGACCAGGGTGCTCTTCCTTCAAATAGCTGCTCCTTTCCTATCCTCCCTGTCATTGCCTCTGTGAGGCCTTTCTACATTCTCTACTCAAAGTATTCCACACATCCTTCAACATTTCCTTTCTAACCCTCATTACTGCCCACTATCACCTAGTATTTCTATTTGTTCTCTTGTTCATGGTCTTTCTCCTTCCTCTGCAATGTAAGCTTCAAGAGGGCAGGTGCTAGCTGACACCTTTACTGCTCTATCCCTGGACATGGGGTAGACCTGGCACAAAGTGAGTGCTAAGTCTGCGTTCAATGAATGGATGGATTTAAGGTTATTTTTATATATTCCAGTCCTGTAAAAAATTCTTGAATTACTACTTTTATCACTTCCTGCAATAAGCAGAATAATGCCTCCTTTCAAGATGTCTATGCCATAGTCCCCAGAACCTGTATGTTACTTTACATGGCACAGCGACTTTGCAGATGTGACAGAGATTACAGACACTGAAATTGGGAGATTATCCTGAATTATCTGGGAAGGCCAAATCTAATCATATGTGCCCTTAAAAGTAAAGATGCATTTCCAGCTGAGACTTGTTAGAGAGATTTGTTGCAACATAAGAAAGGTCAAAGAGATGTGATATTGCTGGCTTTGAAGATGAAGGAAGGGACCATAAACCAAGGAATGTGGGTGGCCTCTAGAAGCAGAAAAGTCAAGGGAACAGTTTCTCCCCTAGAGCTTCCAGACAAAATGCAGCTACCTGCCGCTGGATTTTAGCCCAGCGAGACTTAGGTTGTACTTCTGATGTCCAGGACCGTAAGTTAATAAACTGGGACTGTGTTAAGGAACAAGAGTGTGGAAATTTGTAATGGCAACAGTAAGAAACTAATATGTGACCTTGCCTCTGTTTTCTCTTTTCTTTCCTTCTTAGATATTTGAATGAATTTGAGTCAGAATTTACTTGAATTTTCCCAGTGGTGACTAGTTTAAGCTTTCAGTCAGAATTTTAAGAGAGAGCTCTAGTTCAATTCTAGAAAAGTAAACAAAATTCGATTTTGCCCACCTGACTTGTGGCCTGGCAAATACATATGCACCATGCATGGTTCTAGGATTCTTAGTATGTCATTGAAACTCTGCTTAGTTTATTGAATGTGCTATTAAGAATCTGATGAAGGTGCAGGGCCTGCAACACCTTTTGAACCTGTGAACTCTCAGAATTGATACCATCATTGATCCTTATTTAAAAATCCATGCGTGGGTTTGAGAAGCATGTAAACCACGTAAGCTTTCCCTGCCATCGTAGGCTTTTGTATCTCATTGCTACCCTCCTGGTCGCAGCCACCTTCCCTCAGATGAGTGCCCTCCCTGGCTTCTGATGCATTTGTAGTGCCATCAGCTACTTTAGACATCTGGGTTCCAACTTTGAGAGCTCTTCTCTGGTGGGTCCCAAAGTAGCAGGCACTTGGCCGCTTCCTCTGCCCCACTCTCTGTCCCAGCAGAACAGCGAGATGGCATTTCTATCTTTCCCTGCGCTATTCACCCGGTCACACATTCAACAGCTATTTAACAAGAGGCACAAGGTTCTAGGCATTGTTACTGGTATAGGAGGATCAGAAATGAAGAAGTCTGACCACAAACAAATACAGAAGTCAACATGTAGCATGTCAGCTGAGCAAAAGTGTGATGGAGAGAAGAAGAAAGCAGAGTAAGGAGAACATGGACGGGGCTCCTGGTTCAGATCGGTGGTTGGGGAAGGCCTCACTGAGGAGGTAACATTTGAGCGGAAGCATGAAGGAGGTGAGGGAGTGAGCCAGGAGGCTGTCTGGAGGAAGGGCATCCTAGGAAGAAGGAGCAAGTGCAAAGGCCTTGAGGCAGGATTCCACCAGGTGTGTTTGGGAACAGCAAAGGAAGACAGTCCCTAGAGGGATGAGTGAGGGGAAGTTAAGAGAAGGTAAAAGCACAGAGAGGTAAGAGGTGATCTCATGAGCACAGGCTTTGTGGGCTGCAGCAAGGACTTGACCGGCTTTTCCGCTGAGACTGGAGCCCCTGGAGGATTAGAGCAAAGGAGAGGCCTGAGTCTTTGGAAGTGTTGCTCCAGCACTGTGCTGAGCATAGGAACAGCGGGAAGAGTGGAAGCAGGGAGATCCGTTAGGGAAGGGTTGTAGACAGGATGAGCACCTGGATCAGGATCATGGTGGGAGGACATGCTGGGATACTGTAAACATTTTAAAAAACTATCATGGAAAATTTAAAACATAAAAGCAAAGAGAATAGTAAAATGAAACTGTGAGTAACCATCACTCGACTTCCACAATAATCAACTCAGGATCATCTTGTTTCCTTGCTACCCACCCTGTTTCTGTATTATTTTAAAGCAAATTCAAGACATCTGAGGATTCCATCTGTAAATATGTTAATAAGTGTCTCTAAAAGAGGTCATCTCATTACCTCCATACCATTATTGTACTAACAAGAAGCAACAAGAATTCCTCAAGATCTCCAAATATCTAGCCAATGTTTGAAAGTCAAGCCAATGGAACTTTCCGGTACATTGGATCTGGGATTGAGAGAAAGAGAGGGGTCCAGGATGTCAAAAATTTAGGGCCTGACAACCGTAAAATTGTCTTACATTTACTGAGATAAGAGAGACTGTAGGAAGAGCAGGTTTTGGGGCTAGGGGTGGATAGGAATTTGCGTTTAGGCATTTTGTGACTTGCAGTACAGGTCTGGCTGTGTAACAAGAACCACCAATGGATTAAATTAAAATTTTCTCCCCCTGTAATGTAACAATTCTGAGAATAAAGCTATGCAAGGATGGTTCAGTGGCTACGGTGCTAGGGACTCGATCTCCTATTTTGTTGCTCTTCTATCCTTAAAAGAGCTTCTATCATGGCCTCCAATGGAAGGTTGAGCTCCACCCTAACTTCTACGGGAAAGAGAGAAGGATAAATGAAGGGGATACGTCTTTTCTTTAAAGGCAAGACCTGAATGTCACAGGTGCCACTTCTTCTCATGTCCCATTGGCCAAAACTCACATGGCCACATGTAGCAAGGGAGTAAATACGGTCTTTAGCTAAGTAGCCATATTCTTAGCTAAAACTCAGAGGGTCTACACTAATGGAAGAAGGGGAGATTGGATGCTTGGAAGCAGCTACCAAAAGTTAAGTTTGAGAGGCTAATGGGCATTCACATAGAGCTGTTGAGTTCATCATGGGTCTGGAGGTGGGCTCCAGTTGGGGATGTTTATCAGAGAGTTACCAGCATAAAGATGGCATTTCAATCCCAGAGATGGCCTGCTGGGCCTGAGTCAGGCCAGAGCCCCTCAGGAGCCCCTCAGAGCCTGTGGGTGGAGGGGAGCGCTATTTTGCCTCTCCCTCTCCTGAAGCCTTGGCAGCCCAGGTGAGAAGATGAAAGGTGCTGTCAGGCTTGCTAAGTAAGGTTAGGGGGCCGCTGTGACCTCCAGTGCTGAAGGATAGGCCGGATCCATCAGCCCTGCTGGGCCAAGGCCCCACCTTTTTCTGTGTGTGTGGACCCCAGCACAGACACTTCTTGGTTTGTCAGTGGAGAGCACGCTCCTTCTCCCCTCTGCCCCTAGAAGCTGCAGGAGCTAAGAGCTCACTGCTGGGCAGCCCCACCTGGAGTGTCTTATCTTTCATCGCCTTGGAGTGGTTGTGTTGGCTACCCTCCTTTCTTGATCTGATTGAAATGAATGGGCCAAGTAGCAAAATATCCATGATTGCCCTCCCAGGATGAGGACCTGCGCTTTGGAAGGCCTCTTCTCATCCTAGGGGCAGCGACTGTGACACTGACTCTACCCACACTCACTGCTGCGTCATGGTCCTGGGAGTTTTTGCTGACTCTCTCACCCTGAGACGCATGGTATTCTGTAGGGTTTGCCTCATCTGTTCTCCACTGTCTTCCCTATTCTCACATCATAGCCCCGGCTAATACCTAACACCTCGAATTCTCTCTGTTTCCTGCCAACACTGACCTTTCTCACTGCCTGGAAACACCCCCACCTGCGTGCTCCATGGGTGTCTTGAACTCTGTATGTTCAAAACTAACTTTTCTGTCTTCACCCCAAAGCCAGTGTGCCTCCTCATGTTCCCAAGCTAAGACAGTTAGTGTCCCAAACTGAAAACTGTCCCCATTTGAAACTCCTTTTTGTCCCTCACCCCTCCCTCTCATATCTAATCAATTGCAAAGTCTAGCCATTTCTACTCCAACAATAACCTTAAATCCACTTTATGTTACCCATCGCTGCCATTCCTGCCTTGGTTAAGGCACTATCACATTTGTCTCTAACCACCTCCTTGCTGGTCTCCCTGCCGCCCTTAGACTCCCACAGACCCTTCCAGAGTGATTTTTCTAAGCACCAGAGCTGTTATGCCCCTGCCTAATGCCCTTGTCCCTTTTTCCCCACCAGCCTGACTCCCCCTCACTGTGCCCTGGGTTGCAGTCACACAAGGCTGCCACAGTTCCCTGAGCAGCCAAAACCTTCATGCTTCTTCCTCCATGTCCTTTCCCATTCTCTAGACTCAGCCAGACACCGCCTTTCTTGAGAAGTCATCTGAGTTCCCTGAAGAACACTCTTTCCTTCCTCTTCCTTCCCACACCCCCCCTTTTCTCTTTTACCTTGGTACTCATGGTGCCACGCTGAGATTGTTAACAAGCCTGACTGCCGCTGGATTGCAGGACACCTCAGGGGCACGGCCCCTTGTCACATTTAGTTTTGCTCCCTACCAAGTACCTGGTCCTTAGTAAATGTTCCTACCATATGGAAAGAAAGACAAAAAGAAGGGCTCAGTGGAGATTTTCTACTCAACCTGGTTGTGCTGGATTTTTAATGTCTGCCTCCTCAGCAGGCATCCCCACTTCATGTAACTATGGCTCCTGGTATCTAGGGGGGTACCCTCTCCTCCTGTCTGGGAACGCAATGCTCTGGGGGCAGCTCACGTTCAGGCTTAAACAGAGCCAATCAGCACAGCACATTCCTGTGGCTTTGGTGAATCACTCCCTCCCCCGTGCTTCACTTTTCATCTTTTAAGAAGGTTCTCTTTCCTGCTGGACTTGAACCAGGGGAGATGTAAGTCTGGGGCTGCTCTCACCTTCTTGCCGCTGTGTGGAGCCTGCAAATGACAGTGATTCCTGGAGGGGAGCAGAGCTGAGCACATAGGTATGGAGAAGGTGAGGCCTGGTTCCTGAGTGGTTTACCCCTGGACTTTTCAGAAAACAGAAATATAGTAGGTTGAAGACTGACCTCTTTCAAAAAATTCATGTTCACCTGGAGCCTCAGAATGTTATCTTATTTGGAAATAGTTTTTGCTTTTTTTTTTTTCCAGACATAATTAAGGTAAGGATCAAGACGAGATCACACTGGAAAAGGTGGGCCCTAAATCCAGTGAGAGGATAGGAAGGCCAGCACTCTTATTCTGTCCTAATAAGAGACAGAGACGGGCACACAGAGACACAGAAGAAGGCCATGTGTTGATGGAGGCAGAGACTGGAGTGATGCCGTCCCAAGCCAGGGAGTGCCTGGCTCCGCCAGGCACTGGAAGAGGCACTGAATGGATGCTTCTCGAGAGCCTTTGGAGGGAGCATGACCCTGCTGACACCTTGATTTTGCACTTCTGGCTTCTGGAACTATGAGAGGGTAAATTTTTATGGCAGCCCTAGAAGACGAGTCCCAGAGCCAATAAAGATCCCTCTTCCCCTGATTTTGTAAAAATTTTAAGCCATTTTGAGTTTTTTTTCCCCTTTTGCAGGAGTCCTCTGTGGTAAACTGGTGGAGTCCAAAGCAATTGTGTTTGACAAATAAAACCGAATGATCTGGGTGATGAAAACGTAATAGCAAAAGACCAATCCTGAAGAATCCTCAGGGCCCGGGTGAGGAGGGAGGTGAAGCTCCAGCTCTGCTGTACCTAAAGTCTGACAAATAAAAGTCCTGAGAATGGAGGAGGTCTGGATGTAAATGTCTTGTCTCCAGGTCTAATATAAACTACTTTTGAATGAACTTGGGAAGAGTTGACATCTCAACCCTCCATGAGGTGTGAGAGGCAGAGTGAGGTCCTGCGTTGTCACCTTTAATATCTGAGTTTCCACATAAAAAGAAATGCATGAGTTTGGCTCCCCTGCATGCCATCCTGAGCACACATGGTATTTCTTATTGAAGTGCTGGGATGGGGAGCTTAGTTGTCCCTGTCTCCTAGACCACTATCATGCAACAGGAGCATAACATGAACCACATAGATCATTTCCAGCTTTTTGGCAATCTCATTAAAAGTTAAAATGAGGCCGGGTGCGGTGGCTCATGCCTGTCATCCCTGCACTTTGGGAGGCTGAGGCAGGTGGATCACCTGAGGTCAGGAGTTCATGACCAGTCTGGCCAACATGGTGAAACCCTATCTCTACTAAAAATACAAAAAATTCGCCGGGTGTGGTGGTGGGCACCTGTAATCCCAGCTACTCAGGAGGCTGAGGCAGGAGAATCGCTTGAACCTGAGAGGCGGAGGTTGCAGTGAGCCGAGGTGGTGCCACTGCACTCCAGCCTGGGTGACAAGAGTGAAACTTCGTCTCAAAAAAATAAAAATAAAAATAAAAAAAAAAGGTAAAATGAAACAGGTAAAATTAATTTTAGTAATATATTTTATTTAACCTAATATATCCAGCAGGCTATCATTTCAATGTGTGATCAATATAAAAGTTATTAATGGAATATTTATCATTGTTTTATGGACAGGGGTCTCTACCAGCTGAGCATGCCCATGTTCTGTGTGCCTTAGCACCAGCCTGTGGTTATCAGCGGAGGGATTTACGAATTTTACTCGAGGCTCTCACACCCTCCACTCCAGTTCCTGCATCCAGTTTCCATGAGGCCTCTTTCATTTTGGATCTGCCTGTCATCCACATTTCTCCATCAAGCCTCAACACCCCACCCTTTAAAAATAACATTTCAAATCGTTCTTTCGTGCAGCATGAGATTTTTGAGCTATGATTCACTTCAAATTTCAGCAGGGCTTAAGCGCTTTAATTTCCTTTAAAATATTGTTGGGAGAAAAGTCAAATAGCCCAGTGGAAAAATGTGCAAAGGCTATTAACAAGCAATTTACATACAAGGAGACACATTTGAGCATCATAAAAAATGCTCAGACTCCCTAGCAGCTGGGAAAGTCTAAATCAAGGCAACACTTTTTCCTACAAATGGGAGTTTGATACTGTTCAGTGTTGGTGAGGGTGTGGAGAAGTGGGTAAACCATGGGTGGGAGTGTTGTTTCCAACAAATTTCTAGAGAACAAATTTGGCAGCATCTAGAAAGCTAAAAATGTCCACACCCTATGGCCAGCAGTTCTCCTTCCCATCTTCCTCAGAGAAGTTGTCTCACGTGCACACCAGGAAGCAAATGGGAGAATTTTTAAAACAGTACTGGGGGTAATAGAAGAAATTTGGAATTACCTAAATGTCCTTCAATAGAGGAACATATAAATACATCATGATAGACTCACATGAATAACTATGACATACCAATTAAAAAGAACGAGATAGATCTACATGTACTTATACAGAAAGAACTCTAAAGTTACACGGCTGAGGGTGAAAAAACAACTTGCAAAATAATACAAAGAATATGGTACTATTTATATAAATAGGTTACACTAAACAATACTAATATACTTTTATGGGTAATCACGCATATGTTTGTAATGATAGAGGGAAGCTTTGGGAAGGAGACACACTAAATTGATGACAGTGAATTCTCATGGGGAGACACAAAGAAAAGTGGGGCCGGGCGCAGCGGCTCATGCCTGTAATCCGAGCACTTTGGGAGGCCGAAGTGGGCAGATCACGAGATCAGGAGATCAAGACCATCCTGGCTAACACGGTGAAATCCCATCTCTACTAAATATAAAAAAAAAATTAGCTGAGCGTGGTGGCACATGCCTGTAATCCCAGCTACTCAGGAGGCTGAGGCAGGAGAATCGCTTGAACCCAGGAGGTGGAGGTTGCAGTGAGCTGAGATCACACCACTGCACTCCAGCCTGGGCGACAGTGTGAGACTCTGTCTCAGAAATAAAAGAAAAGTGGGTTTAAGTGTGGTGGCCAGAGGAGACATCAGCTTCATGTGCAGTGTAAAAATAGTTAGGGGAATATTCACGTATTACTTGTCAACTTTAAAATTAATGGAAAACACGGGTGTGAGAGCACCTCCTCCCCATTCCTGGCAATGAGAAGCAGAGGCAAATTTTTCTATTAATACTTTCTGGGCCATCTGATCTCATTTTATTTTCCCCTGAGTTTCTCAGCCTGTGAAGCGTTCTGGTGCTTCCTCAACTCATGGTATGACATTGGAAATTTGCTTCCCTTTTCTAGGCATCAGTTTCATCAGTAAAATAAGACATTTGTGCCAGATGATACCTTATATTTTGCGACTGCAAAGTTTTGAGTCCAAATGACTAAATGAGATTGCTGTTTCTAGAGGAAAGCTCATCTAACGAAGACTCCAAATCAGACGTGAATCACTGATTCCAGTGGCTCTTTTTTTTTTTTTTTTCAAAATGAGCTTGGCTGAATTTTATACAGCTGTTGTTTCACCATTAAAGTGTGTCACGGATAATGACACTCAAAATAAGATAAGATGTAAGAGGCTCAATGCTTCATGAAAACGCTATCCGGTATCAAATGTCACATTGTTGATTCATGACTGGGTACAAAAGTCCTGACTTTCCCAAGAGTATTGAGATGGCTTCTAGAACGATAGAGCATGAATCTAAATAGGAACAGTTGGAGAAAATTGAAAGCCAAGTCCATTTGTGTGCACTGCAAATTTATTGTGTAATAAATAATTTGTCTGGTTTCTGTCACCAGTTCCTGGGAGGTGGCCTCTGAAACACTGGAATTTCCCAAGTGATAGAAGTGTCTTTGTTTTTTGCGGTGGATTCCTCAGACCACACCTGAACTTATGTTAATGAGATGACGTAGAATGGAGACTGAGCCACGTGATTAGAGAATGAGGGCCTTGAGCCACACGATATCAGCCCAACCTCTAGCCCAGCCTGTAAAAAGGCATCTAGAGTTTGAGTCTTATGGCCAATGATTTAATCGATCATGCTTACATAATGAAACTCCAATAAATCTCTGGACATGGCAGCTTGGGTGAGTTTCCTTGGCTGGTAATACTCTGTGTATTGTCACACACTGATGTTCTAAAGAGTCCTGACTTCACAGGGAGAAGACATGGAAGCTTCATGTTTGGGACCCTCCCAGAGCTCACTCTATGTCTCTCTCCCTATGGCTGATTCTGATTTGTATGCTTTATAATACAATTGTAATCACAAAGACAGTGCTTTCCTGAGTTCTGTCAATTATTTTAGTGAATTGTCAAACCTGAGGGAATAATAAAAACCTCTTTCAATGTTTTGGAATTGGTTTGTGTCGGCCCAATCTTGTGCAACAAGGTATTCATCCAGCAACTACTGAGTGCTTACAGATCAGGTAAGAGCTCTGCTCCCATGAAGCTTAAAGTCCACTAGTGGAGGCTTTCCAAAGAGCAACAAAATGGCTAACACTTGCTGAGTGATTACATGTGATTCTAGGCGCTGTCCTAAGTGCTTCAGTGACTTATTTCACTGGGTCCTATTAACAATAACAGGAGGTATAATTGTTAACACAATCTGCAGATGAGGAAATTAAATAAAGCCCAGAGGGATACACCGACTTCCCTAAGATGACATATCTGGTTGGGACTGAATATGGAATTTTCTCCACATGGTTTGATGCCAAAGTCTACACTCTCAAGTAAATAAACAAATGAGTATAGAATAGAAAATTGTGTAAGTGACATCTCCTCTTGGATGTCTGAGAGGCATCTCAAACTCAACCATCTAAGCTAAACATCATACCTTTTCTCCTTCACTTCTAGCCCCCAAATGCTTCTCACACAAGCTACCCTACCTTAGCTGATAATAGCAACTTCATCCTCCAAGTTTCTTAATCCCAAATCTTGGAGTCATTCTTCATTCCTCTCTTTCTGTCACATCCTAAATTCATCAGTTAATCTTGCTAGTTCTGCTATGAACATTATTATTATCAATAATTATTATTATTACAATCTGACCACTTCCAGGGTTCCCAGTCTTGCTCAAGCCACCATCATTCACCATTATTTCTGGTTTGATGGCTTTAGTGGCTTTCTACAGGGTTCCTTGACTCTACTCTTGCCCACACAAGACTATACTCAGTGCAGCAGCCAGAGTGATTCTTTTACAATATAAATTAGGTCATGCCACTCTCCTCTGCTTAAAACCAAGCAATAGCTTTCCGGCTCTGCATCTCATTAAGAGTAAAAGCCAAAGTCCATGATCTTCATTCCACTAGCTAGAATATAAGCTCTATGAAACCAGAGATCATTGTTTTATTCATGGATGATACACAGAGGGTGTTCAGTAATATGGCTGAATAAATTAATGAATAAGCTCATTTTAACTACTCTGCTAGACATCCCAGATCAAGCATGAAGACGAGTATCTTGCTGGGAAGAAGTTTAGTAGAATGGTTAAGAGCATGGGTTTTGGTTGGTTGGGCTCAGTTCTGGCTCCCTTACTTCCTAGATGCATAATCTTGGCCAGGATTCCTAACTTTGAGAACTGTTTCTTTGTCTGTAACATGTGGATGATAATACTTAGCACTTCCCTCATAGCTTTGAATCTAGGATGAAGTGAGAAACTGCATGTGAGGTGCTTAGCCCAAAGAAAGAACTCATCAATATTAGTGCCTATCCTTGGAACACAATAACTTTTAAGAACTTCTGGCACAGATACCCAGAGTTGAGCCAAACCTCACAAGTTAAGGCTCAGTTCTTCACAAAACTGTTCTCACTTTAGACATCAGTCACAACTTCAGGGATCCCAAGGCCACCAGAACTTCTGACCAACTGGTTGCAAATTTGGGGGTTCTTTCTACTCTGTCAATTCACTAGAATGATTGACAGCATGCAGGAAAGCGGTCTCTTTGTGATTACAGTTTTATTATAAAGCAAACAAATCAGAATCAGCCATAAGGAGAAAGACATAGGGTGAGTTCTGGGAGGGTCCCAAACATGAAGCTTTTGTTTTTTCTCACTGTGGAGTCAGGACGCTTTAGTATATCAATGTGTGACAATACACAGAGTATTGCCAGCCAAGGAAACTCACCCAAGCTGCAATGTCCAGAGATTTTATTGGAGCATCATTATGTAAGCATGATTGATTGAATCATTGCCCATGAGACTCAAACTCTAAGCACTCTCTATTAGGCTGGGCTAGAGGTTGGGCTGATATCATGTGGCTCAAGGCTCCTGTTCCCTAACAACATGGCTGGTTCTTCTGACATGCTCAGTCTCCGTTCTAAGTCACCTCATTAGCATATCAGGTGTGGTCTGAGAGATCCACCGCAAAACAAAAACACTCTTATCACTTGGGAAATTCCGAAGATTTAGAGGCCACCTCCCAGGAACTGGTGACAGAAGCCAGCCAAATTCTTTATTACACAATAAAGAGGAAGGAGCATGTTGAGAGTCATTGCCATTTTCATCTCAAATCTCCTCCCTGCTTTTATGAAGCTGACCCTTCTCAGCTCATTATGTCTTGTTATCCCCAGCTCCTCACATGAAAGACTGACAACCCTTCTCAGCACTGCTATTTGACTGTCCCCACTGGAGAAAGCACAGGTTTGAATTTTCAGTGCCCAGGCCCCATACATGAGTTTGTTTTCCCTCTGCAGTCTGTCTTTTTCAATATGACCCCTTAACTGATGGTGTTCCCCAGGGCTCTTCATCAGGGACCCATCTTCTCACATTGTCTTGTTCATACCCAAAGCTCTGATGCCCATCTTTCAGCCAACCGCTCCCTTGTCTCTCTCTCCAGCCTGAACCTTTCACCTGTGCTGCAGATTCCCATAAGCAACCTCCCACAGGGCACCTGCTGCTGGCTCTCCACAAGCTCCTGTTGGTCAGCATGTCCCTGAAGAAGCTCATTCCCCCACCTGTCAAACCAATTTCTTCTCCATGATTCCTCTCTTAGTACTGTCCTAGTCTGGTTTTTTGTTGCTATAACGGAATATCACAGACTGGACATTTCATAAAAGAAGAGTTTTGTTTGCCTCATGTTTCTGGAGGCTGAGAAGACCAAGGTCCTGAGGCTGCATCTTGTAAGGACCTTCTTGATGTGTCATAACATGACAGAAGGCATCATGTGGAGAGAGGGCAAGAGCATGCATGTGTGATCAGGTTTCTCTTCCTGTTTTTTTGTAAAGACAACAGTCTCATCGTGCAGCCCCAATCCTGATGACCTTACCTAATTCTAATTATCTCCCAAAGGTCCCATCTCCAATCAACATATAAATTTGGAGACTGAGTTTCTAACACATGAAATATGAGGGACACATTTAAACCAGAGCACTAATGGAATCTAACTGCCTAAGGCTGAAACCTGAGCTTCACATTCATCCCCATAGCCCACCAGGACTTCAAGTCCTATAGCTTCTGTTGTCTAAATATGTCTCTATATGTGTCCTCTTCCTTTAACGCTTAGTCCGGGTGTCAAGTTCTCTGTATCCCAAAGCCCTTCATCTTAACTCAACAAAGCTTCTTATACTGTATTATGACCTCCTACCTTCTTGACTGTCTCTCCTCCTTGGCAGACTTCTCTAGCACCTGTTATAATGTCCAGAACATACGACTTGCTCATCCTGTGTGTGTTAAATGAATGAATGAATGCATGAATGAATGATTGTGGGGAGAAAAGATAAGATTGGTCAAGGAGTTGAGGATTCAATTCTAGAGGCAGTAGCCTTTGGACCAGACTTGCTGGACGGGGTAGTTAGTGAAGGTGTTAGATTGGTGGGGGAGATGACATGATTTAAGGAATACATTCCAAAGACCAGACAACAAGGGAACACAAAGTAAGATTACAGACACTTTCAGTAACCTTTCAAGGCTCAACAGAGGCATTGCTGGTTATTTGGTAACAGTTTCCTTCAGTTGGTTTAAGGGCCCCATGGTCTGATTCCAGGGCATTACTAGAATGTGTGAGAAGAAACACTGCAAAGACCTGTCAGGTATGGAGAGAGGGGATCAAGCAGGATTATCATGGCAAATAAACCTCTCCCTGGAGCCTGAGATGATGAGCTCAACAATGGCATGAGTGCCTTTTGAAAACTCCTCAAAAATAGCTGCGATCTTTGGGGTTTAGCTTTCTCAACAACAATGAAAAAAATATGTCATAATTGCCCATTTTAAAAAGCTTCATCCTTCTTTCAACAGGATAAAATGATCCTAGTAATTTGGAGCTCAGAGAAGAAGGCTCATTATGTCTTGTTATCCCCAGCTCCCCAGCTTCCCACATGAAAGACTGACAACACACTTCCCCGCCTCCTGTTTTCAGGCCCTTCTCTCCCTGTTAAATCTTGTAGCAATTAGCAGGCATTTCACGGCCCATTTCTGTCAAATAATTTGACTTGGCAAAAACCGGTGCCCTTGTAACCATCTGAGGACTGCAAATCATTTTCTGTGTTCCAGATGAAGAGAGATTTTGAAATTCTTGGTGGGCGAGTTGCTGGAAACCAAATACAACCTCCCTGAATCCTGATTTCCTCTTAGGCTTAGACTTGGGGTTAGAGAATAGCATGGACACATCTGTCCCCAAGTGTCCTGACACTCCGAGTCATCTGCTCCTCAGTCCCTCCTTGTGGAAACTCTATTTTCTTGGTTCTACAGTACCTTACATTTTGGCTGGCTGTTCCTTGGTGTCCTGTGTAAGTGCCTGCTCCCTTGTTGATCTGCTCTGTCCTGCCCAGCTCTCATCTTGGTTTTCTTGGAGTCATCTTACCCACAATCTTAGCTTGTATTTATGTTCTGACAACTCCCAAGTCTATATGACCAACCTCATCTCTTTTCTGCATTCTGGACCACACATCTAGTGACTTGCCTGATCTACACACTTGAGCGTCTCATTAGTTTCTCCAACTCAGCACCTGATGGTGTGGCCCCTTCTGCTGTTCTTTTGACTGATAGTTGGACTGGAAACAACATGGATGATTCTTTCAGATAGCCTCTCCAATGCATCTTCATAAAATCAAGTCTGATAGCATTCCCTTATTCCAAATCCTTCAATGACTTTGCAAAGATATTCATATTAAGGTTAAATTTCTTACAAAACTCAAGGTTCCCCTGACCACCTCCCTCTACCACCCTTCTTGGCTCTGTCCATAGCCCAGAGGTTAAAACCCTGGCTCTGCAGCAAGTGAGAATTTAATTCAAATGTTGGCTTCGCCACAAAAAAAGCCCTATGTCCCTGGGAAGGTTATTTAACCCCAACAATCTTGAAGCTTCTAGCTTATGAAATGAGAGATCATAACTGTACCCTCTTATAGTAGGGGAGGTTATATCCACAATAGCACCCACAATAGGAGGGTTGTGAGGATTAAATAGCCCAATCCGCATGGTATCCTGCCTGGCAAATATACTCAAGAAGGACTACTTCTAAGTAATGTCAGCTTACCGACTGCCTTAGGGTATTACTTACCTTGTTCCCTCCTCCCTGCCTCACCAGTTCTGATTTAGAAGCCCTACATCTATTGTGCAGTGATCAGGGTCTCATCCCAAGGCAGCACCTCACATCTATGTGAGTTTACAGTTTGTCTGTCTCTTGCCTGGTACTATTACAGCCTTGAGACCAGAAACTAGGTTTTTACCAAAGCTTGTTTCTCACGGCATATGATATTGTTTGGCTCTGTGTCCCCACCCAAATATCACTTTGAATTACAATAATCCCCATGTATCAAGGGCAGGACAAGGTGGAGGTAATTTAATCATGGGGGTGGTTTCCACCATGTTGTTCTTGTAATAGTGAGTTAGTTCTCATTAGATCTGATGGTTTTCTAAGGAGCTTCCCTCTTCACTCAGTGCTCATTCTCTCTTCTTCTGCCCTGTGAAGAGATGCCTTCCACCATGACTGTAAGTTTCACGCGGCCTCCCCAGCCATGCAGAACTGTGAGTCAATTAAACCTCTTTTCTTTTATTTGAGATGGAGTTTTGCTCTTGTTTTCCAGGCTGCAATGCACGATCTCAGCTCACTGCAACCTCCTCCTCCCGTGTTCAAGTGATTCTCCTTCCTCAGCCTCCTGAGTAGCTGGGATTACAGGTGCCCGCCACCACACCTGGCTAATTTTCTTTTTTTTTTTTTTTTTGGTATTTTTAGTAGAGATGAGGTTTTGCCATATTGGCCAGGCTGGTCTCGAATGCCTGGTCTCAGGTGATCCACCCATCTTGGCCTCCCAAAGTGCTGGGATTACAGGTGTGAGCCACCATGCCCAGCCTAAACCTCTTTTCTTTATAAATTACCCAGTCTTGGGTATTTCTTCAAAGCAGTATAAGAATGAAATAATATAGTAAATTGGTACCGCAAAGAGTAGGGTACTATTATAAAGATACCCAAAAATGTGGGAATGACTTTGGAACTGGGTAACAGGCAGAGGTTGGAACAGTTTGGAGGGCTCAGAAGAAGACAGGAAGATGTGGGAGAAAACTCATTTTCTGAGGAGAAAGTCAAGCTGGCTACAGAAATTTGCATAAGTAAAAGGAGCCAAATATTAATTGCCAAGAGAATGGGGAAAATGTCATGTCAGAAGTCTTCATGGCAGCTCCTCTCATCACAAGCCTGGAGGCCTAGGAGGAAAAAACAGCTTTGTGGGCAGGGCCCAGGGCCTTGCTTCTTTGTGGTCTCAGGACCTGGTGCCCTTCATCCCAACCATGGCTAAAAAGGCCAAACATAGAGCTCAGGCTGTTGCTTCAGAGGGGACAAGCCTCAAGTCTTGGCAGCTTACACATGATGTTGGGCCTGTGGGTGCACAGAAGTCAAAAATTAAGGTTTGGGAACCTTCTCCTAGATTTCAGAGGATGTATGGAAACACCTGGATGTCCAGGCAAAAGCTTGCTGCAGGGGTTGAGCTCTCATGGAGAACCTGGGCTAGGGCAATGCAGAAGGGAAATGTGAGGTCAGAGCCCCCATGCAGTCTCCACTGGGGCACTGCCTAGTGGAGCTGTGAGAAGAGGGCCACAGTCCTCCAGACTCCAGAATGGCAGATCCACTGAAAGCTTGCACCATGCGCCTGCAAAAACCACAGACACTCAATGCTGGACCATGAAAACAGCCGGGAGGGGTCTGTGCCCTGCAAAGCCACAGGGGTGGAGCTGCCAAAGGCCACAGGAACCTACCTTTTGCATCAGTGTGACCTGGATGTGAGATATGGAGTCAAAGGAGATCATTTTGGAACTTGAAGGTTTAGTGATGGTCCTGCTGGATTTCAGACTTGCATGGGGTCTGTACTTCCTTTGTTTTGGCCAATTTCTACCATTTGGAATGGTGTATTTACCCAATGCCTGTACTTCCATTGTATCTAGGAAGTAACTAACTTGTTTTTGATTTTATAGGCTCATAGGCAGAAGGGATTTGCCTTGTCTCAGGTGAAACTTTAAACTTGGACTTCTGGGTTAATGTTGGAGTGAGTTAAGACTTTGGGGGACTATTGGAAGGGCACGATTGTGTTTTGAAATGTGAGGACATGAGATTTGGGAGAGGCTAGGGGTAGAATCATATGGTTTGGCTCTGTGTCCCCACCCAAATCTCACCTTGAATTGTAATAATCCCCATGTGTCAAGGGCAGGACCAGGTGGAGGTAATTGAATCATGGGGGCTGGTTTCCACCATGCCTTTCTCATGATAGTGAATTACTTCTCACAAGATCTGATGGTTTTATAAGAGGTTTTCCCCTTTGCTTGGCACTCATTCTCTCTCCTTCTGCCTTGTGAAGAGGTGCCTCCAACCATGATTATAAGTTTCCTGAGGCCTCCTCAGCCATGTGGAACTGTGAGTCAATTAAACCTCTCTTTTTTATAAATTACCCAGTCTCAGGTATTTCTTCAAAGCAGCGTGAAAAAGAACTGATACAGCATACCTAGTGCCTAACACAATCCTTGGAATTTTGCAAATGTAAAACAGATATGTATTGAAAAAGTGAATGGATGGATGGATAAATGGGAGGATGGATGATAGCTACATAAGTGGGTGGTTGTGAGGAATTAATGGAACAAGTACTGTATGTGGAATTGTCTATACCAGTGCTGTGCCTGTCCAGACTCAGCATATGTTGTTTCCCTTCCCTTTCCCTTAACAATCATCCTGGAATGCTTGGGAAGAACAATCTAGGAAGGCAGCTGGGGTTGAGTAATTTTGCCATCATTTTTCTCATTGTGCAACCTTGAGAGGGTTGTTTAACCTCCTTGCCCCTCTGTTTTCTTGGGGATGAGTCAACCACCTATATAAAGAGCTGACAAATCCCTGGCATATGGTGGCCCTTAAATAAGGTTAACAGAAGGGCCTCATGCCACTGGAGAATGCTGGGGGTGGGGTCTTTAGCACCATAACCATCTGACAGAAGTGTGGAGCAACATTTGGGGAATGACAACTTGGTGAAAATCACTGGCACCATCCAAAGAAGACATCCCCACAGGGTCTGGTTGAGAAATCATTAACTGTAAAGGCAGTGAGACAGTGTCATCATTTTATGAGACGTGCCAGGAGCCAGCTGCAAAATAGGAAGGGAGGAAAGACTTCTGAACTCCAGCCAATTTTGAGTAATCAGAGATTGGTGTGGCCGATTGGCCACTAGAGAGCACCACTAGCACCAAAATGTTGCGGGAAGAGTGGTGTAGGATGGGCGAAAACCCCTTAGAGGAAGGAAGAATGTTTGCCGGCAAATTTTCTCGCAGGAATTTAGCATTCTATGAGGCCATCTGTAAGATTTGACAGAGCAGAAACAGCATCCAAATCTGCTTGTGGAAATGAATTGAAGTGAATCAGAACAAAATTCACACGTATCTTTCTGATAGCTTCCTTGCACCATGTTCCTATGGGTTCCAGTGTGTTCCTATGCATTCTAAATGTAGAACGTTACACAAAAGTTTTAGTATATTTTCATAGTTTACATTTAACAAATTGAAATTTTTAATACACATACATACTGAGGCTCTATGTGTAAACTCCTCAGGTGGTAATTGCAAAAGTCTAAATTTGAGATCTCAACTTGGGCCAAATAGCACATCTGCCTTTCCCACTGGTGGGCTCTGAATATTGGGGACGCATGTATGCTTTCATCCAAATACATTATTTCATTGCAAAAAAAAAAAAATAGGAAAGGAGATAAAAGACATGAGGGAAGAAAGGAAGAGGAAAAGAAAGAAGAGAAGACGAAGAAACCAAGGAAGAAAGGAAGACAAGCTTAAAAAATCCCTTGTCTAGATTGCTTTTTGATAATTTGAAATTCTCAAACTCGTGGTTTCTTTGGAAAGGAAACAGGCAGGATTTGGTTTGGTTTTGCCAGTATCACTCTTAACAGGAGGCAGCTCTTTGAAAAATCAAACTGTCATTAATTTCTTGAATCTTGCTCTAAAACTCTATTTTTCAAGCATAGTCATTTAATCATTTTAGCTTCTCTGCAGAAGAACCCTGAAATCTCAGTGTCTTGGCACAATCAAAGTTTATTCTTCAATCACATAAAGCTTAATTGTTGTTGGGGTAGAAAGGGAGAGTCTCTGGTCACATGCTCACTCAGACTCAGGCAAACAAATGTGCTGCTATTTTCCAAAGGGTCCCCAGGGCTGCTCTGGGTGTAGCCATTTGATGAGATCCTGGGGGTCAAATGGGGGTATTCATGAGTCCCATGGACCAAATGTTGGTGTCCCCCATAATTCGTATGTTGGAACCCAATACCCAATGGGACAGTATTCAGAGTTGGTGTCTTTGGGAAGCAGTTAAGCCATGGGGGCTCCACCCTCATGAATGGGATTAGTGCCTATATAAGCCAAGCAACCTTGCCACTTCCGCCATGTGAGGATGCAGCAACAAGGTGCCAGCTATGAAGCCCTCGCCAGACACTAAATCTGCCAGTGCCTTGATCTTGGGCCGCCCAGCCTCCAGAACTGTGACAATACATTTCTGCATTTATAAATTACCTAGTCTCTAGTATTTTGTTACAGCAGCTTGAAGGAACTAAGAGAATGGGCCAGGTTAGGAAGTGATGTATGTCACCTGTGTCCTTATTCTATGCTCATAGCTCCTTCTGTCTGCAAAGAGGTGGGGAAATGTAGTCCCTGCCTGGGAAGTTGCCTCCCAGCAACAATTCTATATTAGAAGAAGTGAGAACAAATTGTTGGTCAGCTAGCCATCTCCATCATATCACTTCTCAGTTCTTACCATGTCTGGGAACCATCTGGACCATTATGTACTTAAAATATTTCTTTAAATTGGCTCATGTTTTTTGTTTTTTGTTTTTTTTCTTTAAAAATGTATTTTAAGGGCCAGGCCTAGTGGCTCATGTCTGTAATCCCAGCACTTTGGGAGGCCAAGATGGGTGGATCACCTGAGGCCAAGAGTTCAAGACCAGCCTGGCCAACATGGCTAAACCCCATCTCTACTAAAAATACCAAAATTAGCTAGGTGTAGTGGCAGGCGCCTGTAATCCCAGGTACTCGGGAGACTGAGGCAGGAGTATCACTTGAACCCGGGAAGCAGAGGTTGCAGTGAGTCAAGATCACACCACTGCACTCCACCCTAGGCAACGAGAGTGAAACTCCATCTCAGAAAAAATGTATTTTAAAATATTTATTTCCTTCTCTAAATAGAAAGCTGTCTCACCGGCCACAAATTAAAAGTAGCAGGGAAAAACAACAGTATAAAAACAAAGCAAGATGATTAAATTCAAGGCGGACACTGTTAACCAAAACAAGTGCTGAGCTTGAGGCCTGCTCTGTGTTAAAAAGGGAGGCAAGGCATGGGGCCAAACTGGCTTCTAACCCTGATGGCATCATCACGACCAGGAGAAGGGCAAATGTCAAAATTTCCCTCCTGAACCAAGTCAGTGTCCCTAAAAAGACTACCTCTGTCCACTGTCGTCGTGTGCCACTTGCTCCCCCCACACTTTTGGAAGCTTCTCTGCAGGAAGAAGAGGGGATACTCCTTGTAAGAGCAAAACAGCAGTGGCTTTGGGTTCTAATGTGTACCTTTCTTATATCAATGCTTGTAAATTACTTTCTCTCTCTCTCTCTCAGTCTCAGCAAGGAGGGAATACTAAGTTGTTGAAGGAAGCAAACATTGGCATAGTGCTTTGCAAACCACTTGGTTAGGAGCGTACTGTTAGCTAAAAGTGTTTGCATAAAATGCCCCAAGACTATACTTCAAACCCAAGACTCTAAAGAATTGTTCATTGCAAATGCTAGGGACTGAATATCTGTGTCCCTCAAAATCTATATGTTGAAACCTAACCCCCAATGTGATGGGATAGGAGGTGGGGCCTTTGGGAAGTGATCAGGTCATGAGGGAGGGGCCCTCATGACTGGGATTACAACCCTTATCAAAGAGGCCCCAGAGAGCTTCAGTTTCTTCCACCATGTGAGGAAACAGTGACAAGACACTATGAAGCAGAAAGCAGGCCTTCACCAGACACTGAATCTGCCTGCACTTTGATTTTGGAATTCCCAGCCACTAGGACTGGGAGAAATAAATTTCTGTTGTTTGAAAGTACCGAGTTTATGGTATTTTGGTATCACAGCCCAAATGGACTAAAACAATGAGGGAGGCCAGAGCAAGGAAACTTATATTAACTAGGAAGACTTCACAGCAAGGTCCTCAAGAATAGCTAGGTATTCCCCAGGGGAGGGAATCCCAGGCAAGGTGGCAGTCATGCAGAGATCCAGAGCTGGAAGAAGGGTGGAGAGGTTGAAGCGTGGAGCTAGGGCAAGATGGGAAGAGAGATGAAGTCAAACAAATGAACAGGACTCAGATCCCGCAGAGCCTTCAATGCTGCTCCAAGCAGCTTGGACTCTATGCACAGGCAATGGGAGATGCAGAAGCATGACAAGATGAGATCTACATTTTGGACAGATTTGGTCACTTTGACAAAAGTCTGGAAGAGGGGATGCAAAGGTGACATGGCACTAAAGGGAGGACCAGCTGAGGATGGATAAGCCTGGAGAACCAGGCAAAGTGCCATGTGGCAGACTGAGGAGCAGTCAGGCCTGGGAGGATGGGAGGTAAGGAAGTGTAGCAGCCACTTCTCAGTGGCCTGAGACTGCCAATGGCAGTGGGGTTGGAAACTGGAGGATGCTCTGGGTGTATTGGACAGGACTTCGGGAACTTGGGTGAATCTTGCACCCTTGACCTTGACAACATCAGAATTAATTCATCTCCAAAATATCTATTGGCACTAGGAGGATGGCCCTGGGAATACGGCTGAGAGGCAAGTGGGGCACCTGAGACACAAAATTTTGGGAGGCACTCCCTCTCTGGGCTGTGTGATAGAGAATCTGTGGTTGAGAGTGAGTACCTCCTTAAATGTTGTGCTCAAAGCACCTTGCTTGCTTCATTCTAACAAAGCAACAGGCTACTCTCATGGAGTTTATGATCTAATGGAATTTACAGACGACATGCAAATAACTCATGAACGTGATTTTACATCATGGTAAGAAACACGAGGAAGACACCAAGGTGTGGCAAATGTTTGTGGGGCAGTGGCCAGGTGGGGCAGGCCCCAGACCTTGCTAGGGGCCTGGGATGCATCCTCATCGCGATGGGAGCTGCCAGAGGGCAGGGACCCTGAAACTGTCCTCACAGGGCTCACAAGAATTATATGCCAGGCTCTGGTCAGAAATATGTTTATAATTAAGTGTTAATCAGGCTGCCATTTGGCCTACTTCCTTGTAACCAAAAGTCACACAGCACCAGGTACTGACCATTTGCACTCCCATTGTTCCTGTAGATAGGATTTCTGATGTTAGAATCATAAGGCTTTTTCTTTAAGAATTGCTTAAGATGCTCTTCAGACTCTGAATTCCAGTGGAAGAGCTAATGCCAATCAATTTAAAGACCCCTGCAGAGGAACCAAATCGGTGTGAGAATGCAGTTTCTTTAGCTCCCTGTTGCATGAATTCACCTGGCACTCTTCAACTAATCAAAGGTCCCCACACCTCAGCCCACTCCAAACCCCTTAAAATTCCTACCCCCAAACCCCTCGGGAGAGAGATTTGAGGTTTCCTCCTATCTCCTTGTTTGGCTGCTCTATGATTTTTAAACTCTTTCTCTGATGCAACCTCTGTGTCTCATTATATTGACTTGCTGTGCATTGGGCAAAAACCCATTATGGTTACAATACAACACAATTTGGTCCCCATATCTGTACAGCACTTGGCTACATGAGGAGAATGGACAGAAGGGGGCAAATTGGGAAGCCCAGAGGCCACAAGGAGGCCATGGCCATCGTCCATGCAAGAGAGGGTGATGGCTTGGACTGGGTGGGGGCCATGGGAATGGGAGGAAGAGGATAAATTTGGAGACCGTTTCTGAGACAGAGCAGCTGGGACTTGCTATTGGAGTGGAGACATGGAGAAAAAAAGGACAAGAGAAGGACAAGAGAGAATGCAAAGGCACCTGAAAGAACAATTTTCAGTGTCTCCAACTCAGAACTCGCATTTAACAACATACATTTCTAATGTTTTCTGGTTCTGTCCCTGTTTGCCATCTGCCTTCTGGTTGATGAAGCTGGTGTGAGGTCTTCAATTGCTGTCCACAGTGGTTTCTCCTGTCAGAGCCATCTTGGGTCAGGATGGCCAGGGGAGTCAAGGATGAGGAGATGCAGAGCATTCCTGAAGCTTCATGGGGATGAGAACATCATTTTAAGGCC
Organism: Homo sapiens; assembly: GCF_000001405.40. Taxonomy (NCBI): domain Eukaryota; kingdom Metazoa; phylum Chordata; class Mammalia; order Primates; family Hominidae; genus Homo; species Homo sapiens. The sequence goes on from NC_000005.10 coordinate 174,843,544, forward strand.
TTCATTAATGAGAAATGTCCTCCCGTGGTGTGGGGGGAGAGAGCTTTGTGTTTGTGTGAAAGCCCATTAAACTTCATTATTTAGTTGAGAATATCCCGCTGGGAGCTGGGGAGGGGAAGAGAATCCATTTTCCCTGAGGGCTGGGGCCCTCCGAAGGTTGAAAGAAAAAAGTCCAAGTAAAAGAAAGGAAATAATCTCCTTCAAACAGTAGGTAGACCCGGCAGGAAGTCTTAGCCCTGAGTGGAAGAGCTAGAGGTTCTAGTAAGAAGGGGGCATTGTGTAGCTATAAGAGACCCAGCTTCCAGCAAGTTTCCACCCTTGCTTCCTCACTTGAGGGCAGCTCCTTGCATCCGTGGGTCTGACTTTTCTGCGGCAGCCTGGCCAAGGATTCTTGGGACTGGGGCTGGGTGGGGGTGGGAGCCTTGCCTCCCCGACCTCTGCGAGGATAAGTAAACAAGCAGGCAAGGACAAAGGCCAAGGGCATTAAATCCCAATTATTCACTAGTCCTAAATACTTCCTGTGAGAACAATTTGTCATTGACATACTTAATTAGACTCTTGACCAATAGTTTCCAGATGTGGGGATTTTTGCTAAAAAAAAAAAAAAAAAAAAAACCCAAGCACAGATGTTTTCCATATTTAATAAGACAGCTGAGGCAAACCCTTGGGGAAGAAAAAGAATAGAAGAGCTACAGGTTCTGTAATCATAACTTAGTGGATCAGGAAAGAGGATCCATTGGCCTTGGGGTCTTTCAAAACAAATAAATGTTGGCAAAGACAGAGGTCACCAGGGGCTGTCTGCTGTAGCCACGGCCCTGGGCTTCCACATCCTCTGAACTTGGAGCAGCCCTAACACTGGAAAACTCTGGGTCCATTTTACATATGTGGGCAACTGAGGAGGAAAACTCTGAGAGACCATGAGTTTGAGAGTCAGAATTTGAACCCAAGTCCCTAAGTCCTTGAGTGAAAGAAGCAAGTCAGTCATGTTGAGCAGGATACCCTGGAAGATCCTCATCTTTGGAAAACAGGGCTTCAACAGTTACGGAGTTCTTCTGCACCGCTAATCCAGGGCCAGTCCTGGGATGAGGCAAGCAAGAGACCCCTGAAAGCAACACTTAAGTGGGTGCTTGGTTTCAGGTACCCAACCCGTACTTGTGTGTCTCTGAGAGCCAGCACTTCCTTAAATTTTGCATCCTGGGTTCCTCATTTGTCTCATCCTAGTCCTGTCCCTGAATTTCCATCATTGTCACAATCTTGTCTTCCCTGACTTCTCACTTAGATTTACCCAGTTGCCTCCTAACTGGTTTCCCTGCCCTGTCTTTCCTCCTCATCTATCTGCCCTCCACTGTGACAGAGAGATCTTCCCACAGCCTGAGTTCCATCCCCGCACTCCCATGTATGAAACCCTCCCAGAACTCCCTATGGCCCTTGGGACTAGGTCACACTTCTCAGCTGGACATTCAAGGCCTTCCATCCTCAGCCGTGCTGGGCTACCCGTCAGCCTCCTGCCTTCTCTGCCTCCACCCCACAGTCTTACTCACACCCTGCAACTAGCCACAGGACTGTTTGTGCTTTCCCTGATACATTTGGCTGCTATCCTGGCCTCTGTCTCTGTAACCCAGGTGATCCCTTGGCTGAGAACTCCCTGCCTCCTCTCTTCCCACTCTGCCCCCACTGCAGCTCCTTAACAAGGAGAGCCTCTCTCTCTTCAAGACACTGCCTGTTCTGGCCGGCCCTGCTCCCTGTAGACTCTCTCCTCTTGCTTTATGTCTGCACTGTGCTCCACTCATGAGCCTCTTGTGGCAGCCAGAATGGCTGGCTTGTTCACTAGGCTGTCGCCATGGGGCAGTCCATCCCATGAGGCGAGGACTGCCACATCCCCCTTCTTATTCCTCCCCGCTCCTCTGTGGAACAGACTGAGCCAGGCAGTGGCCACTCATTTGCTGACTGAATTAATGAGGCAGTTGGGGTGGACACTCACCACACTCTACAGATGAGGAAATAGGCCGGTCTAGCAGAGATCGCAAACTCAAATGCCCCCTGGGAACAGGTGGGAGCTGTACCTGAGCGAGGCACTGGGATTGCTTACCATGCATGGGGGCTGCCAGTCCTCTGCTGGGGCCCACGGTTGTCCTGTGCAAAGTGTCACTTGTGGCTGGATCCATCATCTGGGTGAGTTATAAAAGGCAAGACAGGAAGATTATATTTGACAACTAGTTGAAATGATTTAAAACACTCTGCATGCAGCCCAAAGCAAATCCACCCGTGTGCGAGTCAGTTTCCACCTGGGGGCTGCTGGTGTGCGACCTCTGAGAGGTTGGGTGATTGTCTCGTGCACCCCAAAGTCAGGCCTTCCTCTGACTCTCTGCCCAGCACTCTCTGCACCTTCCTCTCATCACAGCTCCCATGGCAGGAACAAAGAGGTGGCATTTGAGCAAGGGGCAACAGTCAGGGACCTCCATCCCTCCGGCCTTCCCAGGTGCTCATGCCTCTTCCCTTCCCTTGGTCATGGGGCTGCTGCCTCCTTTACATTGTGACTCGCGTGGCATTTGGAGATTCAACTTGACGAAGCTCAGAAGGGAACTGGGATGCAAAGAGAAGAAGGTAATCAGGGGGTCACATTTTCTTGTGCTTGTGAAATGACCTGCTTTGGCGATAGGATAGTTTCTATCTGTTTTATACCTTCTATTCCTTTAAAATTCTCGAATTGTCAAAATCCTACCTTGGACGTGTGGCTAAAAGGGATAACCTTGCCCAACAGAGAAAGCTGGTGAACAATCACTTGTCCTCTTTTTTTTTTGGCAGAACTCCACCAGAAAGAGAAAGAAAGAGAAAGAGAAAGAGAGAGAGAGAGAGAGGGAGAGAGAGTGTGTGTGTGTTTAAAGAACAATCTTCATTTGATTATTTGATTTGTTGAAAAGAACAAGGAAGCACCAGGCCTGGGATCAGGAAACCTGGGTTCTAATCACAACAGGAGTACCTTCCATGCTCTGAGATCTTGAACTAGTCTCCTCGTTAGTAAAATGAGTGTGGGATAGAGTTTTACAGGTGATTCTGAGGGTAGCAGAGTCCTGTGTGGAAAAGCACATAATACACTGGCTGCGATATGGAGTAGGTTCTCAGTTAAGGACTCGTTGAATATGAATTAAGGAAGAGCAAAACTGGAAGGAATACTAGATATCGACTACAACAGTGGTCGATAATCTATAACCGATGGGCCAAATCTGGCTTCATACTTGTTTTTGTAAATGACGTTTTATGGCTACGCTTGTGCCACCACAGCAGAGTGGAGTAGTTGTGACAAAGACTGCATGGCCTGCAAACGCTGAAATATTTACTGTACAGAAAAAAGTTCACCAACCTCTGATCTAAATTCCATTCAGAGTGTGTCCATGGAGCAGCGGTGTCAGCCTCATCAGAGAGCTCATTAGATATGCAGAACCTCAGGCCCCCATCCAGACCCACAAAATCAAAATCTGTATTTTAATTAGATCACCATCTGAGTCATATGCACGTCAAAGTTTGAGAAGCACAGTTCTGGGTCTAGAGATGCATTCATTTTCTACATACTGTTGCCCAGCAAGATGAAGTGATTTGCCCAGGACAGAACCAAGACTAAGAACTGGTCTTCTAATTTTCATCTTTTTCCTACATCTGCTGTGCCAAGTCTTGTCTCTTCTTTTCCTCTCCTGAGCCTCCTGTTCTCCGTCTCCTTCTCGACCATCTGTGGGGTACCCAATGTGTAAAGCATGCTTGGTCAGCATCCATTGTTGTACTTGCTGATGAGAGCAGCTCAGGTTCTTTGAGAGGAGACCATGTGCTTTCAGCTGCACTACAGTTTTCCCAGATAAGGAGATTGAGGCACATAGAAGTTGTGGCACTTACTCAAGGTCACGGGGTCGGGATTTGAGCACAGCCGTCTGACCCAGGAGCCTGGAGGCCCCGTCTACAAGCTTGTTCTCCCTCTAGCATGGTGAGCCCCCAGCTTATCCCTGCACTTCCACATGGTGAAAACACTTTAGGAACTAACTTGGTTACCCCATTCTTTCATCTCCCCCTAATCCAGGGGTTTTCAAGCCAGATTTTTATAAAAGGAGGGAACTTCTTTCTTGAAGAAATGGTCGAGACCAGATGAGAATGGAACATCTTGCTGAGCCAGAGGAAAAGGAGGTCCTATCAGGTAAGCAGGATCATGTCAGAAGGACATGGCAGCTGGTTTGAAGGAGCTCCCACTTGATTTGATTAACAAGGTGAATGATGAAGGTAACATATTTTAACATATTAATTTAAAAATATCCATGGCTCCATAGCAGCATCTATATAATCTCCAAAGAGACCATCTGAGCAACCTGTAGATCAAGTAAAGCAATATTTATAAGACCCACTGCAGTAAAGGACACCACCTTGATAGCATCTCAGAAGGGGAAATACAGGGAAGAATACTTGTAGAGTTTTAGGGCCTGGGATAGGTGATTTTGAGGTTGCATGTAGGGTGATCAGCTGTCTCAATTTGCCAAGGGCGTTGATGGTTTTAGCCTTTAAAGTCCTGCATCCTCGGAAAGCCCTCGGATTACTGTCTTTGTTTTTTTGTTTGTTTGTTTTGTTTTGTTTTGTTTTGTTTTTTTGCTTTTTTTTTTGTTTTTTTTTCACACAGAGTTTTGCTCTTGTCATCCAGACTGAAGTGCAATGGCATGATTTCAGCTCACTGCAAACTCCGCCTCCCAGGTTCAAGCAATTCTCCTGCCTCAGCCTCCCGAGTAGCTAGAATTACAGGCATGTGCCACCACGCCCAGCTAATTTTGTATTTTTAGTAGAAATGAGGTTTCACCAGGTTGGCTAGGCTGGTCTTGAACTCCTGATCTCAGGCAATCTGCCCACCTCGGCCTCCCAAAGTGCTGGGATTTCAGACATGACCCACTGGGCCTGGCCCTCAGATTACTTATTAATTGCGAAGAAGAAAATGTGTCTTTATAATAGAGAGAGATGAAGTAACAATTAGAACCAAGTGGTCAAGTCTTAGAACTGCCCATAATGAGCTGGCATTGTTTGCCTCCTGATAGGACACAGTGGGAGGTGTACAAGCCACGTGTGCAGTGGTCTCATTGGAAATGTTTGGCCTGAATGTTTGAATTGAATAATGGGGAGATAGTCAGATGAATGCAGAAAGTAGATCTGGTCTGGAATCATTACAATATTTAATGAGGGGGGATAAAAAAATAAAAAAGTTAAATGTAATCCATGTACCTTTACTGAATTCTGGAGAAAGGAGGAAGAAACAAAAAGAAGGAAGGAAAGATGGAAGGAAGGAAGAAGACAGTTTTAGAGAACATTTGGGGACAATCAAAATATACTGAACATTGCATATTTGATGCTGTTATTGAATTAATTCTGCTTTTCTGATGTGAGGTTTTTTCCTGCTAGTGCCTTGATCTTGGACTTCCCAGTCCCCAGAATGGTAAGAAATAAATGTCTGTTGTTTAAGTCACCCAGTCTATAATATTTTGTTAGAGCAACCTGAACAGGCTAAGATAACCCCCAAATTTACAGCCCATTCTCTAAAAACTGACTGTTGCTCTGGCAAATGGCTCACTTGAGTTAGGATTTTTAATTTATTTGGGCAAAAGTATATCAATATCATTTAGAAAACACCATAGATGTCCGTCATACTGCTCCAGAATGAAACGCCGTTACAGTGAGTTGCAGAAAAGCCACACTTGTGAGAACAGGGCAGTCAATCAGTGCACCCTCTTTGCTTTTTGAATGAGAGCACTGAAGGTCAGAGAGGTTGACGGTTTTCACTCAGGTCACACAGCTAAGTGCAAACAGAACTGGGGCTGGAATCAAAAACTGCATTCTGGTGCCAAGCTTCTCACCCTTCATGTACTGACTTTTGCTTTTTAACCCTGTCCGTTTCTCTGCTAGACTCAGCAGAAAAGCAAAGTAGCATAAGATACCTATAAATCAGAGAGACAAGGCATGTGTCCCCGAAGTTAAATAATCACAACAGGGAAGCAGACTACAGGTAGCAGCTGCTGTGGCATTCCCACAATTCCTCTCCATCAAATCCTCCGTGTCCATGCTGCAGCTGCTGGGCTGCAGAGGCTCAGAGCTCACCTGTCACCGGAAATGGTCCTTGAGTGAGGAGCATTGCCCTTTTTAGGGAAGCGCATGGCCCATGACTGGCTGATGTGTGACGACAGAAGCTGGCCCCACTTGCCTCAGTTTAGCATGACTCTGCAGGGTCAGAGCAGGCCCTGATCTCCCCAAGAAGCGATCAACATTGGACTCAGTTGCAACCACATTGTAGCTCAGCTTCTCCCCGGCACAAAGCCACTTGCGAATCTTCCTTCTTCTCCTGACCCCACGGGGCTTCCCTGGGTTTTGGGGTGCCCTGCTAGAGATACTCTCTCTCTCTCTCTCTCTCTCTCTCTCTCTCTCTCTCTATATATATATATATATATATATATACACATATATTTACATATACACACACACGCACAAAACTGCAAATATTCACGTTCTAAAAGTATAAATGATGGAACACAATACAGTGTTGTTGTTTTTTAATAAACAACGTACTTTGGAGATCATTCCATTTCATACATATAGATCTACCTCAATTCAAAAAATATATGGTTATATAGTATTCCAAAGTGTGGATGAATTGATTTTATACAACCAGCTCCTACTGTCCAACAATTAGCTTCAGACTTCTAATATTTCAATTAGGGCTACAATAAATATTTGCATACCTGTGTGATTGTTTCCATGTGTGAGAATACATCTAAAATAAATTCCTAAAAGTAGAATAGCTAGAGTCAAAATGTATGTGCATTTCAATTTTGTTACAGTTTGGAAATTTCCTGTCAAAGAAATGATACTAATTTGTACTCTCATGAAACAAAGTGTCTGTTTCCCCATAGAATATACACCAGATGAACATGTCTGCCATCTCCCCAGAGAGGACAAACAGTTGCTTGGTTTGCTGTCAGAATGCAACGCAAAGGGTGAAGCCACGCACCTCCTCATTCAACAGCATGCAAGGTGATGGAGAAAACCTGCAACTGGGACCCCCCAGTCTTCTCTTCCTTGAACAGCCTACATCTCCTTGGGTGTTACTGCTCATCCTGTCAAAACCAAAACTTTGCTCTCCTCTGACGGAGCTGAGTTTCCATACAGACAGAGCAATCAGGTCCCCATGGAAACCCCAGGCTTGCTGACCCCCAGAGGAAAACGCTATTACTCACAGTGCTGGAGGCAGATTAATGTAGAATAACCATAATGAAAGGCGTTATCCTCAAAATTGTAGGGCCTTGGGGTTTAAATTCCTTTTTTTTTCCTGCTTAAACTCCCATAATTTGCACATTTGCATCTTTTGAATGGTGCCTTCACTGGAGATGCTGATTACCACAGCATAAAAGAATCTTGTTGCCCTTTCTGGCATCAGATAGGTGTGCACTGCAGAGACGATCACCACCCCTAAATGTAAAGTCTGGATGAATATTTATCTCTTATTCTCATGAGAGCCAAGTGGTGCCTTCTCACTCAACACTTGGTCAATTATGTGGCAATCAAACAAAACCATCTTTAAAAGCACTGATTCCTAGCCCCAGTCTCATTTGGTCCTATTCAACACCAAACACCTGTGACAAGCATCATCGTTACCTCATCAGAAACATTGAGAGGCCTCTGAATCGTCAACCCTTCATAAATGTTAGAAAAACTTTTAGCCTAACAGAATGATTCTAGACATGGGTATTTAATCATAGCAATCCTTACCATACAGATATTTTATTTATAAAGACAAAGATATCTGACATTCTCAATTATTGCTTTTTCTCCAAATATAAAATCTCCCAGGAATTTATGGATATTAAAAAATATCTAGACGGGGTGTGGTGGCTCATGCCTGTAATCCCAGCACTTTGGGAGGCCGAGGCGGGTGGATAATGAGGTCAGGAGTTCAAGACCATCCGGGCCAAGATGGTGAAACCCCATCTCTACTAAAAATACAAAAATTAGCTGGGCATGGTGGCTGGTGCCTCTAATCCCAGCTACTCAAGAGGCTGAGGCAGAGAATTGCTTGAAGCCAGGAGGCGGAGGTTGCAGTGAGCCGAGATCGTGCCACTGTACTCCAGCCTGGGTGACAGAGCGAGACTCCATCTCTCTCTCTCTCTCTCTCTCTCTATATATATATATATATATATAGAGAGAGAGAGAGAGAGAGAGAGAGAGTCAGAGCAAGTTAAATATATATATATATATATATATAGAGAGAGAGAGAGAGAGAGAGAGAGAGAGAGAGAGAGAGAGATTTAACTTGCTCTGACTAAGCCTGTGTTTTAACAAATACCCTAAATAGCCTGTCTTGGGATTTCCTATTGGTATGTGCTTATCTTCTTTTTTAACTCAATTTTGCAGAGGAAAATATGCGCTTACTTTCAAAATGTATATATGGTCATATCTTTCATGAGAATGGTGGCTCTGGACAAGGCTGATGGTCAGATGGGATAGAGAGGCAGTGTAATATGTAATATGTTCCAGCAAGCATGCTCAAATCCCATTAGCTTTATGACTTTGCATGACCTGCCTAACCTTAGCTTCCTAATCCCTCTGCATTCTCTAAACCGAAACAATTCTATAGCAGTAGACTCCAGAAAGGTTGCTTGCATTGCAAATGCTTGCATTGC